>NC_000024.10:12893218-13502766 GCF_000001405.40 Homo sapiens | reverse complement strand
TTTGATGGAGTGTCAGGGGAGTGAAGCAGACTCTGACTCGTTGGTTGTAGATAGGCTTACTCTGTTGGCTTTCTCAAATGCTGGTTATAACTGTAGTGAACGGTCATGTGGGCAGACTCAGGACCACTGGTTAGCCAGGGCATTGTAGAAGGTGGTGATAGCTGAGCTCACACACCTATTTTTTTCTTTTTGGATGCAGTGTTGTTCTACTTGGAGATCCTGTAATAGACTGTTGGTTGGCCTCCAGCTAGGTGGTATTTGCAAAAGAGCATCTACTGCAGTAGAAGCCATGGGACTTGAGCTTGCCCTAAGTTGCCTAGGGGAAGTAATCCAGTTTCTGAGACAATGGGTAGGGCTAGAAAGCTGCCAAAAGTGTATGTTTTTTGTTCTTTGTAAAGCTACTAGCATGGGTAAAGAGGTACAGTGAGGTGGAGGCAGGGTTACGTAGGTCTGTGTTCTGTGTCTCCTTAAGTGGGACAAGCCTCAGTCCCTGTGAGAATAAGGGAGTGGTTCTCAGGCTGCTGGTGTAATGTTCCAGGTAGGTGCATAACTGCCTCTGCTGAACAGATTTGCCAATGGCAGTGGAGAGAAGCAAGTGGCAGCAAACTTCACCCAGCTCCCATGCATTTGGCAAGGCCACTCTCATTCCCACAGTGCCAGTAGCACCAGATATAGATCCAGGCAGCCTACACACAGAAATGAGGCCTGCTCCAGGCCATTAGCTTTCCTTGCAGAGACAGCAGCTGCAGCATACAGGCCATGCTCCTCTCTGTCTGCCTGCAAGACCAGGTGTCCAGCTTCTGCATTTGTGTCCACAGGGCACTTCCCAATCACCGTCTGGGTTCCAGCAAAGGAAATTTGTCACCAGTCAAGATTATATTATGAAATTCTGTTGAAAGTTTCTTTCACCCTGCAATCCATCTCTAAGCTACTTAGCTGACTTCTCTGAGGTCCCCTGTGAGATATATTCAAGAATGCCTTCCCTGAGTCTACACTGGATACTGGGAATGTCTGCAAGGCACTTCCCACTGCTATTTCTAACTATATTTTTATTGCTGCTCCCTGAATGAGTTCCAGCTCCGGGTAGGGTTAAGGCCTTCTCCTGTGGCCTGGATTTTCAGATTCTCCAATGGAAATGAGTATTCTGGAGGCAGTCTCTCCCGCTCTAACTCTCTGGGGATTTAGTTTTTCATCTGTCTCAGAGTAGGCTGCAGCCTGCCATGTCTTTCAGAGGATCTGTGGATTCTTTCAGTTTTTAAGTTCCTATGTGAAAAAAAGTTCACAGTGTGAATCTCTACACACATTCTTTTCTTAAAAGTAGGAGAGGCAAACAAACCCTGCCTCCAATGTGCCATCTTGTGGAAACAAGATGTATATGTTAATTTACATTTCTACCAACAGTGTGCAAGTGTTTTTTTCCTCCATATCTTCATCAATATTTATCTTTTTTTATAATTGCCAAATTGGTGTGATGTGATATCTCACTGCAGTCCTAATTTGCAGTTCTGTAATGATTAGTGATACTTAGAATGTTTTTATATGCCTGTTAGTCATTTATGTCTTTTTTTGGTGAAACAGTGAATAGTTTTAATTTTCCTGTTGGAGTCTGGATGTTTTTTACTCACTTTTTATTATACTAGCTGGAATATCTAGTTTGATGTTGAATAGCAGTAGTAACAGTAGGCATCCGTGTCTTGTTCCTGATAATTTTGGGCAGAGTATTCAGCCTTTCACCATTAAGCATAAGACTGGTTTCAGATATTTGTATATGGCTTCTTAAAATCTGTTTGAGAAATTGTCATTGTGTATTAGAATGGATGTTGGGTTTTGTCAAATGTTTTAATATACCCATCTAGATAACTAACACTAGTTCTTTTTCTATTTCTGTATTCCTGTAATAATACCCTTGGCAATAGTATAACAGTATAATATATTTTTAATCTCTACATTTGGTTTACTAAATTTTTTAGGACATAGGCATCACATTGATTGAAGATATTTTCCGTAATTATCTAATTTTCTTTCCTTGTAATGCTTTATGTGTTGTATCTGTTTTTGTATTTTTTTTGTGTGGGTTTTTTTGGCGGTTTTTTGGCGTGTGTTTTTGAGATGGAGTTTCACTCTTGTTGCCCAGGAAGGAGTGCAATGGTGCAACCTCGGGTAACTGCAACCTCTGCCTCCTGGGTTCAAGCGATAATCCTTCCTTAGACTCCCAAGTAGCTGGGATTATAGCCACCTGCCACCACGCCTGACTAATTTTTTGTATTTTTAGTACAGATGGGGTTTTGCCATGTTGGGTAGGCTGGTCTTGAACTTCTGACCTAAGGTGATCTACCCACCTTGGCCTGCCAAAGTGCTGGGATTACAGGAGTGAGCCACTCCACCTGGCTTATCTGGTTTTATATATATATATGTATGTATATATATATATGTGTGTGTGTGTGTGTATATATATGTGTATATATATGTGTGTGTATATATATGTGTGTATATATATATATATGAATAATGCTAGTTACACAGAATGAGTTGAAAAGTAATTCCTTTTGTTGTTGTTGTCGTCTTTGTTTTGTTTTGTTTTGTTATGGAGTTTCGCTCATGTTGTCCAGGCTGGAGCACAATGTCACAGTCTCAGCTCACTGCAACCTCTGCCTCCTGGGTTCAAGCGATTCTCCTGCCTCAGCCTCCCAAGTGACTGGGGTTACAGGCACCTGCCACCACATTCAGGTAATTTTTTTTGTATTTTCAGTAGAGACTGGGTTTCATCATGTTGGCCAGGCTGGTCTCAAACTCCTGACCTCAGGTGATCCACCTGCCTCAGCCTTGCAAAGTGCTGGAGTTACAGGTGTGGCCATGCCCAGCAAAGTACTTCCTCTTATTTATTGTTTGTTTGCAAATATTTGAATTAGTATTATTTTCCTTTCAAAAAAAAGTTAACTCTACCATTTAGATTATCCATTTCTTATAAGTGAACTTATTAGTTTATAACTTTCAAAAATTTGTCCGCTTAATCTAAATTCCTAGATTTGTTAACATAAAGTAGTTTAGAATTTCTATAATTTAAATATTTGTCCCTCCCAAAACTCAGGTTGAATTTAACACTTAATGTGGCAGTATTAACAAATGGGACCTCTAAGAGGGAACTAGGCCAGAATGGTTCTGCCCTCATGAATAGGTTGGGTTATCACAGGTGTGGGATTGGTAATTTTATATGAGAAGTAAAGAGATACATGAGCTAGACACTCAGCCCCCTCAACATATGACACCCTACATTGCTTCCAGATTCTGCAGAGTTCCCACCAGCAAGAAGGCCCTCACTAGATGTGGCCTATCCATACCTGCAAAAAATATATATATATATATTCTTGAAAAATAAATTACCCCATGTCAAGTATGATGTTACTAGCATTAGAAAACAGATTAAGGCAGAAAATTAACATCAGAAGGGGAGGCTTGATGAAAACAAATGCCTGAAAATGTGGAAACGGATTTAAAACTAGATAATGAGCAGAGGCGGGAAGAATTTGGAGGATTAGGGCTTGATTCTGGTTAAACCTTAGGAGACAAGAAAAGTAGGAAGAGATTGAAACTCTTTAGAGATTAAGAGATCTTGACTAGAATGCTGATAAAAATATCAACAGTAAAGGTCATTCTGAAAAGGTAGATGGAACGGGGGAATAAAGTATTGGAAACTGTAATAAATTGGCAAAAAACTTGACTAACCTATGTCCAAGTCCACAGTCTTTGTGGAAGGCCAAACTTGAGAGTGATGAAAATGGGTATCTGGCAGAAGAAAGTTCTCAACAAAATATTTAGAAGCTGTATGGTTGCTTTTGGCTGTTTATGCTGAGATTCAATAGCCAGAAAAAGAGAAAGAAGAAGATAAAAGCAGAATTACAGTTAAGAGGAAAACAGAGTGAAAAGATTTGAAAACCTCAGCCTAGCCAAATATTGTGTAAAAAAAAACATGTTTGAGAGATAACCAAGGGAGTAGCTCTGTAAGCCTTTATTATGGCAATTAGTACAGAGAGGAGAAATAATCAAGAAAATGGAAATAGTCCCTGAAAAGATTTCAGAGATCTTCCCAGCTGCACTTCCCACCACAGGTCAAAAGGCCAGAATAGCAGAATGATTTGAGGATGCAGACCTACAGTACCCTCCACAGAACACCACAGGGTCCTCCTCAGATCTCCGCTCCTTGCATTCCAACACTGTGCCTTTTTGCCACCACAGCTGTCATTCAAGTTGTCCAAAGTGTAACCCAACTTGCCACTCCAATATGGACAAGCTGAAAATACTTGGTAGCATTCATATGGTATCAATTATGCAGGCCCAGCGTACAAAAGGAATGGTGGTATGTTCCAGCAATCTTTTAAAGAATGTTTCCACTGATATTTTAAAGGATGTTGTCGAAAGTGTAGGGGGACCAGAAAAAGACTTGTCACAAAGGTGTAGCATCCAGAGATCCTCTACCAGAGTAAGGCCAACAAGAAATGTGGGGTCAGAGTATCTAGAGAGTCTCCACCAGGGTGATACCTAGTGGAGCCATGCAAGTTAGTCCACTATAGGGTCTGCACTAAGGCAACAGCGGGACTACTATAGGGACCCCAGAACTGTGGAGTCATTTGCAGCATGTAACACCTGCCTGGGAAAGCTTCGGGCACTGAACTCTAACCCTCTGAGTAGCCACATGAGCTGCACCCAGCAAAGCCTCCATAGAAGTGGGGCTTCCTACAACCTTTGGGATTTATTCCTTATACCAGGGTGTCCACAAGGCAGCAAATGGAGTCAAAAGTTATTTCTCCAGCTTAAAATTTAATGTCTGCTGGGTTGGGTTTCAGATTTGCTTGGAACCCGTTACTTCTTTCTTTTGGAATAGAAATACCTACCTTATGCCTTTACCACTACTGCATCTTGGAAGTAAATACATTATTTAGATTTCACATTTGAGACTAGGAACTTTGGGCTTTTGAATTGATGCTGGAACAAGTTAAGGTGTTGAGACCATGGCAATGGAATAAATATTTGTGTGTGAGAAGACATTACTTCTCACATGCAAGTGGGGAGGACCAAGAATAAAATGCCATGGTTAAATATTTGTCCTCTTGAAAACTCATGTTTATACTTTATCCCTAGCATAGGTACTGAGAGGTGGAGTCTTTAAGAGCTGATGAGGTCATAAGGACTCTCTCCTCATGAATGCATTAATCTGTTTATGGATTAGTAGATTAGTGGGTTGGTAGATCATGGGTTTGCAACTCGTGGTTTTATTTTATTTTCATTTTATTGAGATGGAGTCTCGCCCTGTCGCCCAGACTGGAGTGCAATGGCAGGATCTCAGCTCACTGCAACCTCCATCTCCTGAGTTCAAACGATTCTCCTGCCTTAGCCTCCCAAAGTGCTGGAATTACAGGCATGACAACTGGTGGCTTTATAAGAAGAGGACAAGAGACCTAAGAAAGCACTCTCAGCTTTCTCACTATGTGATGTCCTGAATCTAACCATTTTGGGGTCTCAGCTTCTTTATCTGTCAAATGTGGCAATATCAGCCTTAATCTTATTGGGAAAAAATCAATAATAAAAGTTAAGATTTTGAGTTTAAAAAATTCCAGATATATTAATATGTACCTAACTTCAGAAGTTAAGTAACATTCCAAAGAGAGATGAGATCCATAACCATGTACACAGGCTTGTATTGTAAAGCTTGACAAAATGAGCTTAAATTTCTTGTGATGAGATCTCTCCACATTCAAAAAAGTTAAAAATGACATAAGAATTCTATACAAAGAGGAATGTCTTTCACTCTTCTTTCAGGAAGGGAAGAGAATGATATAAATATAAGCATCCAGATTCATTTTCCTTGGTATCTATGCCTCGCTCTCATAGCATTACCCCAAAATAATAAATTAGAGCATGTAACTCAAATTGTAATTCAGAGAAGCATGCAGTTGTTATTTGCTCTAAAGTAAATAATAATTAATCCAGTCTTCTCCACAGATTTTCTGTATTTGGGATAATATTAATGAAGATCAACATAAAAACTTAAAAATTAGCAGGGATGGTGGCTCACACCTGTAATCCCAGCTACTCAGAAGGCTGAATTAGGAGGATATTTTGAGCCCAGTAGTTCAAAGTCAGCCTGGGCAACACAGCATGATTCCATAATCCCCCACCCCAACAAAACTCAAAACTGAAAAAGCAAACCAACAATCCTTACAACTTTTACCAGAAAGGGGTCTTTATTTAGACCCCCAAGAGAGGATTTTTGGACCTCACGCAAGAAAGAATTCAGGGCAAGTACATAGAGTTAAGTGAAAGCAAGTCTATTAGGAAAGTATGGAAATAAAATAATGGCTACTCCATAGGCAGAGCAGTGGCATGGGCTGCCTGATTTAGTATACTTATAGTTATTTCCAGATTATATGCTAAACAAGAGGTGGATTATTCATGAGTTTTCTGGAAAAGTGGTAAGTAATTCCTAGAACTGGGTTGGGTGCAGTGGCTCACGCCTGTAATCCCAGCACTTTGGGAGGCCGAGGTAGGCGGATTACCTGAGGTTGGGAGTTCAAGACCAACCTGACCAACATGGAGAAACCCCATCTCTACTAAAAATACAAAATTAGCCCAGGTGGTGGCGCATGCCTGTAATCCCAGCTACTCAGGAGGCTGAGGCAGAAGAATCATTTGAACCCAGGAGGCAGAGGCTGAGGTGAGCCGAGATCATGCCATTGCACTCCAGCCTGGGAAACAAGAGCGAAACTCCATCTCAAAAAAAATAAAAAAAAATAAAAAAAATGAAAAAGAGATTCCTAGAACTAAGGGTTCCTCCCCTTTTTATAACATATAGGGTAATTTCCTGACATTGCCACGTCATCTTTCCACTCCTTATTATCTTGCATAACATATTAGTAATAGCTAACTTTATACCTCTCTATTTGTTGTTAGTTTAGCTGAGTTAAACATATCAAAGGAAAAGATAGATAACAAAGAGGACTTATATACTCTTTTGTGGAAACAGTTAGGAAAAGGTATAATGCCTTCTTTATTTGGAGTTAAAGAGAGTAAGTTAAAGATATTTTACATGTGTACCAATTTACAAATAGGGTGGACTATCGCATATGAATTTGGCTACGTTTGACAACAAATACTAGTAGTTTTTTCTTGTATTTTTTCCAGTTAGCATAGATTACAAGGGAAGAATCCATTGAGAGTTGGAAGCCTGATGTGAGAGGGATCAACTATTTTGTAGGTCACACACTATTGCTGATCTGCTGATTAATGTTGTTGGCATAAAGCAGTATCTGGCACTGACAATGTTCCTGCTCCTCCAGTATGTTTCTTCAGTTTTCTCTGATTGCTGAGCCAGGTGTTTGTGTGATTAGTCCTGTGACAAATGGTCCTATGTTTGACAGCATTCCCATATCATCAGAGACAAAAGGAACAGACATGAGTTTAAGTTCACCTTTGTGGGTTATCAGTTCATGACTGTGAGTTTCCTCTCACAGTCATGAAGTTCAAGTAGTAGATTATCTTCTCTTTCTGACCACCATCCTATGAATTTGCCAAAGTTGCTTGTGAGCTTAAGCAGTTTTTGGACTGAGACAATGGGGTTTTTTAAATATGGGTTGCTCTGATCTTAGTTTTTCTTGTCTTTTGCTTGCTTTTGAATTTGTTTGCTCTTGTTTCTCCAGTTCTTTAAGTTGTGATGTTAGTTAGGGTGTCAATTTTAGATCTTTCCCACTTTCTGATGTGGGCATTTAGTACTACAGATTTCCCTCTTAACGCTGTTTTAGCTGTGTCCCAGAGATTCTGGTAAGTGTGTCTTTGTTCTCATTGGTCTCAAAGAACTTATTTCTACCTTAATTTTATTATTTACCCAGTAGTCATTCAGGAGCAGGTTGTTCAGTTTCCATGTAGTTGAGCAGTTTGTTGAGTTTCTTAATCCTGAGTTCTAATTTGATTACTCTGTGGTCTGAGAGACTGTTATTATTTCCATTCTTTTGCATTTGCTGAGGAGTGTTTTACTTCCTTTTAAGTGATCAATTTTAGAATAAGTGCTTTGTGGTGCTGAGAAGAATGTATATTCTGTTGATTTGGGGTGGAGAGTTCTGTAGATTTCTATCGGTTTCGCTTGGTCCAGAGCTGAGTTCAAGTCCTGAATATCCTGATAAATTTTCTGTCTCGTCCACCTGTCTAATATTGACAGTGGGGTGTTAAAGTCTCCACTATTATTGTGTGGGGGTCGAGAGGAGGGAGTTCCCCTGCTCTTTGCAATTCCTGGATGAGGTGACTCCCCACCCTGCTTGTGCTCTCCCTCCATTGGCTGCACTCACTGTCTAATCAGTCAAAATGAGATGAACAGGGTACCTCAGTTGGAAATGCAGAAATTACCTGCTTCTGCGTTGCTCTTGCTGTGAGATGCAGACAGGAGCTGTTCCTATTAGGCTATCTTGCCAGCTGTCTCCCATGTAGCTTATTTTTAATATTAGGTTGTAATTTATACAAATCTCAAATCTTAAAAGGTCAAAGGTCACCTAGCAAAATCATGATTTATCTAGACTTTCTCATAGATCTATGTTGTTTATGTTATCCAAAATAGTTTTAAGACAGTTTACTGTTACGTCTAATTTTTACCAGCTCTTCTCATTTACCGGAATCAAAATGAGGGAAGAGAGAATCTCTCATATTGTTTTATATTGTTTTCTATTCAGTAACTGTTTTAAGAAAAAACAAGAAGGAAGTAAAACCAAAGACAGGTAGCCCAGTGCCAGGCCTGAAATCAGGCCTGGGCCTGCCTGGCCTAAGCCCAGTAGTTAAAAATCAACTCATAACTTAGAAACCGATGTTACTCATAGATTCCAGACACTGTATAAAACAACACTGTGAAACTCCCTGCCCTGTTCTGTTTCTCTCTGACCACTGGTGCATGCAGCCCCTGTCACATATCGCCTGCTTGCTCAAATCAATCACAACTCTTTCATGTGAAATCTTTAGTGTTGTGAGCCCTTAAAAAGGACAGAAATTGTGCATTTAGGGAGTTCAGATTTTAAGGCAGTAGCTTGCTGATGCTCCTAGCTGAATAAAGCCCTTCATTCTACAACTCCGTGTCTGAGAGGTTTTGTCTGCGGCTTGTACTGCTACAATAAAGATTATCTAATTGGGGCTGGGCATAGTGGCACTCATCTGTAATCCCAGCACTTTAGGAAGCAGAGATGGGAGGACTGCTTGATCCCAGGAGTTCAAGACAAGTCTGGGCAATGTGTGGGGATCTTCTTTCTATAAATAGTTAAAAAATTAGCCAGTTATGGTGGTCCCTACCTGTAGTCCCAGCTAGTGGGAAGGCTGAGGGAGGACAACCCCTTGAGCCCAGGAGGTCGAGGCTGTAGTAAATGGTGATTGATTGCATTGTCTCTTTAAAAAAAAAAAAATAGCCAGGCATAGTGGCCAAGGCAAGCAGATCACTTGGGATTGCTTGAGCCTAGCAGATTGAAACCAGCCTAGGCAACATAGCAAGACCCCACCTCTACAAAAAATAAAAAATTAACCAGGCTTGGTGGTGCACGCCTGTAGTCCCAGCTACTTGGAAGGCTGACATGGGGAGAATCACTTCAGATCAAAAGGTAGAGGCTGCATTTAGCTATGATTATGTGAATCTGGGCAACAGAGCAAGATCCTATCTCTAAAGAACAAATGAAAGGAACCATAAGGTTGGAAATTTAGGCAAGACCATGTAGAGTATAGAATGGCGCACCAAAAAAATCAAAGTTTAAAATGAGCTACTAAGGGCTCTGAACTTTCATTTTACTACCTTCCAGCCAGTTTCAGGCAAATAATAAAAATAACAGTAGTGTGGTAGTTGTTGCTGTTTTATTTATTTTGTAATTTAAAAAATTATTTATTTATATTTTGAGATCATGGCTAACTGCAGCCTCAAACTCCTAAGCTCAAGTGGTCCTCTTACCTTAGCCTCCCAGGTAAGTAGGACTACAAGTACACACCACTAAGCCGGGCTAACTTTATTTTTTGTAGAGAGGAGGTCTCCCTGTGTTTCTTAGGCCTGTCTCCAACTCCTGGGCTCAAGTGATTCTCCTGCTTCAGCCTCACAATGTGTTGGGATTACAGGCATGAGCCACTAGACCCAGCCTTGCTACTGTTGTAAACAGAGGTTTCTTTCACTGACCTCAGGGCTGGCACCAAGCTCAATAAATATTGGCTAGTTGGCTGACAGATATTTATAAGGTAGCTGTTATATCCTTTTCATTTGTTTTAATCTTTTTTTTTTTTTTTTTTTTGAGATGGTGTTTCACTCTTGTCACCCAGGCTGGAATACAACGGTATGATCTTGTCTCACTTCAACCTCCACCTCCTGGGTTTGAGCGATTCTCCTGCCTCAGACTCCCAGGTAGCTGGAACTACAGGTGCATGCCACCATGTCAGGCCAATTTTTGTATTTTTAGTAGGGTTTCACCATGTTGTTCAGGCTGGTCTGTAACTCCTGACCTCACGTGATCCACCTGCCTCAGCTTCCCAAAGTGCGGGGATTACAGACATGAGCCACTGCACCCAGCCATTTGTTTTACTCCTTACATGGTTTTAAAAGAGTTTAGAACAACATGGTGGTCTATTAATGCTACTGTCAACTTCAGAACAGTAAGTAAAAAAGCCCATGTATTTGGATTACAAAAAGTATTAGTTACATGAGTCTTTAGTATTATTGTCTCAAAAAGCTTTAATCTTGCAATCATATCTTTGTCAAAAATTGAGAACATAGCACAATTTTAATTTGTTCAATTACCTTATGATCCAATTAATATAAAAATCATATTCACAAACCTGAGTTTAGGTAGCCATCTCTATTTGCTACATGTACATTAAAGCTTGTTTGTTCTACGTAAATATCCAACAATAGGCAGTTCAATAATCTATAAATTAAATGCACCAAAAGAGGCCTCTCCTTTTTAAAAAATCATGAATTAATAGCATTATTATCATATGACTTTAGAATTTCCTATCTTATGTATAAGTTGGGAACAAATGTCCAAATATTTGCATTCTCTTACTATAGTAGAATGCTTTACCTTACACAGATCCAGACCTCTACACAGGAGAGGATCAAAGTAAACTTACCTAACTGGCAATTATTGAGAATACTCTTTTAATATTATTAATATTGGTCCTCAAGCCTATTTCCTATCCTAAATCTTCTAATCAATGGTAGAAATAATTAGACAATTGAAAAAAGGCAAGAGATATTATTGACTCTGGAAAACATCAATAATCTTAGAAATCAAAACTTAGAAATGAAGTCTTAATGATTAGCTAATGGTATTCTTTGGTGCCCTGAGCTCCACCATACTTCAGAGCTCCTCGAAGTGAGGACAGGGTATAGTGTAAAAGAAGTTCAATATAGAGCAATTCTAAATCTGTTATATAAAAGACATAGGGAGCAGTCCACAAAACAGCTAATTTAAAACAGGATTATCTTGTTAGAGAACAATTTGAAAATCATGGTCATGTACATATGAACACAGACCCACATAGGGTCATTTGGTGAACTAATGGGAAACTTTGAACCTGAACCAGAATATCTCAATATTAAAAATTTTAAATAAATGATTATAAATTAACCTTTAGATTTTTCTATGTATGAAGTATATAGTAATGTTTGTAGTATTTTTTACACACATTGAGTCCAAAATACCCATGAGTCTTAAGCATAGCAGGGTTCCATGTTGAGAGCCCAGCCCTGACCAGATTGCACCCTGCCTGGGGGCCAAAAACCCCAACATCTCCTCATCCCTGGATCCTCATTGACATCCACTACCCAAAGACATAGCCCTGCCTCCAGGGCTGAAGCATAAGCCATTGTCAGTGACCTGGCCCCCATTCATGCCCTTTGTACTTTTTCCCACCCTAACAAAGAGTGTTAAAAGAATTTTTCCACTTTTTGTAATGAGACATGCTTAAATAACCTAAGAAATATTCTGCCTTAAAACAATAGAAAGAGGGGAAGGAGCTTTAAAATGTCTGACCAGGGAGAACTGCTACTCATCTCCATGGCAAAGAACCAAAATAGCAAATAATCTCTTCAAATAGATCACATAAGAAAGAACACTGAAATTCAACACAGAAGTATTAAGCAACACATAAAGCAAGGAATGAGAGGGAAATTAGGCAGCCTGCTTGGCTGGGATTGGCTGGGATCCTGGAGAGGCACCTCAATTCAGGAAAAGGGTAAATTAAAGACTCCCAGTGGTCCATATTCTCACCATGGACTTCTGCAATTCTAGCTATGGGAGAAGCCATCAATCCCCACAGGCCTTAATATTAACACAGGCTCCTGGAGACCACACCATGGCACTGGTTCAGAGACGGAGCTTACACTAGGTCCCACACACCCATGAGTCCTAAGCACAGCAAGGTGCCATATTGAGAGGCCAGCCCTGACCAGATTGTACCCTGCCTCGGGGCCCAAACGCCCCAGGGTCTCCATATCCCTGGATCCTCCTGGACATCTGCCATACACAGATATAGCCTCAGTTGGCTGCTGCCTCCAGAGCTGAAGCACAAGCCATTGACAGTGACCTTACCCCTGACTCATGCCCTTTGCTCTTCCCAGTTACTCCCACTGCTCCCACTGCCTCTGAAATGAAGCTGCCACACATTTACAAGTGCCCTGAGGACAAACTCCTTCTCAGTCTGTGCCTACTGTGGGATGGTACCGATGGAGCCAAACCACAAGAAATGTGTATAATTTCCAATTGCCAGCATATGTCTGCTGCCATTGGAAGCAATCCTATACTTCCCAGGAGGAGGGCTGCAGCATTTCCACTGGGAATTGGAGCATCCCACCAAAGACACAGGGATCACCCTGATCCTGCCTACAACACCCAGCACCTGCATGAACCACTGAGGGACCTGAACAGGCCCATCTGACCTCTATTCTGCCCCTCAAATACCCAACCATGCTCTCCTGGGTACTGGGGATTTCCCAACCCAGTCAACCACCACAGGCACCTGGGCACTTCTCCCAGGATCCTGGGGTCAAGCCCAGCCAATCTGCCCCTACCACCACAGTGAATAGCCAGTTGCATGTGCTATATACAGTCTTGGGGTCTGGCTCATCCACCCTGTTACAACCATTGCCAACACAAGTGTGGACTATTTGGGAGTCAGAGAGTTATGCTACTACTGTTACTGCCGTTACTCATACTGTTGCAGGAATCAGAGGACCAGATGGACCAAATGGGTTTTACAGGAGGATTTTTATTAAGATGTACACTGGCTCAGTGGATTTGCATCCAAAAAAACTGAGCTCAGAACAAAGGGTTACAGAAGCAGAAATAAAGACAGTTAATCAAACAGTGACAGATCTCATAATCTCTAGCATAGCTTGTGGTATTGCAGCTGCATCAAAGGAGAAACAGGACCTTACAAAACTTGCAAAATATTTATGGAAAGTGGGTAAAGGGCTAAAAGAGGAATTTTATTTTTCTTTTTCTTATGTTGGGGAGTGCTGGGAGGGTCTCCAGAGCACATTCCTTTTGGGTCTTGACTTCTTGGTGTTTTCAGGACCTTGCCCGGGCCTGGGCTGTGTCTGTTACTGATTTTTGGGATGAGACAGGCTAACACAGGAACTTGTTTTTCTCTTTTGGTTTTTATTTCTTCTTTCTCTAATTTCCACCTCAATACCACATGTACTTCCCAGTGGTCTAGAATCCACCCACCCACCTGGCCACTGCTACCACTATCAGCACCTGAACAAGCTGGGCCCACTAACACTGCTGCCAGGATATGCCACTCTTGGGCTCAAGCACAGGCCTATCTGGCATCCTCATTCACAGCAAAACTTCAAGACAGCCTCCACTAACGGCCACACCCTGAGCAACAGAGGAAATCAAAGATAGCACTGACATTGTTTACACCTAAAGAAATCATATGGAGACTCCACTACTACCCACATCTAGAATGAAAGCCAAAGTGCCATACCCAACCAAAACCATAGATATATATTTAGAAAAAAATCTCCCTAGTGAAAGCATATTTTAAAAATTAGAAAAGGCAACTATTACACCAGATACTCAGAGAGCAGCATAAAGACACAAGAAACATAAATAAACAAGGAAAGGTAACCTTTGTAAAGGGACACAGTAATACCTCAGCAACAGATTCCAATGAAAAAGAACCTTATTAAAACCCAGATAAAGAATTCAAAATTATGATATGAAGCTCAGTGACATAGAAGAGTATAGACAAAAATAGTTATAAATATAAATGAGAAATTTATAAACAAATAGCTACCATAGGCAAAGAAACAAATAGAGGATGAGATGGATGGAATTGACAGAAGTAGGCTTCAGAAGGTGGGTAATAACAAACTCCACTGAGCCAAAGGAGCATGGTCTAAACCAGTGCAAAGAAGCCAAGAACCTTGATATAAGGTTACAGGAGCTGCTAAGTAGAATAACCAGTTTAGAGAGGAACATATATGACATGATAGAGCTGAAAAACACAGCACAAGAACTGCATTAAGCATACACAAGTATCAATAGCTGAATTGATCAAACGGAAGAAAGGATATCGGAGTGAAGACCATCTTGCTTAAATAAGGCATGCAGACAAGATTAGACAAAAAAGAATGAAAAGGAACAAATAAAACCTCTAAGAAATATGGGACTATGTAAAAAGACCAAACCTATAAGTGATTGCAGTACCAGAAAGAGACAGGGAGAATGGAGCCAAGTTAGGAAACACACCTCAGGATATTATCCAGAAAACTTCCCCAACCTAGCAAGACAGGCCAACATTCAAACTCAGGAAATACAGAGAACACCACCAAGATACTCCATGAGAAGATCAACCCCAAGATACATAATCATCAGATTCTCTAAGGTTGAAATTAAAAAAAAAAATGTTAAGGGTAGTCAGAGAGAAAGGTCAGGTCACTTACAGAGGGAAGCCAATTAGACTAACAGCAGATCTCTCAACAGAAACCCTACAAGCTAGAAGAGTGTTGCCAATATTCAACTTTCTTAAAAAAAGGAATTTTCAACCCAGAATTTCATATCCAGCCAAACCAACCTGCATAAATGAAGGAGAAATAAAATCCTTTACAGACAAGCAAATGCTAGGGGATTTTTGTCACCACGAAGCCTGCCTTGCAAGAGATGCTGAAGGTAGCATTAAATATGGAAAGGAAAAACTGGCAGCAGCCACTGCAAAAACACACCAAAATATATAGACCAATGACACTATGAGGAAACTGCATCAACTAGTGTGCAAAATAACCAGCTAGTATCATGATGACAGGCTCAGATTTATACATAATAATATTAACCTTAACTATAAATTGGGCTAAATGGCCCAATTGAAAGACACGGACTGGCAAATTGGACAAAGCGTCAAGACTCATCCCTGTGCTGTATTCAGGAGACCCATCTGATGTGCAAAGACACTCATAGCCTCAAAATAAAGGGATGGAAGAAAATTCACCAAGAAAACGGAAAGCAAGAAAAAGCAGAGGTTGCAATCCTAGTCTCTGATAAAACAGATTTTAAACCAACAAAGATAAAAAAAGACAAAAGAATAGCATTACATTGTGGTAAAGGGATCTGTTCAACAGGAAGCACTAACTATACTAAATATATATGCACCAATACAGGAGCACTCAGATTCATAAAACAAGTTCTTAAGAGACCTATAAAGAGACTTAGACTTCTACACAATAATAGTGGGAGAATTTAACACTCCACTCTCAGTATTAGACAGTTCCATAAGAAAGAAAATTAACAAGGATATTTAAGAATTGAACTGAGCTCTGCATCAAGTGGACCTAATAGATATCTGCAGAACTCTCCACCCCAAATCAACAGAATATTCATTCTTCCAGTACCACATGAAACTTACTCTAGAATCAACCACAGAATTGGAAGTAAAACATTCCTCAGCAAATGCAAAAGAACTGAAATCATAACAGTATCTTACACCACAGTGAATCAAATTAGAACGCAGGATTAAGAAACTCAACAAAACCACTCAACTACATGGAAACTGAAAAACCTGCTCCTGAATAACTAATGGGTAAATAAAGAAATTAAGGCAGAAATAAATAAGTTCTTTAAAACCAATGACAACAAAGACACAATGTACCAGAATCTCTGGGACACAGCTAAACCAATGTTTAGAGGGAAATTTACAGCACTAAATGCCCACATCAGACAGTGGGAAAGATTTAAAATCGACACCCTAACATCACAATTTAAAGAACTAGAGAAACTAGAGCAAACAAATTCAAAAGCAAGTAGAAAATAAGAAATAACTAAGATAAGAACAGAACTGAAGGAGACAGACACACAAAAAAAACCCTTCAAAAAATCAATGAATCCAGGATCTGTTTTTTTAAAAAGATTAACCAAATAGATAAAATGCTAGACAGACTAATAAAGAAGAAAACAGAGAAGAATCATATAGACACAATAAAATAGGATAAGGGGATATCACCACTGTTCCCACAGAAATACAAACTACCACCAGAGAATACTATAAACACCTCTATGTAAATAAACTGGAAACCCTAGAAGAAGGGTTTATTTGTCCAGGACAAATAAACCCTCCCAAGACTAAACCAGGAAGAAGTCGAATCCCTGAATAGACCAATAACTAGCTCTAATATTGAGGCAGTAATTATTTAATAGCCTACTAACCAAAAAAAAGCACGGGACCAGATGGATTCACAGCCCAATTCTACTAGTGCTACAAAGAGGAGCTGGTACCATTCCTTCTGAAACGATTCCAAACAACAGAAAAAGAAGGAGTCCTCCCCAACTCATTTTATGAGGCAAGCATCATACTGATACCAAAACCTGGCACAGGCACAACAAAAAAAGAAAATTTCAGGCCAATATGCCTGATGAACATCGATGCGAAAATCCTCAATAAAATACTGCAAACTGAGTCCAGCAGCACATCAAAAAGCTTATCCGCCACTATCAAGTTAGCTTCATCCCTAGGATGCATGGCTGGCTCAACATACGCAAATCAGCAAAAGCAATCCATCACATAAACAGAACCAATGACGAAAACCACATGATTATCTCAATAGATGCCGAAAAGGCTTTTGATAAAATTCAACACCACTTCATGCTAAAAACACTCAATAAACTAGGTATTGAGGGAACATATTTCAAAATAATAAGATCTGTTTATGACAAACCCATAGCCAATAAAATACTGAATAGGAAAAAGCTGGAAGCATTCCCTTTGAAAATCACCACAAGACAAGATTGCCCTCTTTCACCATTCCTATTCCACATAGTATTGGAAGTTCTGGCCAGGGAAATCAGGCAAGAGAAAGAAATAAAGCATACTGAAATAGGAAGAGAGAAGGTCAAATTGTCTTTGTTTGTAGATGACATGATTATATATTTTGAAAACCCCATCGTCTCAGTCCAAAAACCGCTTAAGCTCATAAGCAACTTCGGCAAAGTCTCAGGATACAAAATCAATGCGCAAAAGTCACAAGCATTTCTATACACCAATAATGGACAAACAGAGAATCAAATCATCTGTGAACTCCCATTCAGAATTGCTACAAAGAAAATAAAATACCTAGCAATACAACTTACAGAGATGTGAAGGGGCCTCTTCAAGGAGAAATACAAACCACTGCTCAAGGAAATAAGAAAGGACACAAAGAAATGGAAAAACATTCCATTCTAATGGATAGAAAGAATGAATATCATGAAAATAACTGTAATGCTCAAAGTAATTTATAAATTCAATGCTATTCCCATCAAGCTACCACTGACTTTCTTCACAGAACTAGAAAAAACTACTTCAAATTTAATATGGAACTAAAAAGAGCCCACATAGCCAAGAGAATCCTAAGCAAAAAGAACAAAGCTGGAAGCATCATGCTGTCTGACTTCAAACTATACTACAAGGCTACAGTAACAAAAACAGCATGGTACTGGTACCAAAACAGATATATAGACCAATGGAACAGATCAGAGGCCTCAGAAATAACATCACACAACTACAACCATCAGATCTTTGACAAACATGACAGAAAGAAACAACGGGGAAAGGATTTTCTATTTATTAATGGTGCTGGGAAAACTGGCTAGCCATATGCAGAAAACTGAAGCTGGACCCCTTCCTTATGCCTTATACAAAAATTAACTCAAGAAGGAAAACTGGCTAGCCATATGCAGAAAACTGAAGCTGGATCCCTTCCTTATGCCTTATACAAAAATTAACTCAAGATGGATTAAAGACTTAAACATAAGGCCTAAAAACCATAAACACCCTAGAAGCAAACCTAGGCAATATCATTTAGGACACAGACATGGGCAAAGGCTTCATGACTAAAAGCAATGGCAACAAAAGCCAAAATTGACAAATGGGATTTAATTAAACTAAAAAGCCTCTGCACTGTAAACGAAACTATCGTCAGACTGAGCAGGCAACGTACAGAATGGGAGAAAAATATTGCAATCTATCCATCTGACAAAGGACTAATATCCAGAATCTATGAGGAACTTAAACAAATTTACAAGAAAAAACCAAACAGCCCCATCAAAAAATGGGTGAAGGATATGAACAGACACTTCTCAAAAGAAGACATTTATGTGGCCAATATACCTATGACAAAAAGCTCAACTTCACTGTTCATTAAAGAAATGGAAATCAAAACCACAAGAGATGCCATCTCATGCCAGTTATAATGGTGATCAATCATTAAAAAGTCAGGAAACAGACCAGGTGCAGTGGCTGACACCTGTAATCCCAGCACTTTGGGAGGCCGAGGCGGGCGGATCACAAGGTCAGGAGAGTGAGACCATCCTTGCTAACACGGTGAAACCCCGTCTCTACTAAAAAATACAAAAAGTTAGCCGGGTGCAGTGGTGGGCACCTGTAGTCCCAGCTACTTGGGAGGCTGAGGCAGGAGAAAGGCATGAACCCGGGAGGCGGGGCTTGCAGTGAGCTGAGATCACGCCACTGCACTCTGGGCAACAGAGACTCCATCTCAAAAAAAAAGTCAGGAAACAACAGATACTTGCAAGTACATGGAGAAACAGGAATGCTTTTATGCTGTTGGTGGAAGTGTAAATTATTTCAACCATTGTAGAAGACAGTGTGGCAACTCCTCAGGTATCTCGAACCAAAAATACTATCTGACCCAGCAATCCTATTACTGGGTATACACCCAAAGGATTATAAATTATTCTACTATAAAGACACATGCCCATGTATGTGTACTGCAGCACTATTTACAATAGCAAAGACTTGGAACCAACCCAAATGCCTATCAATGATAGACTGGATAAACAAAATCCAGCATATACATAACATAGAATTCTATGCAGCCATAAAAAAAGAATGAGTTAATATCCTTTGCAGGGACATGAATGAAGCCAGAAGCCATGATTCTCAGCAAACTAACACAGGAATAGAAAACCAAACACCACATATTCTCACTCATAATTGGGAATTGAACAATGAGAACAGACGGACACAGGGAGGGGAACATCACACACTTGGGCCCTATCGGGGGTGGGGTTCAAGGGGAAGGAGAACATTAGAACAAATACCTAATGAATGAAGAGCTTAAAATCTAGATGACAGGTTGATTGGTGCAGGAAACTACCATGGCACATATATACCTGTGTAACAAACCTGCACGTTCTGCACATGTATCCCAGAACTTAAAGTATAATAAATAAATAAATTTAAAAAATAAGCTACATGCATTCACATATATCAGGTTAAATGGTTATATCCTCTAATTTTCCGATAATTAATGCTCATTTTTGTTACTTCTTCTTTTGCTATACCACCCTACCTTCCATGTGTTGTTATACTAAATTTTTTTTTAAAAATAATATAAAGTCATTAGTCTAGTCTCTTCAGGGAATAACCTAAATCTGAATGCTTTATACCCATTTCACATACATGTGACAAATTATACACTACAAAGGGTACAAATAATAAGCCTTTTATCAGTATACATATTTTTGTATCTTTTGTAGTTACATTTTATAAACCAGGTAAGATCCAAAAAGTTACATAGAATGTAAGGCCTTAATGTTATATACTGTCTGATTTATAATCTGCCAAATGTACATGAAGGTATGAGGATGGATGCAGCTTTGTATTTACATTCGATATATAATGTTGGGTTAGAGATTAGCTAATTTTTCCAAGGTACAGCCTGTACAGAGCCAGAATTCAAATTCATTCTTTACTGCAATTTCTGTCCCACCTCTATGTTGCTCTATCACTTTGTAATAATTACCTGCCTCAAGTGAGACAGGTAGGCCTTATTCCTGGAAAAGGCCATATTCTACATTATTTGAATGTCTGCTTGTGCAAATGTATGCATATTATCAAAAACCTCTTGGTGTGATGGCCACCACTATGACAATTAATATACTTACTAATATACTTATGACAATTAATATAACATTTTCAATAGTACAGCTACTGAAAATATTCTGTGGTGTAGCGATTCAACTGAAATGGAATGAGTAAAGAACATGATAGACTATAATCTATAAAATCAGAGTTAGTTGTTAGTTTCAAAATAACAATGAAAACACGTGTTACTGAGCAAAATCAGCTGGGATTTCCAAAACTCTCACTAGTGTTATAGTTTTTTGTCTGGAAGTTCTAAACTGTCCTCTCATTTAAACATCAAAGTTTAAATATATAATACCTATTTTTGGAGGAGGCAAATCTATTACTTAAAAAAAGATACCATTTCTTCACTTATAAAGGAACATTTCCCCTAATGCCATTAATAATTAACATTTTTGTAATATCTAATATCTGGAGGTATAACCAGTAAACTATTTGATACATGGAATATTATGCAATTTGTCTTTTGAAAACAGTAATCAACAGAGGCGTTTAATATATATGAGACTTTTTATAGATTCTTTACATAGAAAAATATACACAATTCCTCAACATACATATGCCATATAATATGAGAAAAAAAAATTAATCTTGGGATCCCAAAATCACTAAGTAACGGAAAAGTCAAGCTGGGAACTATGTCACTAAACTTGCCTCCCATTTTATTCCTAAATAAGATACGTACAAAGATAAGAAGCTACATACGTTCCTCACAACGTGCCCACAAGGAAATTCCTTGTGGACAAAGGACAGACCCAACTCAAAGTTATCCCTGTGAGGCGCACAAGAGACAACTGCATATCTGATTGCTTCCTCTGCCTTATTATTTATTTATGTAAAAATACAGAGTTACTAGCCGGACTAAATTCTGTATTCAGTAGGAGGCTGATCAAGGACTCAAAAGCATGCAAACTCTTGTCTCTTATCTACATTTTTTTTTTTTTTTTTTTTTTTGAGACGGAGTTTTGCTCTTGTTGCCCAGGCTGGAATGCAATGGTGCCATCTCGGCTCACCGCAACCTCCGCCTCTTGGGTTCAAGCGATTCGCCTGCCTCAGTCTTCAGAGTAGCTGAGATTACAGGCATGCGCCACCATGCTCTGTTAATTTTGTATTTTTAGTAGAGACGGGGTTTTTCCATGTTGGTGACGCTGGTCTGAAACTCCCAACGTTAGGTCATCTGCCCGCCTCGGCCTCCCAAAGTGCTGGGATTACTGGCGTAAACCACAGCGCCCGACCTGTCTCTTATCTATTTCTAACATGGAAGCCCCCGCTTCGAGCTGTCCCTCTTACCTGACCGAACCAATCATGTTTCCCTAAAACGTACAAAAGCAAGCTGTGCCCTGACCACCTTGGGCAAATGTATCATGGGTAAGTCTTGCAAAATAAACTTTTTAAATTGACTAAGACCTCTCTCAGATATTTGGGGTTCAGAAATAAATTCTTTTACCTATTATTTATAATTTTGGTTACAATTGAGAAAGTAAGAAAAAAGTGGTGTTTTTTTCTTTTCTAAGGGTTACTGCATCTTGAAAGTGTGATGAAGGTCTTAATTATTGTTCTTATAATTCCTGTCCACAGAAGCTCCTACTCTTACTGAGACCTCACGGAATTATCATTATCACAATAGAAATAAACATTTTGGGTTTGTGGAGTAACTTTTTTTTTTTTTTTTTTTTTTGCTCATCGTTTGTTGTTTAGATAATATCATGAACTGATAAATGCAGTTGCCACGTTGATTCCCTAGGGCCTGGCTTACCGACTGAGGTCATAAGATATTATGCCTTCTCTTTAGACTTGGTCAGTGGAGAGGAAATGGGCAAAGAACCAGCCTATGGAGGTGACAAGGCCTTAGGGCCAAAAGTCTTGAGGGTGAAGGTTTAGGGCCTGCGCAGCTTCCCTGCCATGCCCCGCAAGGTCTCGCATTCGCAAGGCTTGTGACAGTGGGAGCCTCATTACGGACTCTCCTAAAGTCCATGGTGTCCTCTTTTCGCATTTGCGCCCCGTGGGTGATGCCCGATGCCGCCCTTCCCATCGCTCTCTTCCCCTTCAAGCGTATCGCAACTGCAAAAACACCCAGCACAGACACTCCATTTTCTATCTTAATGCATTTAACTAGCACAACCTACAGGTTGTTCCATCCCAGAGACTACCCTTTTCTCCATAGACGTGACCATCAACCAACCAGCGGTCAGAATCAGTCAGCCTCTGTCATGTTCCTAGGTCCTTGGCGAACTGGCTGGGCGGGGTCCCAGCAGCCTAGGAGTACAGTGGAGCAATGCCTGACGTAAGTCAACAAAGATCACGTGAGACGAATCAGTCGCCTAGATTGGCTACAACTAAGTGGTTGGGAGCGGGGAGGTCGCGGCGGCTGCGTGGGGTTCGCCCGTGACACAATTACAACTTTGTGCTGGTGCTGGCAAAGTTTGTGATTTTAAGAAATTCTGCTGTGCTCTCCAGCACTGCGAGCTTCTGCCTTCCCTGTAGTTTCCCAGATGTGATCCAGGTAGCCGAGTTCCGCTGCCCGTGCTTCGGTAGCTTAAGTCTTTGCCTCAGCTTTTTTCCTTGCAGCCGCTGAGGAGGCGATAAAATTGGCGTCACAGTCTCAAGCAGCGATTGAAGGCGTCTTTTCAACTACTCGATTAAGGTTGGGTATCGTCGTGGGACTTGGAAATTTGTTGTTTCCATGAAATCCTGCGCAGTGTCGCTCACTACCGCCGCTGTTGCCTTCGGTGATGAGGCAAAGAAAATGGCGGAAGGAAAAGCGAGCCGCGAGAGTGAAGAGGAGTCTGTTAGCCTGACAGTCGAGGAAAGGGAGGCGCTTGGTGGCATGGACAGGTACGCACCTCCATCACCCGCCTGGTTGGCTGGCGATACTCTCCGGGAAGGCCTGGACGCAGCTTGCCCACGTTGATGACGGGGTCATCCTCAGCTTGGCACTCACCAATCTGTCGCTGTCGCTCTTGGACTCGGGAAGGAGCAAGTCACTGGCTTTCTCAGACCATTAACAAGCTCTGTGTCTCTCTCTCTACAGCCGTCTCTTCGGGTTCGTGAGGCTTCATGAAGATGGCGCCAGAACGAAGACCCTACTAGGCAAGGTAAAAGCAACCAGACGCAAAGTCTTTGGTCCGCACTTTGCTCTACCAAGGCCCCGCGTTCCTTACCGCCCAGCCAGTATTTATTTTGGCTCTGCTCCATGGCCAAGGGGTCGGAAAAGTGTTTCTTGCCTTTGCTGTCCCCGTACTCTGGAATACTTCGCCCCTTGCTCCAGACTCCCTTCTACTCTGAGGAAAAAAAAAATCGGACGCTTTGGGACCGGGCTAAACCGGGTCTACACCACATGCCTGTTACTTTAGGGCCTTTTGTTCCTGAATTTTAGCGTCACAAATAGTGAATGTGTACAGTTTTCAAAATTCATAACTTCCTGCTTCTTCCCCTCGCCTTTTGGTATTTGGCTCTTGGTGTCTAATTTTAAACATTTTTTTGCCTTTTTAAAAAAAATATCCCTGGTGTCCTAAGTGTAAGTAGCAAGTAAGTTACAGCGGTGAAGAGTTTGCAGTAGATATTTGACCTATAAACTGATGCGTGTATGTTTAGCCTGAAGTTTAGTGATTTGTTGACTTTTTTAGGATGCACAGTGCTGCAAATGTGATTTCATGAATGTGTGTGCTTTTTCCATTCAGGAACCTTGTTTCTTAGGTGTCATGCTCACAGTGGGAAGAATTTGTTGTTTGTGTGAAAAGTTGGCACTGTCGTTTAGTTAATGGCTGCTCCTATCAGCCAAGATGGCGGGTAAAAAGGGGGAGGAGCAATAAAGGGGGAAGCTTGGGAAGAGGGTGGAGGTATTAACCCGGAAACCTTAGCAAGGAATAGACCGTAAAGAGCGCTGACGTAGCTTCATGTTGCTTATTAAAAATTATTATTATTTAAAAGTAGAATTCTTGCGTTATCTCCAACATTGACAGCAGCATTTTTAAACCTATATGTGCTTATTAATTGCAGCATGTTTAGTTACTCCCACGTGAATTGTTGCGTAACTTGGCCCTGGAATATTCCTGTGTGTATCGTTTTTTACCCTCTCACCAAAATCTTGTTAAAGTATTTGTATGTTGTCAATTGGTCCCGTGAAATAAGAACGGTACAACAATCGCGCCATCTTTTAGATGCTGAAGCCAGTAGTTAAGAATTTCAGTTTATTATTGTATTTGACAAGGAAATACTAATTATTTTCTCAGGATGAACATTTTACTTACCAAGACGTTTTACTTTGTAGTTTAATTCAGTACAGACGCTGAGTTCTTTTACCTATAATCTCCTTTGTATGTTTGTTTTGGGGGCAAATACTGATCAGAAAACTAAAATGTAATATATATATGTATGTATAATGTGTATATATATAGTTAGTAAATCCACTTTATTTGACTGATAAATGAAACATGAGTTAAACTTTGATTATGCAAGTGAAAATAGCTTTATGAAAAACATGTTATAGTATCAATGATACGATTTAAGCAACAGTGACTCGATCTGCCTTAATGTTTAAAATAGTTATGATAATGAAATAAAAGTAATTTGATGTTTTCTGGGATAATGTGGGAAAATACTGGTTGAGAACTTTAAATCTTCATATGCTGGAGTTAGGATAAATTCTCAGTGGGTTGTGGTTAACATTTTAGTTTGGAATGAACTTTTCAGATAGACAATATGGGGTTTAAATTTTAAGGAATTTTTTTTTCACATATTGATCCTTTCCAATTTTGATTACAGTAACATTTTAAATATGAGAAAGTGGTTTCATTATGTTTGGGGAGAACTGTAGCTTCATAAAACACTGAGTAATGCCGTATATTAAACTGCAGTGACTTTTTTGAAATGAAAAAAATATTAACTCAATTTCACTTCATTTGGCTCAGGATTCTGAAGGCTGGGAAGTCCAGGATCAAGGGGCTGCGTTTCATGAGGGCTTTAGTGCTGCATCATTCTTTGGAGAAGGTGGAAGGGCAAGAAAGTATATCACAGTGCAAGAGATGGGGGATGCCTAACTCTCTGTAATGAACCTATCCTCACTATGACATTAACCCATCCATGAGAGCAGCCTGCTTATGATGTTGTCAAATCTTAAAGACATCATTTCACAACACTGTTGCATTGAGGATTATGTTTTCAATGCATGAACTTTGGGGGACATATTCAAACCATAGTACCTGTTCTCCAAGACAAATTATTCTACAGTATGTATAATAAAGTATTTTTTCCCTTTCTCACAGAGCTTTGCATATATCACTGTTTTTTAAAAAAGTTCTTAGAATGATCTATTTCACTGATATTTCAGTTTTTATTCGTATTTATGTTTTCTATGAAAGTTTTATTTATAGATTTTACTAATGTCAGTATTGTTTTACAAGCTTCTAAAGGTTTAAAATATTGTTATAAATATGCTTTTTTCCCTGTCAAGTTTTCTGGACATTGAGGATGCTCTATCCCAACGACTAGTTTCTCTGATTTTTTTTTTTTTTGACCTCATACGTGAACCCGCATATCAAACCATTAGGATGGTTGTAACAATAGATTTCCTTAAAATTCTGTAACTTATGTTTTATAAGATTTTTATTAATTTTTATAAGATTGTCATCTGAATTAGTGTAAATACTTTTCAGCAAAAACTTTTTGGTTGAAGCTTAATAACTTGCTCGTATTTAAATAATACGCAGTTCAATTAAGTGAAAAACAGATTTTAGCAATAGTAACTTTTATTTCATGTTGGAAAACGTTTTAGGTTGATTTTGTTTGTATTATGATAGAGTTTCACTCTGTCAAATAGAATATTACTATTACAGTATGCCTTCAATATAATGCTAGAGGCATTAACAGGAGAAACGCCTATTAAAATGCTTTGAGTGGTTTTTTATACTGTAATATTTGAAAGGTGATATTTAAGATCTTGCGTTATATGCGTTTTGTTTGCTAACCTGTAACCTGTAGAACTTCATTTCCAGTTGTAAAAATAGTGTTTTGAGTTAAAAAAGCAACTATAGAAATAATGTCATGTTTTGTTATTTAGAATTAGGTCTTTAATTTGGTGTATCAGGAACAGTTTGGATGTTGTCTTCCAAACAATTAGAGTTGTTATTGTTTACGTATTACTGGACAAAGTATTAAGTAGGCATTATGTAAGAATGCTAATAGAAAATTTGGGTACAACGTTGGACATACATATCTGAAGCAATTATAGAAAATATTTTGATATCTAGGCACAGTTCCAAACTATGTGATAATAAATGGGCACTTTTCTGGTATTGGTTTACTTTACTTTTTTTTCCCCCGAGATGGAGTTTCACTCTTGTTGCCCTGGCTGGAGTGGAATAGTGCGGTCTCACCTCACTGCAACCTCTGTGTTCTGGGTTCAAGTGATTCTCCTGCCTCAGCCTCCCAAGTAGCTGGGATTACAGGTATCCACCACCATGCTTGGCTAATTTTTTGTATTTGTAGTAGAGACAGGGTTTCATCATGTTGGCCAGGCTGGTCTGGAACTCCTGACCTCAGGTGATCTGCTCTCCTCAGCCTCCCAAAGTGCTGGGATTACAGGAGTGAGCCACTGCATCCAGC
This sequence comes from Homo sapiens, assembly GCF_000001405.40. Taxonomy (NCBI): domain Eukaryota; kingdom Metazoa; phylum Chordata; class Mammalia; order Primates; family Hominidae; genus Homo; species Homo sapiens. Next base: position 13,475,745 of record NC_000024.10, on the reverse strand, counting down.
CTACTTTTATTACTAACTAGCTAGCTTTTAAAAGAGTCAAATTGAAATAACTAGGGAACATTTGATATTATTTAAATTGCCAAATAAGATTGTTTTGCCTGTTTTGTCTGTGACTCAGGTGGCAAAATTTATTTATAGGCATAATGCTGTAAGCCAAAATTAAATTTTAGTGCTTTCCAACCACAGTATTATACATCTGTTCTGACATAGATTGATTTTTAGTTTTGAAGGTTATTTTTGCACTGCAACTTACTGTGATGCTAACGAATGATCCCATTTTAATGAGCTGTCTAGAGAGCTAATTTGTATTTTAAAGAATATAAGATTGTTTCATTCAACAAATTAAGACCTAAACCTACATATTTTGTAAATTAGTCAATGGCTGTCATAAAATGACTGGCATATTTTATGAACTTGCTTTGAATCTTCACATGATTGGCTTATAAATTGCTGCTGCAACTCAGAGCAGAACAAACTTGAGAGTGCCATGAATGGAAAACTTTTATGAAGGTCGTATTGAAGTAAGACCTCTCTCAGTTTAGATTGAACAAATAGTCCTTTAAGTGGTAGGATGACTAACACCGGAACATGAGTGTAGAATAAATGTGTGAAGGGCTTTAAAAGTTCACAGTAAAGGTTAGCTTATGAAAATAAAAGTTTGCATTGCTGTTTCTTAATAGGACAGAGTTGTTACTTGGAGATTATTTGATTCATACCACAGCAGTGCATCTTGTAATTTTATTTAGAATTCAGATTTAAAATCAGACTTTAGCTTTAGCAGATGTTTAAAGTAATGTACTTTGCTATTCTTTTACTCGCTGATCTCATTTTGTTATAAGCTTTACTTGGCCTGGCGTGGTGACTCTTGCCTGTAATCCCAGCCGTTTCGGAGATGGAGGCTGATGCATCAGTTGAGTCCAGAAGTTCAAGACTAGCCTGGGCAACATGGCAAAACTCCATCTCTACAAAAAACTAAGAAATTAGCTAGACATGGTGATCTGCACCTATAGTCCCAGGATGGACACTCTTGCCCTCTTCAGAGAATAGAATACAGATCTTTTCTCATTTTTACACTTTTGGCCTGTGCGTGTCCTTAGGTCTAAAGTGAATGTCTTTTAGGCAATGTGTAGTTGTATCTTGTTTTTTTAAATCCAGTTATTCCCTCTGTGTATTATGATTGGTGCATTACCTGTTTCTCTTTACTGACAAGAAAGGACTTACTACTTCCATTTTCTTTGTTTCATTTCATTTTTATGCCTTAAAATATAGGTTACTATAATTGTCTAAAAGTTTACCTTGTTTTCTATGTTGTACCCTTTTTATTTCTCTTTTCCTCTCTTTCTGCCTTCCTTTGTGTTTCATTGGATTTTTTTGTAGTGACAAATTTTAATTCTCTTTTCATTTCACTTTGTACATATGTCCTATATGTTTTCTTTGTAGTTACCATGGCAGTAACATAAAGCTTCATAAAGTTATAAAACTATCTTTGTTTTTTTTTCTTTTTGAGATGCAGTTTCCTTCTGTTGCCCATGCTGAAGTTCAGTGGTGCTATGTCAGCCCACTGCAACCTCCACGTCCCAGGTTCAAGCTGCCTCAGCCTCCCAAGTAGCTGAGATTTCACGTACCTGCCACCACACATAGCTGTTTTTGTATTTTTTTAGTAGAGACAGGCTTTTACCATGTTGCCCAGGCTGGTCTCCAACTCCTGACCTAGGTGATCTGCCTGCCTTGGCCTCCTAAAGTGCTGGGATTACAGGCATGAGCCACCACACCCGGCCAGTAATCATCTTTTGTCAACTGACAAGAACTAAATTTCAGTTGCATATAAAAACTGCTCTTTATATCTGTCCTTTAGGGATCCATTAATGTATTTTTTAGAATTTTTTTATGCCTTAAAAAATTAGATACCAGATTTATTCATTATTTTTTCATCTGCATTATAATATTATAGGTTACTATATTTGTCTATATGTTTACCTTTATTTTGTATTTTCAAATGGTTTTGTGTGCTGATTAACATCATTTTTCTTTAACCTGTGGGACTACTTCAGCATTTCTTACAAGGTAGGTGTAGTGGTGATGAACGCCCTCAGGTTTGTTTTTCAAGGAAGTCTTACTTTCTCGAAAATTGCAAATCCAGAGAGATACAAAAACAGATTAGCAGTTTTCAGGGGGTGTATCCCTTAGGTACAAACTTAGCAGTTGGCCCAGCACTCCTTGCTCATCCCACAACCATGTTATTGCCTTGGGAATTCACATTACTGCCTGCTATTTTAATTTTTTCCTGCGTGAAACAATACTTCTTTCTGGTAAAGTATGTCTATCGTCAGTTAGTTCTTTGCCTTTGTTTATCTGGGAATATGATTCTCCTTTTTAATAGAAGTATAGTATAATGAAGTATAGAATTTTTGATGATAGTTCTTTCATTATTTTTTTTTTCTCGAGACAGAGTCTTGCACTGTTGCCTGGGTTGGAGTGCAGTGGCGTGATATTGGCCCACTGCAACCTCCACCTCCCAAGTTCAAGCGATTCTCTTGCCTCAGCCTCCCAAGTAGCTGGGATAACAGCCACCCTATTCTCTTGCCTCAGACTCCCTAGTAGCTGGGATAACAGCCACCCACCACTACGCCCAACTAATTTTTTATGTTTTTAGTTGAGACGGGTTTTCACCATGTTGGGCGGGCTGGTCTTGAACTCCTGACCTTGTGATTCACCCACCTCAGCCTCCCAAAGTGCTGGGATTACAGGCGTGAGCCTCCGTGCCCAGCCTGGAGGATAGTTATTTTATTCTCCCATTTTTTCATTTGGATTCCAGTTATATTAAGATTGTAACACCTGGCATGATCTCAAAATGTTTCTGAAGCTCTGTTTTTGTTCAATGTTTTCTTTTTTTGGATTTGATCTTTTATATTGATGTATTAAATATTTAGTGTTGGTTTTCAGTTTCTGAGTTGTTTCACTTAAGATAATCACCTTCAGTTCCATCTTGTTGTTGCATAAGACATATTTTCATTCTTTTAATTGCCAAATAGTATTTAATTTTATATATGCCGCTTTTTCTTTATCCAGTTATCCATTGGTGGACATTGGAGTAATTACCTATCTTTGCTATTGTGAGGAGAGCTGCAGTAAACATACAAATGCAGTTATCATTTTGATATAATGATTTCTTATTCTTTGGGTATATACCGTGTAATGGGATTGTTGGATTGAATGGTAGTTTTGTTTTTAGTAGTTTGAGAAATCTCCATACTGTTTTTCAGAGTGTGCTAATACTCTATGAAAGTGTATAAGAGATTCCTTTTGTCTGTATCCCTGCCAATATCTCTTTTTTTTTTTTATCTTTTTAATGATAGACATTCTGTCTAGTGTTAAGATGATATCTCATTGTGGTTTTGATTTGCAGTTCTCTGGTGATTAGTGATGTTGAACATTTTTTAAATGTGCTTTTTGACTATTATGTGTCTTCTTTTGATCTGTTCTTGTCCTTTGCCCACTTTTTCTTTTTTTTCAAGTCTTGCTGTGTCACCCAGGGTAGAGTGCAGTGGCATGATGACAGCTTACTGCAACCTCAATCACCTGTATTTGCCCACTGTTTAATTCATTAAGTATATTTGTAATAACTACTTTGAAGTTCCTGCTGAATACAATATATAAATTTATTTGGGTAAGTTTTTGTTGATTGAAAAAAGTGACTTATTATAATAGGGTTACACTTACCTGTTTGTTTTCAGGTCTAGTAATGTTTGGTGGAGAATTAGACATTTTAGATATGTATTTTAAGAAAATTTGCATAGAGTGGAGGGTACTTGTGGACTAAACTGTGAAACTCTTTGCTGCTGTGAATGTTAGCACAATGTTAAAAAATAAAATTTCCTATGTTTTGCCTTTATTCCCTTTCGTCCTCCTCTTTTTTTTTTTTTGAGCCGGGGTCTCACTCTGTTGGTCAGGCTGGAGTGCAGTGGCACAGTCTTGGCTCACTGTAACCTCTGCCTCCTGGCTTCAAGTGATTGTCCTGCCTCAGCCTCTCCGGTAGCTGGGACTACAGATGCGCACCACCATGTCCAGCTAATTTTTGTATTTTTAGTAGGCACGGGGTTTCACCATGTTGACCAGGATGATCTATATCTCTTGACCTTGTGATCCACCTGCCTTCGGCCTCCCAAAGTTGCTGCGATTACCCCTTCTTTTTTGTAGAGTGCATTCACTATCGTTTTCATGCTGCCATTACTTGAAGTCCTGTTTTCCGGATACTGCATTTTGTGTAAGGAAGAACATTTATGTAAAGTACTTCGTATTGGGTCTGTCACAGTAGGGGCTTAGTACAAGTAAACTCAGGCAGTGGTTTAGTAATTCAGAAAGAGGAGGCAGGAATTATAAGTAATCACTGATCTGCTTTCTGACACTAAAGATGGTTTACATTTCTAGAATATTATGTAAGTGGGATTGTGAAAAATATACTATGCTTTAGCCTTGCTCCTTTCCTTCAGCTTACTTTCAGATTTATTCATTTTGTTCTGCATTACAAGTAATTCATTTATTCTTGAAAATACTGAGCATCTTTTCCTTTGCAAATAACAAGCTGTTTGCATGTTAAGACTGTAGTTAGAAGAAGTTAAGTTTTTCAAGATCTGTGGTTAGTAACAACTCTATTTGCAGCAAAATTCCAGAAGACTGTTCTTTCTGATGTTTTAGTAATGTTTTCATTCAGTTTTTCCCTTCTGCATACTCCTGAAAGTTCAAAGATTTGATCGGAACCCGTAACCACTCCCCCACCAAAGTTTGTGTGAAATCTTTGAAACACAGCACATCTCAGTTTGTGCTCTCCACATTCCAAATGTTTAAAAATTTCATGTGGCTAATGGCTACCAGAGTCAGTAATGTTCCTCCAATGCTTAATTTGAGAGTAGTTTTGTTGTAGAAATAAGGATTATAATAAGAATTTAGATATGTAACTTTTATATAAAGTTATTAATGAGCTCCTAGTTTATTTTATTGAGCATATGATCTTTTCAAGATGGAAAAGTACTTAGATCATGACTGTTGGCTTCATTAGTGAATTACTATTATAATTATTATTATTATTTTTAAAGTCAGTAAATTTTTATTCAAGGAGTTCCATGTTGTGATTACTTCCACTGTCCAGCAAGGTCACTTCAGATCCTCTAAACAGCTGGTGTCAAAAGATATATCTTCAAGTTAGCCCTTTTTAATGAAACTGATCTAGTCGTCCTGTCAGCCCATCATTACTTTGGCTTCTGTCATCTCCTTTTAATATGGGTATACTGCTGAAGACTTCAAAATTCACCAAGAATCCTTGGGATCTAATTTCTTCATTAGTAAATTCTTAAAGAGAAGTTATTTCCTCTCTGAAATGCCGAATTTAATCCTATGCCTATGGAAGAAATGACATACATTTATGGTTGCTTTGATTTCTTTAAGAATCTCGTGCAGATGTATGTATTCTTCCAGGAAGGACATGCCTTTTTCTTAATGTTTATAATTTTTATTTCTAGGCTGTTCGCTGCTACGAATCTTTAATCTTAAAAGCTGAAGGAAAAGTGGAGTCTGACTTCTTTTGCCAATTAGGTCACTTCAACCTCTTGTTGGAAGATTATTCAAAAGGTATTGTTATTCTCTTTCTAAATTTCTTGCTTGACTTACATTTGCCCCATAGTTGTAACGTTTTTTCCTTCTTCAGGGATACTTCTGATTTTTCCTTTCTTCTGATAAACTTAAAAACATAGTAATCAATGAGAAAGAATTTAGACTAAATAGAGATGTGAAAATTTTATGTGATTTCATGTAAATATGCCGTCAATTAGATTATTGAGTAAAACGTATAATATCCTACACTTGTATTGCTATTTTGCTTGCCCTTGTGAAAATCAAGTTTTTAAAAATGTTAACAGTAGAAAGACAATACGTTTGTCATCTTTGTCTATATTATACAAACGTGGACATTTTGGAAAGATCAGGAAAACAGTATTTCCTCATTTGATTTCTCGATTTTCTTTAAAATTTTTCATTATAGTTAGAAAATATTGCAAGTCTGATCTGTAGCAGTGTGTTATTCTGAAGGAATACAGGTTAGAATACAGTGTGTTATTCTAAAGGAATCTGTAGCAGTGTGTTACTCTAAAGGAATAAAGGAATACATCTCTTGAGTTTGAGCCTTCTATACAGCAGATTTTTTTCATTCAGTCAAATGATTTTTCTTCTCAGAAATAGGTGGAGGGGTGGGCCTGGTGGCTCATGCCTGTAATCCTAGCACTTTGGGAGGCCAAGGTGGGCAGATCACCTGAGGTTAGGAGTTCAAGACCATCCTGGCCAACATGGAAAAACCTCGTCTCTACTAAAATTACAAAAATTAGCTGGGTGTGGTGACGTGTGCCTATAATCCCAACTAGTGAGACTGGAGCAGGAGAATCGCTTGGACCTGGGAGGCGGAGGTTGCAGTGAGCCGAGATTGCGCCACTGCATTCCAGCCTAGGCAACAGAGCAAGGCTCCGTCTCAAAAAAAAAAAAAAAAGCAATAGGTGGAGATAAGTTTACTTAAGATAACTGTAAAAATTGTGTACTTTTCATAGTACCAAGCCACTGACCAAGAGCATTATTTATTTAGGAAATTAGAACATTTTTCCTTCACACCAATATTCTCATACCAAAGAATATTTTATAACTTTTGGATATAAGTAAACATATTGTAGAGAGTAGGTAGATATATTTTCCAGCAAATATGGGTAGTAGAAAGAACAGTTGACTATTTTAGGATTAGAGGGAAGAGTTGGTGGGGGTATACTACTTGTGTGCTTTAGCAGTAGAGTATCTGATGTACCTCATTTTTTGTTAGGTTAAGCCAGTGTTTACTAATGAAATGTACTTTTAATTTGACGTAGCATGCTCTATGGGGTATTAATGTTTCAGCTGGAACTTTGCCATTTAAAAATGGTTTATAGTAACAGATTTATTTAAGTTTCTCTAACTTCTTCCTCCTAATAATGTAGTAGGTTGGGGAATAGTAGCAGAGGAAGTCAATGAATGATAAATGGGATTCTTTTTTTTTTTGAGATGGAGTCTCACTGTCACCCACGCTGGAGTGCACTGGCGCCATCTCGGCTCACTGCAAGCTCCGCCTCACAGGTTCATGCCATTCTCCTGCCTCAGCCTCCTGAGTAGCTGGGACTACAAGTGCCTGCCACCACGCCTGGCTAATTTTTTTTTATATATTTTTAGTAGATACCGGGTTTCACAGTGTTAGCCAGGATGTTCTCAATCTCGTGACCTCTTGATCCGCCCGCCTCAGCCTCCCAAAGTGCTGGGATTACAGGCGTGAGCCACCGCACCCGGCCTGAAATTCTTAGCACTTGTTAAATGGGCTTTATTTTAGCAGGTGACTTTTACTGGTAATGTTTATTTATAAACTTTTAGATAAAAATTTGGTTAAAATGCAATATTTCTTTTTCTTTTTTTTTTGAGACAGTCTTGTTTTGTTGCCCAGGCTAGAGTGCAGTGTCACAATGTCGGCTCACTGCAACCTCTGCCTCCTGGGTTCAAGCGATTCTCATGCCTCAGCCTGCCAAGTAGCTGGAATTACAAGCATGCGCCACCACACTGGCTAATTTTTGTATTTTTAATAGAGATGGGTTTTCACCATGTTGGCCAGGCCGGTCTCCAACTCCTGACCTCAAGTGATCCACCCGTGTCTGCCTCTCAAAGTGCTCGTATTACAGGTGTGAGCCACCATGCCTGGCCTAAAGTGTAATATTTCAAAGGAAACAATTGGAGAAGAAAAATACATAGGTTTTTCTAGTACACATTTAAGATTTTTTTTGTGTGTTTAATATGCAAACTTGAGAGCTAATAAACAAAGACCCTGAATTGAGAAGTAGATTTAAATAGGGACTGTCTGACTTTGCTATGTAGCAGTCACTTAATATGTATTTTTAATTTCTTTTTTTTTTTTTTCTTTTTTGAGACAGAGTCTTGGTGTGTCTCCAGGAATGCAGTGGCACAAACTCTAACTTGACTCATTGCAACCTCTGCCTACCTGTTCAAGTGATTCTCATGCCTCAGTCTCCCCTGAGTAGCTGGGATTACAGGCGCCTGCCACCACTCCCAGCTAATTTTTGTATTTTTAGTAGAGATGGGGTTTTAACATGTTGACCAGGCTGGTCTTGAACTCCTGACCTCAGGTGATCTGCCTGCCTTGACCTCCCAAAGTTTTGGGATTACAGGCATGAGCCATTGCTCCTGGCGTGTATTTTTAAATTTCTTAAAGCTTTAAGATTGAGAATTTAGTCACATTTTCTATTTAAAAAGAAGAGAAGAGACCTTGTATAATTTTTGTCTGTGGAGTGAATAAAGACTCCAAGGAAATTGTTTTGAAGGTTATTTTGTTGTGTTTTGTTGTGCTTTGGGCACATGGTGGGTCAGACATTGGGCAAAATACATTAAGGTCAGAGAAGAATAACGCTGACATTTAAGTTCTTGATTAAATGTTCTCTCAGGTCAATATTGGCATGAAAAGAATTAGTCTTTTGGTGAGGCGCAGTGGCTCACGCCTATAATCCCAGCACTTTGGGAGGCCAAAGCAGGTGGATCATGAGGTCAGGAGTTCAAGACCAGCCTCCCAAAATGGTGAAACCCTGTCTCTACTAAAGATACAAAAAATTAGCTGGGCATGGTGGCATGCGCCTGTAATCCCAACTACTCTATAGGCTGGGGCAGGAGAATTGCCTGAACCCTGGAGGCAGAGGTGGCAGTGAGCTGAGATTGTGCCGCTGCACTCCAGTGTGTGCAACAGGGCAACACTCTGTCTCAAAGATAAAAAGAATTAGTCTTTTTAGACGTAGAGGTTAACTTGATCACTTGTAATAGTAGAGAAGAAAATAAAATGAATACAGAGACATTCATTTATATTTTATATTTGGTGTTGAGTTGAAAGTTTTCCAATTACAAGCTAACTGAGATTCCAGCCATTCATAACTTTCTCTCTTCTATTCTTCTTTCAGGTAAGTAATTTGTTACCTGTTGTACTGACAGCCACTTTTGTTAAAAATTTTGGCTCTGTGTTTTTGGTTCCTGTACATTTACTATTACTCCAAGAATGACTAATAATGTATGTCAAACTTTATGTTTCTTTTTCTTCTTTTGTTTGCCTTTCACTTTCTTGGGTGAAATTATAATACTCTGTCCTGGTACATAGAGTATAAGAACATAAAATGGGTGCTTCCCACTAATAGGTCTTTGAGTTATGCTTCTCCAAAAATAATAGTTTTATTTCATTTATGGATGAGCCTATTTGTGTTGCTGTTTAAATTGAAGATGGTGTTTCTTTAATTTGAAGTGTTGGTATAGTTTGAAAATATAAAAATCTGTTTTTTTAAAAAAGGAATTCGGTGTTTTTTTCCTTCAACTTTTATTTTAAGTTCTGGGGTACATGTGCAGGATGTGCAGGTTTGTTATATAAGTAGACATGTACCATGGTTGTTTGCTGCACAGATCCACCCATCACCTTGGTATTAAGCCCAGCATCCATTAGCTATTCTTCCCAGTGCTCTCCCTTCCTGATTCTTGATTATAGCTTTTTTCTGTTGCCTAGAGAAGGGAATTTCTTAAATATACAGTTTCTTAATCTGTAATGTGGAAATACTGTTTGTTTTCAGTATAAAGTAGAATATTTATATAAACTAGTGACCATAGTGTATGTTTCATGGAGTATGGTAGTCAGCATGGCCTTGGACCAACCCAGTTTTCATTCTTTCTCACTTGTAGTTCACAAGAATGACTGTAGAATGTACTGGGAATACAACATCCTAAGATGATGAGGGACTCAGCAAACAGCCTCCTTTTTTCCCAACTGCCTTCCACACCAGAAACAGGGTGCACTAAAGAGCTGGTGGTGTGTTCTTTCAACTGTTTAGCTCATTAAGGCTTATAATGCCAGGGTGTTAAACTTAGGGCTGCTTTTCAGGGTTCCTCAGCTATGGTGCAAGTGGACATGGGCAGATGAGACTCCATATGCTTTGGGCAGCTTTCATGAGCCTTAGGCCAAAGCTTGCAATGAATACTAGGCTTCTGTTATCCAGATTAGCAGCCTGAGATAGGCTCTCTGTCTTACTAGACTCAGACTCAGTATATGTGTGTGTGTGTGTCTGTATAAAACAATGAATTTGCTTAACAATGGATATAGATTCTTGTCATTTAGATTAATGTTATAAATCATTGTGAAAACTGAATTAGCAAATACTGAACTATTGTTCCTAAAGGGAAATACAGGATAAAGTTCCTATTAGCCTTTGATCACAACATTGTTGTTAGCTGATCAATACATAACTATATTTTATGTGTATTTCTGTTTAAAAATCCCTACTAAAATCTAAATTGTTGATTCATTATCATTGAACTCAAAGCCAGAAGCATTATAACTCATGCCTGAATGAAATATATTTTTCTGTGAGGCACATCACATTCTTTTTGTATTTAGGCACATTGGCACATGACGTTCTTTTTGTACTTAGGGACATCAGACAGCTCTTCAGCACTATACATCGGTTAGTGATTTTGTATACTTCTTAATGTTTCATTTTATTTTGTTATTTTATATTGTATTTTATTATTTTTTATGTATTTATTTTATGTATTTATTTACTTTTTTGAGACAGGGTCTCACTGTCACCCAGGCTGGAGTGCTGTGACGTGATCTCGGCTCACTGCCACCTCCACCTCCCGGGTTCATCTGTCTCAGCCTCAGCCTCCTGCCTCAGCCTCCCAAGTAGCTGGGACTGCAGGTGCCCGCCACCACGCCTGGCAATTTTTTTGTATTTTTAGTAGAGATGGGGTTTCACCGTGTTAGCCAGGATGGTCTTGATCTCCTGACCTCATGATCCACCCGCCTTGGCCTCCCAAGTGCTGGGATTACAGGTGTGAGCCACTGCACTCAGCTTTATTTTTTGAAACACAATCTCACTCTGTCAACGAGGCTGGTGTGCAGTGGTGCGATCTTGGCTTACTGCAACCTATGTCTCCTGGGTTCAAGCGATTCTTGGGTTCAAGGGATTCTTGTGCCTCAGCCTCCCTAGGAGCTGGGATTACAGGTATGTGCCACCACACCCAGCTAATTTTTATATTTTTAATAGAGATGGGGTCTCACCATGTTGGCCAAGCTGGTCTTAAACTTCTGACCTCAAGTGATACGCCTGCTTTGGCCTCTCAGAGTGCTGGGATTACAGGTGTGAGCCACTGCACCCAGCTGGATAGTGATTTTAAACAGCGAAATTACTAACAAAAGAGCAAAAATCAGAAAAATGTGACACTGCATACAGCAGGAAAAGCCTGTTTGTTTAGAATACTTGACACATGAAGTCAGAGAAAGGCCCACCGCTTCTAACATTAGCTGGGAGTGTGTATCCAGTGGGTCGAATTTATTGCTGCCCTGAGCAGGTCTGTGAATATCTTTGAAACCATCATTAAGTATTGATTTTGTGTATATATAAATTTTCGTGAGTCAAATAACAGAACCCACAAGTAATGAATATCAATTAAAGCTCTGAAAGCTGATAAATCGTTGCATATATGTCATATGATCTTTTAGCTAGAGATTCATGGAAAATTTGTAAAGAATATAGATTTTTCCTATATCATGTGGCTGTGTTCTTTTGTTGACAGTAAAGGACAAAATATTGCAATAAACTTGTGCTCATAGAATGGTATTATATGTCTTTGTAAAGCTGATAAATTTTTGCATATCCATCAGGTGATTTTGTATTTATCTTCCCTGCATTCAGAAGTTAAATACACAACGTCTTCATGTAATGTCCAATTAAATATATTTAGAATTCAGTCAGAGTTTTAAAAAGTCATAGATAGCTTCCTACTCGGCTTCTGAAAAACCTTTAGAGATTTCTCAATGATCACAATTTGTGGTGTCACTAATTTAGTCTGATTTATTCAAGGAGGAAAATGCAATTGAGAAGTTCAGAGAATAGCATATTAGTGATCATACCTCAGGTTTTCAGACATTCATGCCCATGCTCTCAGAACTATGGAATTGATGCATTGGGCAACTAGTAAAAGTTCTGTTAGCTTTGAGAACTGATGAATTTGTGGCAGAACACATTGCAAAAACAGAAAGAACGAAACTTTCTTGGAGGTTGTATGTAGCCAGTTCTGAGACCCTGATGACCTTGATGAGAATGTTATTTTAGTAATGTCAACAGGTGCTGGAGAGGATATGGAGAAATAGGAAAACTTATACACTGTTGGTGGAACTGTAAACTAGTTCAACCATTGTGGAAGACAGTGTGATGATTCCTCAAGGATCTGGAACTAGAAATAGGATTTGACCCAGCCATCCCATTACTGAGTATATGCCCAAAGGATTATAAATCATGCTGTTGTAAAGACACATGCATATGTAAGATTATTGAGGCACTATTCACAATAGCAAAGACTTGGAACCAACCCAAATGCCCATCAATGATAGACTGGATTAAGAAAATGTGGCACATATACACCGTGGAATACTATGCAGCCATAAAAAAGGATGAGTTCATGTCCTTTGTAGGGACATGGATGAAGCTGGAAACTATCATTTCAGCAAACTATTGGAGGGACAAAAAAACAAACACTGGGCGTTCTCACTCATAGGTGGGAATTAAACAATGAGAACACTTGGACACAGGAAAGGGAACATTACACACCAGGGCCTGTTGTGGGGTTGGGGGGAGGGGGGAGGAATAGCATTAGGAGATATACCTAATGTAAATGACGAGTTAATGGGTGCAGCACACCAACATAGCACATGTATACATATGTAACAAACCTGCACATTGTGCACATGTACCCCAGAACTTAAAGTATAATAAAAATATGTACATATATATATATATATGTATATATCCTCAAAAACTTCACAGAATTACCAATGAACCAGAAATGCTACTCTGAGGTATACACCCCTAAATAATTGAAACAAAACAAACCACTCAAACAAACACTTGTTCATGAATGCCCATAGCAACTTGATTCAAGTAGCCAAAAGGTGGAAACAACTCAAATGTCCATGACTATGTAAACAAGCTGTAGTATATACAGACAACGGAATATTACTCAGCCATAAAAAGGAATGGAGTACTGATACCTGCTACAACCTGCATGTCCCTTAAAGACATTATGCTAAGTGAAAGGAGCCAGACACAGAATCCCGTGTTTTTTGACTTATTTTATATAAAATATTCAGAATAGGTAAATCCTTAGAGACAGAGTAGATTAATGATTGCCAGAGAATTATAGTGTGTACTTCTGGAGTAACAAAAAAACTTGAAAATAGAGAGTGGTGGTGGCTGCACAACATTGAGAATATACTAAATGCCACTGAATTGTACACTCTAAAATTGCTAATTGTATGTTATGTGGATTTCATCTCAATAAAAGAAACATCAAAAAAACCAGTGTTCAGATAACTAAAAAGATAAATTATTGCTTTGTGTTTTGTTTACATCTGTATTTACTGCATTGAGCTTGGTGACTCACAGTATTTAAGAAAAATTCTACGAAGGCTTCAGTAATACATTTGCCACCAAGAGACAACTGTTAAAACTTTTGATAAAACTCCTAATAGACTATTGTGTCAATATAAACATTTCAGAATTTAAAATGTGTTTTTTACTCTGCATACCAGTTTGTAACTTAAAGTCAATAGAGTATACTAATAATATCGTGCCAAAATACCTGAAATTTATAGCCTGCATATACAATTTTAAAACATTTGTAACCCCTTATTCCATTACTTAAGTTAAACATTTTCTCGGCTGGGCATGGTGGCTCATGCCTGTAATTCCAGGACTTCGGGAGGCCAAGTTAGGCAGATCACCTGAGGTCGGGAGTTTGAGACCAGCCTGGCCAATATGGTAAACCTCGTCTCTACTAAAAATAACAAAAACTAGCAGGGTGCGGTGGCGCACACCTGTAATCCCAGCTTCTCTGGGACTGAGACGAGAATCTCTTGAACCCATTGAGACAGGAGAATCTCTTGAACCCAGGAGGCGGAGGTGAGCTGAGATGGTGCCATTGCACTCCAGCTTGGGCAACAGAGTGAGACTCTTCTTAAAACTAGAAAACATTTTCTTACTGAGCATTTTAGTCTCTTTGTTTCTTTTTATGCTTTTAAAATAATCACTGTTGACAAGCCTAGTGAAAATTTTTATGTGCCAATAATTGCTGTTATATATCCATTACCGGCATCATGGAAGCGAGGAATACACACACACAAATACTCTTGTTTTTAAATGAACTTTTGAATGCTTAATGCTAGATTGTCCTCTTGAAAGGCTTTATTGATTTATATTTGCATATCAGTATGTATGAGAGTAACTATGTTCTTGAATTCCTATCACTGCTTAGTATTATTTGTACCATTGGATTGTAGTTTATATTACTAATTTCTCTTCCACTCTCCTTCCCGCGCCCCCCACCCTGTCCTTTCCCCTCCTTCTTTCGCTCCCTCCCTCCTTTCCACCCTCCTTCCCTCATTTCCCTTCTTTTCCTTCTCTTTCCTTTCTCTCCTTCCTTCTCTTTCTTCCTTTCCTTCCTTCTTTTTTGTTCTTTGACAATTGCTTCTGTTTTCATTTCTAAGAAAATTCTTACAAATCCTTAAAACTCATAAAAATGGGAGAAGTTGTCATAAATTTTTTTGTTCTAGTATGTATACAGTAGTCAGGACCTTTTGTAAAGTTTGTATTTCCCCTTTAAAAAATTATTTGTAAAATGACATAAAAATTATGTATCTTTCTCGTGTACAACATCTCGTTTTGAAATATGTGTACATTGTAGAAACTAACATTTGCATTACTTCACAAATTTCTATTTATTTTGGTGTTAAGAACATTTAAAATTTACTCTCTGCAATTTTCAAGATATATAATATGAATATAGTTACTATGTTTTATAGTAGATCCCTTGAACTTATGCTATCTTACTAAAATTTTGTTTCCTTTGACCAACATCTCTTTACACCCCTCACCCTCATTTTTTTTTCTTCTTGAGACAAGGTTTGGCTCTGTCGTCCAGTCTGGAGTGTGGTGGCACAATAATGGCTAACTGCTATCTCCGCTTCCCCAGCTCAAGCAGTCCTCCCACATCAGCCATCTGAGTAGCTGGGGCTACAGGCGTGCGCCACCATGCCAGGATATTTTTTGTATTCTTTGTGGAGATGGGGTTTTGCCATATTGCCCACACTGGTCTTGAACTTCCGAGATCAAGCAGTCTGCCATCCTGACCTCCCGAAGTGTTGGGATTACAGGTGTGAGCCAATGTGCCCGACCCCATTTTTTTATTTAAAAGAAGTGAAGCAAGGTCATGAGGTTAAAGAAAAAATGACATGGCACCTTTTCCACTTCTTTTTCTCCTTGTATTTCTATTATGTTAAAGATAAAAATATGGTAGGGGTTATAGAACTCTGAAGTGTTTTTTTAATAGTTAACTTTCATTATTTGCTCTTGAATTTTTTTCTTTATATAAATATATTGTTGGTTCTTGGCAGTCATTTTAATACTTTTAAGAAGTATGTTTGTGTATTTAATCTGTGATTAACAAATGAGTTTTATGTTCTCTGGCTTTAATGAAACAGTGAATTTCAGGTACTTAGGAATACTTTTAAGGAAATTAGGGATTTAAGCTTATAACAGACTAAAATGAATAGATTTAAATACAAGAAATTAGGGATTTAAGCTGATAACAGACTAAAATGAATAGATTTAAATACAAAACAAATATTAAAAATAATTAGAAGGCTGTTTAAGACTAAAATTGGGTTCAGGGATTGATAAAACTTAAGTTTTGGGCATTCATCAAGGGGTTGATGTTGAAATGGTTGTTAAACCATTTTTGTAAGTGGTAAAGGAAAACAATGATCTTGCCTATAATAATATTAAAAGGTTTCATAGTGGGATGAACAAGGACAACTTCAGCCACTGAGGACCCAAGAAGCACATAATAAAGAGTGCGTGAATTTTGGTTTACCAAGAGAAAAATCAGTCAGACGATTACTGCAATTATTATGAAACAGACATGGTGTAGTATAAAGAAATCAAAATAAATGATCCTCACACTCTTGCCCCATCCTGTGTTTAAGACTTCAGAAAAGTCTGGTTATAGTAGGATTAGGAATTTTATCCATAGGTCAGTACTTGACTTACCTATTAAAAATAAGGACAATGCTTTGGATAAGGTAAATTCGACAGAGAAACTATAATGAAGGAGATTGGTAATAGTTATTAATTTTAATAACCTATTTAGAAGACATAAAATGTTAAGATTTTTTAAATGATAAGATCCCAGGGACTGATGTAATAGACTGATTCTTGAGAACTTGCTTAAATGGCTGAAAATATAACAGGTAAGCTTAAGTACATTAGGTGTACATGTATAAGAGGTAAATAAATTCCTCATAAATTCTGAATATGAATTTTAAACTTTATAGGTTGCAAATGGAGGCTGACCTAGTACTCTCCTAATGCCTTTATCTAGGACAATGGTTGACAGAATGATTGTAACGTTTTTACTTTTTTTTAAATTTTATTATTATTATACTTTAAGTTTTAGGGTACATGTGCACAACATGCAGGTTTGTTACATATGTATACGTGTGCCATGTTGATGTGCTGCATCACTTAACTCGTCATTTAGCATTAGGTATATCTCCTAATGCTATCCCTACCCCCACCCCACAACAGTCCCCAGAGTGTGATGTTCCCCTTCCTGTGTCCATGTGTTCTCATGGTTCAATTCCCACCTATGAGTGAGAATATGCGATGTTTGGTTTTTTGTCCTTGCGATAGTTTGCTGAGAATGATGGTTTCCAGCTTCATCCATGTCCCTACAAAGGACATGAACTCATCATTTTTTATGGCTGCATAGTATTCCATGGTGCGTATGTGCCACATTTTCTTAATCCAGTCTATCCTTGTTGGACATTTGAACTAAAGAGCTTCTGCACAGCAAAAGAAACTACCATCAGAATGAACAGGCCACCTACAGAATGGGAGAAAATTTTTGCAAACTACTCATCTGACAAAGGGCTAATATCCAGAATCTACAATGAACTCAAACAAATTTACAAGAAAAAAACAAACAACCCCATCAAAAAGTGGGCAAAGGACGTGAACAGACACTTCTCAAAAGAAGACATTTATGCAGCCAAAAAATGCATGAAAAAATGCTCATCATCACTGGCCATCAGAGAAATGCAAATCAAAACCACAATGAGATACCATCTCACACCAGTTAGAATGGCGATCATTAAAAAGTCAGGAAACAACAGGTGCTGGAGAGGATGGGGAGAAATAGGAACACTTTTACACTGTTGGTGGGACTGTAAACTAGTTCAACCATTGTGGAAGTCAGTGTGGCGATTCCTCAGGGATCTAGAACTAGAAATACCATTTGACCCAGCCATCCCATTACTGGGTATATACCCAAAGGATTATAAATCATGCTGCTATAAAGACACATGCACACATATGTTTATATCGGCACTATTCACAATAGCAAAGACCTGGAACCAACCTAAATGTCCAATAATGTTTTTACTTTTTATAGACATGGTCAAGTGTATACTACATTTTACAAGTTATTAGAGAGTTTCTATGTATACTCCGTTTCCCTCTTAGCCTCTTCCACTAGGATGATAGATCTGTCACAGTATTATGAAGCAGTATTGATACATTAACTAAAGTCTCTATTCAAATTCTTCTTAAGAGTTTTTCCCTATTGTCCTTTTTCTCTTTCAGAGTTCCGACTAGGATAGCTCATTTCATTTAGTTGTCATGTCTCCTTATGATCTTGTCTGTTGCCACTTTCTCAGGCTTTCCTTATTTTTGATGATGTTAATAGTACTCAGGAGTATTGGTCAGGTATTTTGTAGCATGTCCCTGAACAGGGATCATGTGTTGTATTTCTCATGATTAAATTAGGATTATCATTTTTTTAGGGGGAAAATTACAAAAATAAAGTGCATTTTTATCACATCATATCAGAGACATATACTGTCAACATGACTTAGCAATGTTAATGTTATTCACTGGCTGAGGCATGTTTGTTAGGTTTCTCCACTGTGAAGTTACTGTTTTTGCTTCTTTGCATATCATATTGTCTGGAAGAAAGTCACTATCAATAGCCTGCACTCAAGGGAGTACTTTTTTACAGGTATAGACAAGCCAGTTCTTGGGGGTTCATTTGGATTTTGTTGAGTTTATTAATTATTTTAGGAAGGATGTTCATCTTATCTATAGTAATTCTTTTAATTCATGTAAATGAAATAACTTTTCAATTGTTTTGTGCTTTAATTTCTTGTTTTGACAGTTTCAACATACAGATCCTGCATGTCTTATTAAATATATTCTTATACTAAGATCTAAATATTTAAAATTTTGGTGCTAAATTTTTATATATAGTTGTTTATTGTTAGTACTATATAAGAAATAATAGTTGAGTTTTAAAATTGACTTTGTATCATAAGAGCTTACTAAATTCATGCTAGTTCTAGGAGTAGATTTTATAGATTCCTTGAAATTTTGTTGTTTTCTTCAACAACTTATAAATAATTGGATATTGTTTAGTTTTGAAAAACTGAATACCCCAGCATAAATAAAACTGATTTTTAGAAACAGACTTTAGGACAACATACTTCTTACAATTAGTGTTTCTGACTAGGCTCTTATATGTTCCAGGTACTAGAAATTTGTGAGGAAATAAGATGAGGGAGAGAGTGGACAATTCAAATGATGGTCATGTTAGAACACTTCTAAGGGGAGTGAGATGGCCTTCTAGTCATCTAGTTTATAGTGTGTGAAAAGGATAGTAGAGGTGGTTTAAAAAAATAGGTTTGCACATATAATAATCAAAACCAAGTTTAACTGGACATTTTTCAGATAAAGAAATACAGGAACAGCAGATGTTGGTAGACATCAGTATGCATATGTCCTGAGTCATGGTATTCCTAAATTCTATCTGGGACATAGATGCCATTTTTGAACCTTTTTTCTTTGTTCTGGTACTGCTGTTTTCTTTATCACGTATCTTTTTTGTTGGTATATAATTGTTTTTCATTATTTTTAGAGACAGATTCTTGCTCTGTCGTCCAGGTGGGGGTGCACTGGCTCAGTGTTGACTCACTGCAACCTCCATCTTTGTGGCTGAAGCCATTTTTCCACTTCAGCTGCCCAGGTAGCTGGAACTACAGGTGCAAGTCACCATGGCTGGCTAATTTTTGTGTTTTTTTTCAAGAAACAGTTTCATTACCTGAGGCTGGCTTTGAACTCTTGAACTTGAGTAATCCATACCTGCCTTGTTCTCAGAGTGCTGGGATTATAGGTGTGAGCCTCCATGCCCAGCCAGTGTATAGTATTTTCTAGATGAGCACATTCTTTAGTAGCTTCTTAAGGAAAGATTCATGAGATATAATGTTGTTTTGAGACTTCACATATATGTTTGTGTGAAATATCTTTCTTTTACCCTTGCAACTGTAAATTAATAGTATAAATATTTAAATCTAGGATGGAAATAGTTTTTTAAAAATATAATTTTGGAAGTAGTTTTCCATTTTCTTGGTCCTAGAATTGCTGGTATGGAGTCTGAAGCTCCTTAATAACAATTTTTTTCATGTGACCTGTTGCTTAGTGCCCTACCCCTGGAAGTCTTTGTCCTTATGTTGTAAATAGAGGAGTAAGTGGTCTTTTTGGGGTCACTAAGGCTCATTCCAATATGGCTGTGGAGATTATACTTGATGAGGCAAATGAGATTAAAGGATTTGTTATACTCACAGGTTCTAGAAGAAGGAGGCCTGACACCCCACACAAGGGGTCATCTAGGTGGAACTCCCAGAGAATGGCCTCACCCAGCACATCAGGAGCTGAGAGAAAGTGGAACTCCTCTATTAGGGGTCAGGACAGAATACTCAAGCAAAAGTCTAGAGAGAATTTTACTGATGTCTTTGGATTTTTCTAGATCATAATCAGGGAAAGGCAAGAAGGTCAACTTGGCAGGGACTATCCTTATCCTATTGATGGACCTGGTCATTTGGGTTAGATGGTCACAGGCTGTGGGGATGTTGAAGACTTAGGAAAATACTAATTTTCTAAAAACTGGGAATATAGAACTATTTTTCCAGAGTTTCAAATTGATATGTTTTAGAATAGGCCTATTTTAATCTGTTATGTGTCCTTGTGAATCAGCATCTCATGTCCTTCGTGTTGGAAGTGTTTTGGTGATAATTTAGAAAATCTGTTATTCTTACCCTTACTCTAAAATTTTATTGTTCATATGCTTTAGCACATGATAGTCTGTGATTATGGATAGTCTTTCTGATCTTTGAATTTTCCCATCTCTTCCAGGGAGAGATCTTTACTTATTCCAGAAAAAATCATTTTTCATTTTTTTTAAAGTTTTGTGTTAAAATATATATAACACAATTTGCCATTTAAATAACTTTTAAGTGTTAAATTTCTTTAGCAGTAAGTACCTCATAGCCATCACCACTCTTCGAAAACTTTTCTTTAATCATACCAACAAAACTCTGTAGCCATTCAGCTATAAATTCCTATTCACCACACTCAGCCCTTGTTTGCCTGCATTACACCTTGATCTGTATGAACGTATCTTCCCTTGGTAAGTTATAAGTGGAATAATGCATTATTGTTCCTTTTGTGTCTGGATTCTTTTACCTGGCATGTGTTTAATTTAGTCATTCATATAATATGTATTAGAATTTCATTTGTTTTTAAGGCTTTTTTTTTTTTTTTTTTTTTTCCTGAGACAGTGTTGCTTTTGACGCCCAGGCTGGAATGAAGTGGTGTGATCTGACTCACTGCAACCTCGGCCACTTGGGTTCGGGTGATTGTCCTGCCTCAGCCTCTTGAGTAGCTGAGATTATAGGCACCTACCACCATGCCTGGCTAATTTTGTATTTTTAGTAGAGACAGGGTTTTGCCATGTTGTCTAGGCCAGTCTCGAACTCCTGGTCTCAGGTGATCTGCCCACCTTGGCCTCCGTAAGTGCTAGGATTGTAGGCGTTAACCACCATGCCCTGCCTGTTTATTTTCTTCAACGAGTTTACAATGTGTATATTTCTTTCATTGAAATGTTATTTTAGTGGTCACTCCTCTTTCTTCCTTTCTTCAGTTAGGTCCTTGCAGTCACTAGCCTATCTTCTGTCTCTGTGGATTGCCTGTTATTGATATATAAATGATATCATATTGTATATGTCAGCTGTTTTTACTCAGCAAAATGTTTTCAGGGTTCATTTATATTGCAGCATGTATTACTACTATGTTCCTTTTTATTACTGAATAATATTTTATTGTATGTGTATGCCACAGTTTACTGTTCATCTTGGATGAATGCTTTGGTTTTTTTTCCTATCTTTTGGCTGTTGGGAATATGCTATGAAAATTAGTATACAGACATCTGTTTGAGTCCCACTTTTAGTTGTTTTTTGTTGTTGTTGTAGTTGTTACCTAGGCTGGAGTGCAGTGACGTGATCTTGGCTCACAGCAGCCTTTGCCTCCCAGGTTCAAGCAATTCTCTTGCCTCAGCCTCCTGAGTAGCTGGGATTATGGGCACGTGCCAGCACACCCAGCCAATTTTTGCCTTTTTTTATTTTATTTTTCTATTTTTTTTTTTTTTTTGGTAGAGACAGGGTTTCGCCATGTTGGCCAGGCTGGTCTCGAACTCCTGACCTCAGGTGATCCAGCCGCCTCGGCCTCCCAAAGTGTTGGGATTACAGGCATGAGCCACTGCACCCGGCGTTCAATTCTTCTGACAAGTTAGCTGGGAGTGAAATTGCTATTTTTATTACTGAAAAAGCAGTAATTTTTTTTAAGAAAACCTGTTTTCCACAGATGCTGTACCCATTATTACTATCTTGCCATTGAAGGAGGAGACTTCCAGTTTTTTGCCAACACTTGTTTTTTACTATTTCCCCACACCTCCCATTGTAACTATTACAGTGTGAAGTGATAGTCTCATAGAGGTTTTGATTTGCATTATTTCCCTAATGACTAACAATGTTGAGTATCTTTTCAGGTGTTCATAGGCCATTTATGTATCTTTGGAGAAATATCTGTTCGGATTCTTTATGTATTTTTTTAGTTGAGCTACTTGTCTTTTTGTTACTGAGTTTTAGGAGTTTTTTGTATATTCTCGAAAATAAAGTTTGATTAAACATATGATTTGCAAATATTTTCCCCCATCGTATAGGTTTTTGTTTCATTTTATTAACAATGTGCTTTGCACAGAAGTTTCTAATTTAGATCAAGTTCAGTTCATCTTTAGTTGCTCATGCTTTTGGTGTCCTCTCTGTTGCTGTGTTCATGAACATGAAGAATCTTTATATTTTCTTTCAGATTTCTTTGGTTTTACTTCTTATATTTAATAAAGAATTAATTACATTTAGTATATTATGTGAGTTGGGGGACCAGCCTCATTCTTTTGCATGAGAAAATTGAACTGCCCTTTCAAGAGTGAACTAGGCATTCTGTGAAAAAATCAATTGATCATATATGTAAAGATTATTTTCAGGTTCTCAGCTCTATTCTACCATTGGTCTCTATTTCTATCCTTATGTTAGCTGTACTGTTTTGATTATAATAGCTTTGTAGGAAGTTTTGATACTGGGAAGTGTGAGTCATCGGAGTTTATTGCTCTTCACAATTGTTTTAGCTACTTGCCATTGCTTAGTGCTCTAGCAGTGCACTGGTCCGAAAGTGACCTCTCTCTCTGGAGCAATGCCTTTGCTTGATCTCCAGGAAGTCCCGTTAGTCTGAGGACCCTTGAAGGATGTAGGGGCTTTGTTGTGGCTAGCATCCACATCTCTTTTTCACTCACATTTGGATAAATTTCATACCTATCTTTTAAGTACATTTACGTCTGGTTCTTTCTTCATTCCTTGTGGAGTGTGATGACACTTAGATCTCTGGTTAATAACCTACTAATCCCTGAGCCTCCATTCTTTCTCTTGCCTTAGTTTATTTTTTCTTGTTAGTTTGGATTGAATAGTTTTTTATCTTTCTGTATTCTAGTTTAATGATGTTTCTGTGTGCATTGTGCCACCAAGGCTATGAGCTGAGCTCTTTATTTTGAGTATTTCATTTATAAGTTCTAAAGTTTACATTGGTTTGCCTTTTATAGCTTCTGTTTCTTTACTGTGACTTTCAATTTTTCCTTTTTTCATTGTTCTTTGAAGCACTTTTATTCCAGTTTAAAAATTTTTATCATATATTCAAACATTTCTCCCATCTTTTTCATTCATTGTGGTATACTTCTTTTTTTTGATATGGTGAATGATTTTTGACTGGATCTTGGAAGTTTTTATGTTAACGCTGTCAGACAGAGTCTCACTCTGTTGCCCAGCAGTAGTGCTATCTCAGCTCACTGCAGCGTCCGCCTCATGGGTTCAAGTGATTCTCATGCCTCAGCCTCTCAAGTAGCTGAAACTACAGGTATGTGCCACCATACCTCACTAATTTTTGTAGTTTTAGTAGAGATGGAGTTTCCCTATGCTAATAGGCCAGGCTGGTCTGGAACCCCTGACCTTAAGTGATCCACCCACCTCGGCCCCCAAAAGTACTGGGATTACAGGTATGAGCCACTGCACCTGGCTGGTGGATCTTACGTTAATCTACAGTAAACGGTATTGCTGTCTCTTACTGCTAGGTGAATGTTAAAGTTCAGATTACTGAGTTAGGCTTTTTGCTAATGTTGAACTGAAATGAGAATTTTGGCTTCCCACATGGTTTCCATTATTATTCCAGTCTTCCTTATTACTGGCCAGTGGTTAAAATCCTGACTTCCACTGGGGTGCTCTCACTCCACTAACGTGCAGACAGCTTGTTTCTGCCACGTGAGTGTGAAATCTAGGCTACCTTCATCAGAGGACATGTAAGCCTCACTACCAGCCATCAGATAAATTCTTTTCTTGCTCCCTACTTGGCTTCCTCTCACATTAATGCAATAGGTAGCCTGATATATGATAGATGTCTGTGCTTTCTACTTGGCCTTTGTGTAGAGTAGGTGGTTTGAGGGAACTTTTTTCTGTACTGTTTACAGTACACAGATCCCGTTCTAAGTTTTCTGTCCTGCTGGATTGCCATTTTCCTTTGATTAGGGAGATTAGTACCACCCTGCCCTCCTTCATTCTTTTTGATGCTTCTGGAATGGTGGCTTCTTCAGTTTCAAATGTAGGATGAAAGGGAAAAACATAACCTGTAAATTGGTGGGAATTTACCACTATGGTATTCCTCAGGCTTTCTGTTCCTTTTTCCGTTCTTTTTTTTTCTGACAGTTGTTACTTGTAGTGTTTATGCTGAAGGGTATCCTGCATTACTCATTTGCGCAACGCTTTTTGAGGTCTATCTTCCAGGACTTTACTAACCCAGGAGATTCTTTCTCTCCGTTTCTCTCTGTAAAACTTCTAGCCAGTCTGCAGTTTAGATACTTGCTATTTTGGAGCTACTAGACACTTAACTGTAAAAATCTACATGTTTTCTATGGGTTTGAACAACCCCAAATGCTTTCTGTATAAATTCACACTAGAAGAGCAATTACTGCATTCCATGATCTTAAGACTATTTTTTCCACTAGAGTTGAACCTTTGCTCTTCAAGGGCTGGAGCCTGAGATAATGGCCACTATTCTTGAAATGATCCCTGTGTTTTAGGAGCAGGTACTGGGCAGGAGCTATAGTCTTTAGTCTGCTTGCCTCTCTTACATGGAGTCTACCCAGAGTTATTTGGGTCAAGGGCTGTTGGGCATCAGTACTTTCGTGGTCTGTTGCAACTGGATTAGAGTTTTCAGTTAGCCATTCTGGGCATGGGAGAGCAAAGCAGCCTCTCGTCTTGTCATTTGCCCTTTTTTTTTTTTTTTTTCAGACAGAGTCTCGCTTTGTCATCCAGGCTGAAGTGCAGTGGCACGAACTTGGCTCACTGCAGTGTCCGCCTCCCAGGTTCAAGTGATTCTCCTGCCTCAGCGTCCCGAGTAGCTGGGAGTACAGGCACGTGCCACCACGCCCGGCTAAGTTTTTGCATTTTTAGTAGAGATGGGGTTTCACTGTGTTAGTCAGGATGGTCTCCATCTTCTGACCTCGTGATCCACCTGCCTCAGCCCCCTGAAGTGTTGGGATTACAGGCGTGAGCAACTGCGCCTGGCCATGCTTGTTTTTAATATAGTTTCTGCAATACTGAGCTGAGTAGGGGAAATGTTGGTAGCCTACATCTGTTGAGGTGTTAGCCTAGCCCTAAAACAGGAGCTTGTGCAAGAAAGAACACTTCATTTTGGTGGGTCTAGTGGTCCTATCTTACTGAGCTGGGGTACAGTAGGAATGGTGTCAGAAAGAATTAGTTCAGGCTACAATACGATAGATTTTCACTGTTTTTTGCTGAGAACTTAGTTTATTTTCTTAGTAAAATTTTCTCCATTTGAATAGTACCCTTAAGACAGCTATAGAGAGACTTTAAGTCTGCTTTTCTTGAGAAAGTGTCTATGGATCTTTTCAGGCTACTTTTTTGGATGTCACTCCTTTACACTTTTTCGTTTTGAAAGTAAATATTTTAGTTATAGAAATGTAGCCTATATCGTGAGATGATTCTTATATATGCTACTGTCTGTTGAGCATTAAATTTGGTTCTTTTAAAATTCTGTCTTGTCATTTTTATGATTGTTTGAAAAAAGCAAGATTTCCTCAATAGGCTTACCCCCACACCTTAACTTTTTGTAGCTAAATTCAGTGGAAGCATTTCAGCTAACGTTTACATTTTTATTGTAAAAATCTCTGAAATTTCTAAAAATGATTGTTCAAGACAGAATCCTCCGCATATAACAATATGTTCAATCTGCCACTTTTGGCATTCTGCTATTTTCAGTTAATTTTTTTTCATTTTTTTCAATTTATTTTTGACTTTGGGTGATATTCAGTGCTATAATTTATCCTGAAAGCCTATCCCCAGGAATATAATCATTGCTTAGCTGTTTTTCAGAGATTCTGAGTTGATTGGATAAAGTGATGAGTTTTCCTAGTTTTGTCATTATTAATGTTTCCACTAATTCTAATGTGCTTATACGACTTCTTTTTTATGTTTTTATTTTGTGGTTTTATTTTATGTGCCTTTTTTTAGGCTGTCAGGAACAACTACTTTATATGATTTGAGTACTCTTTTTGCTTTTAGATAGGTTTTAGGGCATAAGGCATCCTAACTTGGAATTAAACTATAGATAATAGTAGTCTACTGATTGTGCAAAGGGAAGCATCACAAAGTTATTTTGTGCCTTAGGTGACTGAATTTTTATCTTTCTAGAAAGTGAATTGCATGTTAAGAAAAATTAGAAAACTTTATCATAGTAGGGAATACCTCTAGAAGATTGCCATTACTTTTGGTCCCTGAAGGAGGTCAAATTGATTCAAGTAATTGCTAAGATACTATGTTGGTTTGAGTACATGGGTGAGATTCGATCATGGTTTTATATACCTGATTAAATTAGTAAGCCATAAAATTTAGGTTATTTCATTTTTATTGTTTGTTAACAGATGGGCATGTTTGGCAGCTTATATTAAAATATCAATTTAATGTCTTACAGTGGATTTTTAAATGGGATATGATTTGGCTAATAATTATTTTTTCTTTTCCAGCATTATCTGCATATCAGAGATATTACAGTTTACAGGCTGACTACTGGAAGGTTGGTACAAATTTTCAATGCCAGTTTTTATTTCCTTTATGGCAGATCATACTCAAAATACATTTATCTTGTCATAGGATGTATGATACTACTGTTAGTTGTAACTGCTATGAGGATTAGCCATAGATAGTACAATGTGGATAAAGGGAAAGTCCTGTTTTAGTCACAGACTTTGAAAGGCCATGTGTTGATTCCTAATATAAATAAAATTATTTCTGGCTTTCATGAATTACTTGAGTGGGAAAGAAATGTAATTAAAAATGAAATCTACTTAGTTCCAAAACATATATTGATAAGCATTTATTTTGATTTATTATTTTTTGGTAAAACATTATGGACGTATAATACATATATAGCTTAGAATTCACTCATTTAAAGTGTACAATTCAGTAATTGTTAATGTATTCATAGAGTTGTCCAACCATCACAATTAATTTTGAAACATTTTCATGATATTAAAATAAAACACTGTACCCTTCTGTTTCCCTCCATTAACGTGGCACTAAGCAGTCATTAATTTCATTTCTGTTTCTATATATTTGTGTATTCTGGACGAATTTTGATGGAATCCATCAAAACTTAAATCTATGGTGCTTCAAAGAATGCTATCAAAACTGAAAAGACAACTCAAAAGAATAAGAAAACATCTGCAAATCATGTAAGGATCAAATAACCAGACATATATATTTTAAAACTCTTGCAACTCAAGAAATAACAGAAGAAAAATAATCAGAATAGACATTTGTTCAAAAATAAACATTTACAAATGGCCAATAAACAAAAAGCTGTTCAAACATTAGTCATGAATACAATGAGAATCGAAACTGCAGACCACTTCATATTTTCTAGGATTATAAAAATTTTTTAAAAGACAGCAAGTGTTGGCTAGGATATAGAGAAACAGATCTTTAAATGTTGACATGGGAATGTAAAATGATGCAACCACTCTAGAAAACAACCTAGCAGCTTTTCACAAAGTTACTATCTTGTCAAACAATTCCACTTGTAGGTATATAATAAAAGAAAATAAAACTACAGTACATTACCCAAGGCATGGTGTGGCATCTGTGTCCCTTGGTATAGTGTCTGGATCGTTGCTATTCAGTGTTGTTATGACTGAGGCTACAGGGTGATAGGACTATAGCTGGGGACCTTGTTGGCAAAACTGCCACCTGGGCACGGGCCTGCTTTTGCAAAACAGTTCTTAGTCTCAGAGTTTTGCTGTCTTCTACCTGTAATTCAAAGCTCCCACAAAGCCACTTTCGCTTGTGAATCATTGCCAAGTTATTGCTGCTATGGGGTATGTGAACAGAGGACTTTCTATTCCACCATTTTCTGATCTCCTTGTACTTTTTCTGCTCAGAATTTAACCAAGCTTTTTAAGACATATTAGTCGATGTTTTTCATCACTTTTAATCATTATCTTCATTTTTTCAAAGTAAACTTTATTTTTTATTGACAGTTCTAGCTTTGCAAGATTATTTCAAAGATACCACAGTGTGTCTATACATAATCCCCTATTGATAACATCTTATATTAATCTGGTACATGTGTTGTTAAAGTTTATTATGCAATATTGATGAATTAGCATTAAGTAAAGTTCATTCTTTATTCAGATTTCTGGAGTTTTTACCTAATTTTTTTTTGTTTTGGATCCCATCCTGAATATAGCATTATTACTTCTCATGTCTTTCTTTTAGGCTCCTTTTGGCTCTGACAGTTCCTCAGACTTACCATAAATGTTAAAGGTTTTCATCATTCTCGGCAAGCTAACACAAGAAGAGAAAACCAAACACCACATGTTCTCACTCATAAATGGTAGTTGAACAACGAGAACAAATGGACACAGGGAGGGGAACATCACATACTGGGGTCTGTCAGGGAATTGGCAGGGGTTGGGTAGGTGAAGGATACCATTAGGAGAAATACCTAATGTAGATGATGGGTTGATGGGTGCAGCAATCCACCATGGCACATGTATACCTGTGTAAGAGACCTGCACCTTCTGCACATGTATCCCAGAACTTAAAGTGCAATAATTTAAAAAAAAAATTTTTTTTTAGTTTTTTCTGGACTCAAGTTCTAGTTTAGATATATGTCTGTCGTTGTAGTGCTACCATATTTTAATTAGTGTAACTTTGTAGTAAGTTTTGAGACTGGTTAGTATGATTTTTTTCACCTTGGTTCCTTTTTTGCAAAGTTATTTTGGCTCCTCTAGGTACCTTGTATTTTCCACAGGATCAGTTTTGTGTTTGCGCCAAAAGCCACCAGGGATTATGATATGCAGTTCAAATTTAAGAGTAGTGTCATCTTAACAGTATTATATGGTACAGCCCATGAACACTTATAATTAAATGATATAAACAAATGACATCCTGTCTGTCTGTCTGTCTGTCTATCTATCTATCTATCTATCTATCTATCTATCTATCTATCTATCTATCTATCTATCTATCTATCTATCTCACACTGTTACCCAGGCTGTTCTTGAACTTCTGGGCTCAAGCAATCCACCCTCCTTGACCTTCCAAACTAGGTTATAGGAGTGAGCCACTATACCCAGCCCTCTTGTTATTTATTTGGAACTTTTAACATTTGTATCAAATGTTTTTTAGTTGTCAGTGTATAAGTATTGTACTTTTGTTACAGTTGAAATAACAAATTTACACTAATTTCTAGGGTTTTTTTTATTTTTTAACTTTCAGGCTCAGGTACATGTGCAGGTTTGTTATATAGGTAAGCTGAGTGTCATAGGGGTTTGGTGTAGAGATTATTTTGTCACCCAAGTAATATGCATAGTACCTGATAGGTAGTTTTTTGATCCTTCTCCCACCATCCACCCTCAAGTAGGCTCAGGTGTCTGTTGTTTTTTTCTTTGTGGCCATATGTACTCAATGTTTAGCTCCCACTTACAAGTTAGTAATATGTATTTGGTTTTCTGTTGCTGCATTAGTTCACTTAGAATAATGGCCTCCTGCTCCATCCATGTTTCTGCAGAGGACATAATCTCATTCCTTTTTATGGCTGCATAGTATATACCATGGTGTATATTTATACCACAATTCCTTTCTAATAGATAACAGAAATGATTTTTGATAAGATTCAAAATTCCTTCATGTTAAAAACCCTTAACAAATGAGTCATTGACAGAATCTACCTCAAAATAGTAACAGCCATTGTGATAAACTCGTAGCCAGCATCACATCAAATGGGCAAAAGCTAAAACCATTTCCCTTGAAAAAAACCAGAAGAAGGATGCCCTGCTGTTACCACCACTGATAACACAGTACTGGAAGTTCTAGCCAGACCAGTCAGGGGAGAGAAGGACATAAAGAGCATCCTAATAGGAAGAGAGGAAGTCAAACTATCTGTGTTTGCAGATGATAATATACTTTATTAAATTTTTACTCATCTATGTTTTTTTTTTAACATGCTTTGCATTTAGTTTGCTGTTTTTTTTTTTAGAGTAGTTTACTCGTAGGATTTATTTCTTTTTAGCAATGGAATTTATACCTGTAATTTGCCCTCTGAGCATTGTTGTAGCTGCTTTCTATGAGTTTTGTGAAGATGTATTTTAGCTTTAATTCTTATGACGTATTTACTGATTTGTTTGACTCACTGGAAATTGAGACACACAAATTCACAAATGTGTGTTTAATTTCCACAATTTGTGAATTTTCCATGTTTTATTACTTAGTATATTCTGTCATGGTCACAAGAGATACTTTTTATGAATATATATATATATATATATATATATATATATATATATTATTTTAAAAACTTTACTGTTAAGCCTTGTTTTATGGCTTATCATAGGGACTGTTCAAAAGCTGGTTTTTTTCTTTTTTTTTTTTTTTTTTGAGGCAGAGTCTTGCTCTGTTGCCAGGCTGGAAAGCAGAGGTGGATCTTGGCTCACTGCAGTCTCTGCCTCCTGAGTTCAAGGGCTTCTCCAGCCTCAGCCTTCCAAGTAGCTGGGAATACAGGTGTGCACCACCACATCCAGCTAATTGTTTGTATTTTAGTAGAGACAGGGTTGTACCCTGTTGGCCAAGATTGTCTTGATCTCCTGACCTCGTAATCTGCATGCCTTGGCCTCCCAAAGTGCTGGGATTACAGGTGTGAGCCACCGCTCCTGGTCCAAGAGCTGTTTTTGTGTGCTTGAGAAGAATGTATATCCTGCTATTGTTGGTGAAGTGACATAGATTTTTGTTAAGTATAGTTGGTTCAAAATGTTGTCTTAATGTATCCTTCATTACTCTTTTGCCTAATTGTTCTGTCCCTTAGTGAAAGTGGACTAATTTTTGGAAAGAGTTTGTGAAGGATTAGTACTAATGCTTTTTTTTATTTGTACAAATTTATGGGGTTCATTTGCAATTTTGTTGCATGCATAGATTGCACAGCATTCAAGTTAGGGCATTTAACATGTTATCCATCACCCAAATAATGTACATTTCACCCATTAACTCATTTCTCATCATCCATTCACCTTCCTCAGCTTCAAACTTCCCAGACATTGGCTGTGAATCCATCTGGTCCTGTGTTTTTCTTTGTTGGGAGACGTTGTAATTACTGACTGATTTCACTACTTTTATTTGTCTTTTCAGGTTTTCTGACTGTTCCTGATTCTATCTTGGCAGTTTGTATGTTTGCAGGAATTTATCCTTTCTCTAGGTTTTCAAGTTTTTGAGTATATAGTTGTTCATAATAGTCTCTGATGATGCCTGTTCCTGATTCTATCTTGGTAGGTTGTATGTTCACAGGAATTTATCCTTTCTCTAGCTTTTCAAGTTCTTGAGTATGTAGTTTATAATAGTCTCTGATGATGTTTTGTATTTCTGTGATATCAATTATAAGGTTCCCTTTTTCATTTCTTATTTTATTTATTCTGGTCTCTCCCTTACTTTTTGTTTTGTTGATTCTTTGTTGGCCAAGCTGGTCTCAAACTCCTGACCTCAAGTGGTCCACCCACCTTGGCCTCCCAAAGTGCTGGGATTATAGATCTGAGCCACCGCTCCTGGCCAAGAAAATTAGTTTTTTAAGAGCTCATACACACCCACATATACAATTTTAGTCGTGCATTTTTCTAGTTTATATTCCATTTAATGTAATTAGTTTTTCTAGTCTATATTCCATTTAATGCTGCTCTGGTCTTTTCTTCTGCCAGTTTTGGGTTTGAGTGTGATCTTGCTTTTCTAGTTTCTTGAGGTGCATCATTAGATTCGTAATTTGTACTATTTATGTTTTGAAGGTGAGCATTTAGTGCTGTAAATTTTCCTGTTAACACTGCTTTTGTTGTGTCTCACTTCTCACTGCTTTTGGTATAGTGTGTTTCATTTTTTTCTGTTTCAAAAAATTTACTTTCATGTTAATATCTTTGTTGACCCAGTGATCATATGTCACAGTAAAACTCCAGCCAAGAAAGACAAAGAGACCTTTGGAGACCAAAGAGAACTTTATTTAATTTGGGCACCCGGGCCAACAGCAGGCTCACACCCAAAATGGCTGCCAACCCTGACAAAGAATGCAGGCTTGCTTATATGTCATTTGAGGTGGGAAAACAAGGCAGGATACCCATTTCAGACAAAGACAGTAAATTATTTAACCTGTGACAATTCTGAGAAAGCTTACAATTTAGTTATCTTGACCAGTCAACCTCGAAGCTGGACAGAGCTGGGGTAAGGGAAAACAGGAATGACAGAAATATGCGGGGGTCTGGAGGCAGGCGATAAGCTTGGAAGGTTGAGATAAGCCCGCAGCTGCAACTTGTTAGCAATGCCGGGAAGGGCTACTTAAATTTCTTAGCCTATGTGTAACCTGTACTTAATGTTAACTATTACCTACGTTATGTTTATTATTTTCAACTTTATTGTTTATTTTATTTTATTTTCTTTCCACATTCCCCCCTTTAAAAGCTTTCTTTTAAAAGAAACTATTATTAGAAAGCTTTTACCTGTTCCTGATGATGCACATGCAGCTAGGATGGTAGGACAGAGTCAAAGGCCTGTCAAAAGGCAATTCATCTGTTTGCATGGGGAGTTACTTTGCCGGTGTATCTGCTCTTAGCGTCACTTTTCTTCTTTGTGGGAGCACACTGGCTCTCTGGCTTAATTTTTCTCAGCCTTTGCTGTCCTCCCTGTGGCTGTGCCTGTCTTCTTAGATTGTTCCTATCTTTCAGGGAATCTTCCCCATCATTGACTAACCAGCCACCTACCTGGGGGGCATGATTTTTGGTGTCTTCTCTAGAGAGAAGCACGAGTAAGTCAGCCAGGAGCTGAACTTAGTATTTTCTGTGGCATCATTTGCCTGTGCCTAAGTAGAAGTCAGATTAAACTTCAGCAAGTTATTTTTATAAATGATGTTTAAAGCCTAGCTCTTCTATCCCATACCTATACATGTGTGTTTTATAATCCGTGTAGAACGTAAAGAGGGTGAGGCATGGGAAAGGAAACTACTTTGGAGAAAACCTATGTTAGTTTCATAATTCTCTACCTTCTCATGAGATGAGATTTCTTTGGGTAATGGCTGATACTTAGTGCCATTATTTGGGGGGTGGTGTAGTGGACTGTATCTTCCTAAACAGGAGAGGCAATAAACAAGGGAGTATTAGACAGCTGCCTAATGGAAGTATTACACTTACAAGGAGAGTCTTGAATCCTCCAGAAGATGAAAACCATCCACCAAGAGAGTCTGGGGTCCAACCTTTCCAGGTTTGTACTGGAACGAGAGCTAACTTTCTCAGTTTGGCAGTGATTTCATAACTGCCTACCTGTTGTCATCAATTTCTAAATAACAGTTAATCAGGTTAAATTTACTACAGACCCCTTTTGAATCCAGCAGATAATCTAATGCCAGTCTGTTTTGATAAACCGCATTTCTCATTCTGTGTAGATAGTACATCTAATAAATCTAAAGCTTTAGTTGTTTCTTTAGTTATAATTTTTAATACTGCTTGTAACCTAATGATGTGATTAATCATGTAGATGGGAGTACAGTATCCCCATGATCTATCTTGCACCCAGGTGGCTGGGCCATAATAATTCATTATTCTCTCTGCAATCTGTATCTTTCCAATCCCCTATTTCTATATCTTTTACTGCTCCTTTGTTTTTACTTCTAGGCTCATCATAAATAGGATACCCTAAAGTTTCTCCTTGCTTTAAAGGTAACAGGAAGAACGATGTTTTAGTAACACCTAATACACAAGCTCCTGTCCGTTTTTCTGGCAACCGCCTGTAGGCTTGCTGACCACAGATCCAGTAGAGGCCTACAGGCACTTACCATGTGTTTGGTGTTTCTAGTTGATACCAAGAGTGATTTAAAGAAGGGAACCTAGAAAATGGGATGAAATGAGATGGCCTTGAACTGTTTTTACCCTTTTTATTTTCTCTTTGCCATGGAGTTTTTCCTGTAGTTTCATTGTAGTATTGTTGCCCTAAACAAGCTAATTTGCCTGCTGGGTGTGTATAGGTAGTCCCCCAACGAGGTATGCAGTGTCTTCCTGTAATAGAAGCCTTTAAAAGCCAAGTGCTAGAGCCAGTAGGGATTAATTCTGGAGCATTTGTGGCAGAGAAAATTAAAGTGTAGTTGTCCTGGGGAAGCAATTCTTTTGCCTCCCAATGCCATCTATCCTCCATGTCAGTTACCATGAGGTAACTCCTAGATTTCCTGCTATATTCTTAGCTAATTGCACAGACAGATTTTTAGTGGTAAACGATGGCTCAGAAACTACTTGGTTAATTTCTTCACTGAATGACTTGAAAATTTTAAATCATTGCTGAGGTTTGTGAGCTTGAGTCTTTTTGATAATATAAAATAAAATAATATAAAATATATAATGGTATAATATAAAAATATATGGTGCTGTCGGTAGCCTGCACCCTGGAATATTTAATGCCTCATCTCTTTAGCTTAGGATCTGCCTCCTATTCTGTGGCTTCATCACTGTATCCCTCTGGGACTTCAGTGCCTATTGCCCAATTAGGTGAATCTGATTTGAAATAAGAAATTCAGTGAGGCTACAGGAATTTCCTCTTACACAATTGTCATAGTTATACCAATCTATGGAGAGGTTTCTGGAGAAATGTATGTCTTGAGACTGTGGAGTATCACTAATCCAGTATGGGATATGACTGGTTACAGTCAACTTTCTTTTGGAGTCAGGAATGTAGCAGCCAGTTTTAAGGAGTGTTCTTGTAATCTGGCAGGCATCTAAATACAGATACACACAGTGTTTATTGGTGGAGGGTATCCAGGTTGAATTTTAAAGAGTTCCTTTTTCAGACCTTTCACTAATGTCGAACCAAGTTCCAGGTAGAAGTTTGGGGTCATAGCAGACACAGGGCTGATTATCACCAAGATCACACATTGAATAAGTAGTCTGGTTATGTACACAAATTCCTAGAGAAGCTCCTGTTTGCTTATAAAGGGTTTGATATATAAAGGTTTTAACCTGTGTGTTCCTTGCCCAAGTAGTGTGGGTGCACAGAGAAAACTCAATTGTATTTCCGCCCCCTTTGTAAGTTTGACATATTAGTTAATATAAGCAAAACAGAGAGTAACATCTTCACACTAGGCACAGGCAGGGTATGTTTCTTCCTGAAAGCAAGGGTTGGCAACAATGGCAGTATAACAATAGTACAGCAAATATTACTAGAAGAGCAATAGGTATTAAAATATCAGTCCATATCTACTTTACTCATCTACTTATTTACTACTTTACTTATCTACTTATTTACTTATCTACTTATGAAATATCAGTCCATATCTTACTTATCCATATCCACTTATCTATTGAACACTCCTCAAGCTTTGGTCATGTGTAGAGTAGTCAGCTTCTTATTGTGTGACTACAGCAGGGCTTGGCGATTTTTCATTAACAGTTGGGTCTGAGGTCGGCTGGTCTGGGTTTGGTCTCTG
The DNA here is from genome assembly GCF_000001405.40 of Homo sapiens. NCBI lineage: Eukaryota > Metazoa > Chordata > Mammalia > Primates > Hominidae > Homo > Homo sapiens. Next base: position 13,440,097 of record NC_000024.10, on the reverse strand, counting down.
TTGGCACCTCATCTTAGAGTTAGCTTGGTGGGTTGGTCGGGGTCTGGCTGGCTGGTCCACACATCCTAGGCAGCAGCTGGCTAACCCACTATGATGGATCCAGGGAAGCACTTCAGCAACCTTAACAGCAGTGGGGGTAGATAAGATTACTACAAAGGGCTCATTCCATATGTGCCTTAATGTGGATAGGTACCAGTTTTTGACCCAGCCAGAGTCCCTGGGTTTGTTGGTATGGGTGAACTGGGCTAGTTAGGCCTACTGGCAGTCTTCTTGCACCCAGCTTTGCAACTTCTCTCACGGCTGTACCTAAAGCTTGCATTTGCTTTCTCAGTGTTAGTTCCCGTACTTCTTTGAGATCTCCTTTAATTTGGAAAATAAGATGGGGAGGCCTTCCAAACAGAATTTCATAGGGTGAGTATCCAGTTTGCTTGTTTGGGGTGCATGTGATTCAAAGGAGAACCATGGACAGAGCCAGATCCCACTTTAGGTGGGTTTCTTGACAGAACTTTTTAAACAGTTGCTTTATTGTCCGGTTCATCCTTTCAACTTGTCCTGAACTCTGGGGATGGTGCGCAGTGTGCAGCTTCCATCTTGTTTTAATAATTGGGATAAGTTTTGAACAACTTCAGCGACAAATGTTGGGTCATTATCTGACCCGATAGTCAAAGGCACCCCAAACCTGGGGATAATATGTGCTAGTAATGCCCACGTTACTTCTTGGGCCTTTTCAGATTGGGTGGGGAAAGCTACTCACCCAGGATAGGTGCATACAAAGACCAATAAATACTTTAGTCCTCTTACATGGGGTAACTAAGTAAAATCTACCATCGGGTTCTCATGGGGTTGAGCCTAGTTGTATTCTAAAGGTAATGGTTTTGGGAAAAGAGGTAACTTACATTAAAGCTTCTTCCTGTGGTGCGGTTGCCATAGCTGCCTGCCTTGCTTGTCTGTCTGCCTATTTCCTATGGATTTATAGGACCCATCTGTTTGATGACCTTTGCAATGTATAATGGCCACCTTTTTAGGTGCCCAAACAGCATCTAAGAGTTGCGGGATCTCCTTTTTATTTTTGACTTCTTTTCCTGCAGCTGTTAGAAGTCTTCTGTCTTTATAGATGTCTCCATGAGCATAGAGGGTAGCAAAAGCATATTTAGAATCAATATAGATATTAACTATCCTCCCTTTTGCTGGTAATAAGGCTCTTGTTAAAGCAATCAGCTCAGCCTTTTGAGCAGAGGATCTAGTTGGCAGTGACTGTGCTTCTACTACTGTTCCCTCACCTGACTTAAAATCATTTATCACTACTGCATACCTGGCTCTGTAAACTCCGTCTGAAATGAAGCTGCTACATCTGTTAAATAGTCTAGGTCTGAGTTTTCAAAAGGCTGATCTTTTAAGTCTTTCCTGCTTGAAAACACTTTATCTACTACATCCTTACAACAATGTGATGGGAATTCTTTTGATTCTTCTGTAGGCAGCAAGGTAGCTGGATTTAGGGTATTCCCTATTTCTACAGTTATATTAGGATTTTCAAGTAACAGTCTTTGATATTTAGCAATTCTTGGATAGACAACCAGTGATTCCCCCTCTGGTCTAACAGGGTTATTACGGTGTGTGGCACCTGAAAGTTAACTTCTGTCCTAGTGTTAATTTGCCAGCCTCCTGGGCCAGCAAGGTAGTTGCCGTTAACTGCTTTAAAGCAGTGTGTCCAGCCTAATGCCACTGTGTCTAGTTGTTTAGATAAATAGGCCACAGGTCTATGCCATGATCCTAGCATTTGTGTTAAAATTCCTACTACTGTCCCTGTTCTTTCATCCACGTAGAAGAAGAAAGGTTTAGTCTGATCTGGGAGCCTATGTTAAGGCCTTTTTGATTTTTTTTAATGCTTTTGCTTGATCCGTCTCCCAGAAGAGGGACTCTTTCTTAACCCCCTTTGTAGCTTTATATAGAGCCTCAGCTAAAAGTGAGAAACTTGGGATCCAAATGCGGCAGAACCCTGCTGCACCTAAGAATTCTGATTTGGCGCCCTGTGGTACCTGTAGGGAGTGTACACATGGCCTCTTTCCGCTCACTACCAAGCTTCTTTTGTCCTTTGCTTATTATAAAACCTAAATATTTAACTTTAGGACAACAGATGCAAACCTTTTTTTTTTTTTTCTGAAATTTTATATCCAGCATTCATTAAGACACTGAGGAGTTCCTCCATGCCTCTTTGGCAATCCTTCTAATTTTTGGAGCTTTTTTTTTGATGTCACTTTGTGACTGGCTAACGAAGGCAGTATTTACCATTTTCTGGTTATCAGCTGCCTGTGGGTCAGATGTAGAGCCAGTAGGTTTCACACAGCTGCTCTTAGAACTGGCTGGGACTCTGATCGGGCTTTTGGAGGACTTCTGAAACTTTTCCTATGTTCATTGCTTTTCTTCCCTCTGACTTTACCCCATTTAGGAGTGCATCCACATACCTCTGTAGGCATTCTAAATGATCAGGGTTGTTTGGGACCCAATTTGGATCAGTGTCAGGGAACTGAGCTTCCGCATACTGCCTGGAATCATTTATGCATTCAGGGGCATTGTTTTCTAGCCATTGGAGGGCTGCTTGCACCACTCTGTGCCTTCCTTCTGTGCTAAATAAACTACTAATAATTGCTGATAGTCTGGCCAGGTAGGACTATGAGTCGAAAAGATTATTCTCGTATCAATTATTGCTTGTGGCTTTTCTGTGTATGATGGGTTATGATGTTTCCAGTTTAAAAGGTCAGTAGTGGAGAAGGGGAGATAAGAGTAAGTTTGTTCTCCACCTTGTACCCTTGATCATCAAGGTAGATTTGTGCCCACGTCTCTCTGAGCGGCATTTGCAGAGCTCGGGAACCACTGGACCTAAGACGCCCTGCCCTGCCTCTTCATCCTGTTTTTCCCTCCTAGTCTTAGGTGGCAAGGATGCAGCTTCTTCCTGCTGTGGAGATGCCCCGCTACTTTCTGAGCTTGTTTCTTCAGGAGACAATTGCCCTTCCTCTTATCTGAGCCTTGCTAAGGATGGGTAGAGAAGGGCATATGGAGAAGGATTCTCTAGCTTCTCCAAAGGAGCCTGTAAGATGTGTGTGTGTGTGTGTGTGTGTGTGTGTGTGTGTGTCTCTTTTGCTTCCTAGTTTCCTTCTCTAAAGGCTTGCATGATACTGTCTTTTTGATCCCTTTTGGACCAGTTCGGGCGACTAGGGTCTTACAATATTCAGCCATGCAGATTCCTAGCCATTTAGGGCAATTTTGGATTATATTTAACCAGGAATCAATATATGGAAATTGATCTGGGTGTCCATGCTGATCTGTTGCCCCTGTTATTATTTGAAACACCCTGCTGGTGATTTTCCAAACAAGGGTGCCCTCTGGCGGCCAACCAATGCCCAAACTAGGCTATTCTATTACACAAAGAGTTCTTAACCTTTGGCGGGGGTCAGCTTTACTCCATATTCCCCAGAAAATCCCTCCTTGAAATTCTTTAGCATGCACTCCAAAGGAGTGGGGGTTAATTCCTTAGGTTCTTTTCCTCCCATTTCTTCCCGCACGACGCAATGACCCTCACTTTCATTTCGGACCGATTAGACTGTCTCCCTCGTGGGGGTGTTTCAGACGCCAGACCCCGCTTGACTTTGGAGAGTTTGTTACTCTCTGCCACAATACCTAGACTGTGGGGCCACCTCCCTCAGCTGTATGCGGTAGCCCCAAAGGAAGTTCGCCTCTAGTCGTCCTGGGTCCAACATTTCACTCACAGCATACAGTCCACTCTAACAGACTTGCGGCCCCCACGCTTCACAGCTGATGAGCCTAGTTAGGCTCCCACATTCACACACATTCGTACACAACTCCTGTCCCCAGGACTCCTCATCAGATGAAACGAGTCTGTCTCGTGTCCTGGGTGGGTTCACACGTACCCACACACTCCCAGTTGGGACAGTTCACTCACACTGGTGACTTCACGGTTTCACTTTCTCTTTGCTCCCTCCGGCTCAGCAGGCTCTACCCTGCTGCCGGCTTCAGGGCTGAATGTCACATGAGTGGTGAGGTCCTTTCCTCACCGCCCCCATTCACCTTCTGGGTTAGGCTAATAGACAACCCTTGAGTGGTGATCAGTGCCCCACCCGCCTGGTAGGGCACGATTTGTGTCTGTCCCTGTAAGGCACCCTTTCTTACTCTGTAGGGCCCTCTTTTCTTACCGTGATTCCTTTTCACTGCGCTGAAAGTTGTCTTGCGGTCTCCTTCCTGCGCTATCAGGGGCAGGGCCTTGGGATGTGGGAGAACCCAGCCCTTTTTTGGAAAACTCTTCGGTCGGCGCGCCTAAGAACTGGGTCTCCCCCGACCCCGGGGCCCAAGTCCCACAGTCAAAGGAGACAGTAGCTTGTCCTCTCTCTCCTCTTGTCGAACTCTCCAAAATGTCGCAGTAAAACTCAGCCAAAGAAGACAAAGAGACCTTTGGAGACCAAAAACAACTTTAATTGAGGCACCTGAGCCAGTAGGCTCACGCCCAAAATGGCTGCCGACCCTGACAAAGAATGCAGGCTTGCTTACATGTTGTTTGAGGCGGGAAAACAAGGCAGGATACCGGTTTCAGACAAAGACAGTAAATTATTTAACCTGTGACAATTCTGAGAAAGCTTACAATTTAGTTATCTTGACCAGTCAGGCTCGAAGCTGGACAGAGCTGGGGTAAGGGAAAACAGGAACGACAGGAATGTGCGGGGGGTCTGGAGGCAGGCAATAAGCTTGGAAGGTTGAGATAAGCTCGCAGCTGCAACCTGTTAGCAATGCTGGGAGGGGCTGCTTAAATTTCTTAGCCTATGTATAACTTCTAAATAACCACACTTAATGTTAACTATTATCTATGTTATGTTTATTATTTTCAACTTTATTATTATTTATTTTATTTTATTTTCCTTCCACAGATTCAGGTCCATGCTGTTTTATATGTAGTTGTATAGTTTCCAGCATTTCTCTTGTATTGATTTCTAGTTGTATTCCAGTATGGTCTGAGATGTTATTTCATATAGTTTCATTGTTTAAATATGTATTAGAACTTCTTTGTATCCTGATATGTGGTCTGTCTTGGAGAATGTTCCATGTGCAGATGAAAAGAATGTATGTTCTACAGTTGTTGGATAGAATGTTCTGTAATTTTTTATGTTCATTTGGCCTGAAGTCCAGTTTAAGTCCAATCTTTTTGTTGATTTCTCTAAATGATTTGTTTAATGCTGTGAGTGAGGCGTTGATATCCCTCCCCTACTCTTAATGTATTGAGATATATGTCCCTTTGGGTCTAGTAATATTTGTTTTATGAATCTGAGTGCTGGAGTGATGGGTGCATATATTTAAAATTGTTATATCCTCTGGCTAAATTGATTCTGTTATCATTATAAAATGTCTTTTAATGTGTGTTTTATCCTTTTGACTTGTCTCTTTTATCTGATACAATGATACCTACTCTTGCTCACTTTTGGTTTCTGGTTTTATTGAATATCATTTTCCATGCCATACCTATGTTTATATGAACCTTTCCATGTAAGGTAAATTTCTTGTAAGCAGCAGTTAGTTGGATCATGTTTTAAAATCTCTTCAACCAGTCTTAGGCCAGGCGCACTGGCCTACGTTGGGAGGGCAAGGAGGGTAGATCACTTGAGGCCAGGAGTTTGAGACCAGCCTGGCCAACATGATGAAAACTCATCTCTACTAAAAATGCAAAAATTAGCTGAGTATGGTGGTGCGTGCCTGAGTCCCAGCTACTTGGGAGGCTGAGGCCGGAGAATTGTTTTAACCTGAGAGGTGGGGGTGGCAGTGAGCTGAAGTCACATCACTGCATTCCAGCCTGGATTACAGAGTGAGACTGTCTGAAAAAGTAAAGTAAAATACAGTTTCTTAAGTCAATCTGTATTTTTCAAGTAGAATACTTTATCTGTCTATATTTTAGGTTATTATTGATATGTGAGGTTTTGTTCCTATCATATTGTAAATTGTTTTCTAGTTCTGTGAAATTTTCTTTCTATTGTCTGTTTGCCAGTGTGGAATTCTGTAATGATTCCCTTTGATTCATCACACTTCCTTTTTGTTTGATTGCTTCAACCAGTTAGTTTTATACTTTCTTGTGTTTTCATGATGGTAAATGTTATTCTTTCTTTTCCAAGCCTCTGGCTACTTTAAGCATATGTTAGGCTAGGCAATTAGTGATGAATGTTCTCAGCGTCTCCTTTTTGAGGGAAGATTTTGTTTCATTTATGTAGATAAGTCTTGCTGGGTATATTTTTCTTCTCAGATTTTTTCCCTTCAGTACTTGGAATATACCCATTCTCTTCTATCTTGTGAAGTTTCTACTCAGAAGCATGCTATTTGTTTGATGTAGATTTATTTACACATGACCAGGTGATATTCTCTTCCTGTTTTTAGTTTCATTTTCACTTTGCCTTTTGAGTTTGATTATAATGTGTCATTGCAAAGAACTGTTTGTGTTTTATCTGTTTGTGTGTGGATTGTTGAGCCGTCTGTATCTAGAAGTCTAAATCTCTTGTTAGACATGGGACGTTTTCATCTACTATTTTGTAATAGGTTTGCTAAACCCTTTGATGTCTCTGCTCGTAGATAGCAGTGGTCCATAAATTTTGTCACTTTTTGTTGTCCGAAATGTCTCAAAGGCTTTGTTCATTCTTTTTATTTTATTGATTGATTGATTGATTATTTCAAAGACCCATCTGAAGTACTGAGATTTTTTTTTTCTGCCTGGTTTAGTCTAGTGTTGGAACTTTTGAATGTATTTAATATTTCCTTTAATGAAATTTTCAATTCCAGAATTTTTTGTTTTGTTTTGCTTTCTTTAAATCTTTTTCCTTGATTATCAATTCCTCATTCACATCCTGAATTGTTTTTCTGGGTGCTTTATATTGGTTTTGAATTTTCTCTTGCGTCTCATTGAGTTTCCTTGAAAACAACATTCAGATTCTTTCTTTAGGATCTTGAATGTCTTTTTGCCTCAAATCTATAGTTTTCTTTTAGTAGTGTCATATTTCTTTGCTTTTTCATGTTTCCTGTGTCTTTAGGTTGATATCTGTATAACAGTTGCTTTTGCCTATTGAATTTACTTTTGTTGTGTGGGGACTTTATCCTGAAGGTGGGTTTGTGATGTTGATTGGGTAGAGCCCTTTGGCTTTGTGTCTGGGTAAGGGCAGCAGTGAAGTCTCTGATTTATTTGGCAGTATATACCCTTAATGGTACCTGTGGTTTCCTTGGTATACTAGGATGTGGTTACTAATGGAGGCTGTGGAGAAATTTGCTGGAAACTGCAGTGCCAGTTAGGCCTGTAGTCAGGTTTCACTGGTCTCAGTGGTGTGCTTGTTGTTAACATCCTTTTGCCTACGACATTGTTTGCCAGCATCTGTATTGGCAATTCCAGGTGGACCACGTGGTGGGCCTCTGGGTGGACTTCTTAGATGCCAGTGTGGTAGCAGTGGATTGGGTGGGTAAATGAGTTTCTGAGCCCCTAGGTGGTCAGTGTAGTGTGTGCAGTGATACTAGCATCGGTAGTATGTTCTGCTTCCTGTGTTTGTGCACTTGTGTTGTCAGTGATTGCAGCTGGCTGTGTGACCTGGACTTCAGGCCTGTAGGTGGAGCTTATAGGTAGGCAACTGCTGGAGATAGTTAGTAGTGGAAGTGTGTTTATACCTAAACTGTGCCCCAGGGGGAATACTTGGATTCCTCAAATAGTGAATTGTGTTATACAATTCCTAGGTCCCTTGACATCTTCATTTTCAGAAATGGGAGGGGGGATAATGCTGGGCAGAGCCAGACTGATCTGACACTTCATGATCTTTGTGGTTGTATACAAATTTTAGAATTTTGTTTTCTATTTTTGTGAAGACCGTCATTGGTATTTTGATAGGCACTACATTGAGTCTGTAGATTATTTTGGGTGAATGTGGAAATTTTTTTAATTTTGTGTATCTTTTTCAGTTTCCTTCATCAATGCCTTTAGTTTTCATTGTGGAAATCTTTGAGTTCAGTAATATTTATTTCTAGGTATTTTATTTTTGGAGCTGTTGTAAATGGAATTGCTTCCTTGATCTTTTTCAGGTTATTTGCTATTGCTGTATGTAAATGGTAATTTTTACATGTTGATTTCATTTTGTGCAACATAACTGCATTTGTTTATGAATTTCTACAGTATTTTGGGGGGAGCGTTTAGGTTTTTCTGTACGTTCACGTCTTCTGTGAATAAGGATAATTTGATTATTTTTTAATCATTTGAATGGGTTTTATTTCTCTTTCCATAATTTCTCTGGCTATGACTTTTCTGCACTATGTTGAATAAAAGTGGGCATCCTTGACTTTTTCCAGATCTTTGAGGACAAAATCTTTGAATTTCTCCGTTTGGTATCTGTTAAAGCAGTTACATGGTGTTTGTTCTTGACTCTTTTAATGTGATGCGTCAATCACATTTATTACTTTTTTTTTTGTTTGAACCATTGCTGCATGCAGTAGATGAGTCCTCTTTTGGGGAGATTATGATGACGAAAAAGATCATGTTGAATGATCTTTTTGTAGTATTGCAGAACTCAGTTTGCTAGTATTTTTTAAGGAGTTTTGGATGTGTTCATCAGGGAAATTTGTGTGTGCACGCATCTGTGTGTTTGTGTTCTGATTTTGATAGCAGGATGTTAGCCTCATTGAATGAGTTTGGAGAAATTCTCTCATCTTTAATTTTTTTGAAGTAGCTTGAGTAGAAGTGATGTTAATTCTTCTCAAAATATTTGGTAGAATCCTGTAGTGCAATCATCAGGTCCTGGCTTTTCTTTAATGGGAGACTTTTTATTACTGCTTCAATCTTGCTACAATTTATGGATCTGTTTGGGATTTCTCTCTCTTTATGATTTAATCTTGGTAGATTATATATGTCCAAAAACTTAATTATTTTCTACAGGTTTTCCATGTTGTTGGTACACAGTTCATAGAAGCCTGTGAATGATCCCTTGAATTTCTGTGGTTTCAGTTATAATCTCTTTTTTTTCCTCTCTTATTTTATTTGTATTGGTCTTTTTTCCTTTTCTTTTAGTCTAGTTAAAGGTTTGTCAACACCATTTTTTCAAAATAGCCATGTTTTTAGGCTGTTCAAAAATATAAACCAAAAAAAATCCCTCTGTCAACCCGGTTGGAGCATAGTGGCACAAACTCTGCTCACTGCAACCTCCACCTCTCTCCCAGGCTCAAGCCATCCTTCCACCTCAGCCTCCTGCATAGCTGAAACCCCAGGCACATGCCACCATGCCCAGTTAATTTTTTTTTTTTTTTTGTATTTTTGTTAGAGATGGAGTTTCACCATGTTGTCTGGGCTGGTCTAGAGGACAATTGATCTGCCCACCTGGGCCTCCCAAAGGACCAGTATTACAGGCATGAGCCACATTGCACTCCAGCCTTATAAACAAAATTGATAAAAACCACTAGCTAGACTAATGAAGGAAAGAATAGAGAGGATCCAAATAAGCACAATCAGAGATGATAAAAGAGATCACAATTGATAACACAGAAATAAAAAAGGTCAGAAGGTCATCAGAGATTGTTATGAATGAATGTGTACTCACAAACTAGAAAACCTGGAGGAAATGGATAAATCCCTCAAGGTACACAACCTCCCAAGATTTAACCAGGAAGAAATAGAACTTCTGAACAGACAGTAAGGAGTAGCAAGATTGAATCAATAATAGCAAAATCTTTTGACAAAAAAAGCCTAGGATCATATGGATTCACAGCCAAAATCTGACAAACATACAAAAAATAACTAGTACTAATCTTTCAGAAACTATTGCAAAAAAATGAGGAGGAGGGAATTCTTTGTAACTCATTCTGTGAGGCCAATATCACTCTGATTTTAAACCAGGCAATGGCACAAGAAGAAACTACAGGTCAGTATTCCTGATGAACATAAATGCAAAAATCCTCTACAAAAGACTAGCAAAATGAATCTATTAATGTATTAAAATGATAATGTTATAAGTTAAGTTTCAGTGCCACAAAAGAAATAGCACTTGAATATAAAATTTTCTTTTTTTCTTCTCAGCAAGGCAATTTACTTTTATAGAAGGGTGTGCCCTCACAGATGGAGCAGTTGTGAGTGCACACCTGAATAAGGGACTTATTCCTGACACACATGGCCCCTGCTGCCCTATGGGCTAGGGTTAGACCTCACAGGCAAAACTAATTCCTATTGGCTAATTTAAAGAGAGTGACAGGGTAAATGATTTGGCGGGAAAAATGGTTATGGCAGAGCAGGAAATCAAATGAGTCAGGGTGGAGAATGAGTCAGGGCAGATCAGGTAATCGGAATTAGTTAGGGTGGAGCAGGAAATCGGAATGAGTTAGGGTGGTGCAGGCAATCAGAATGAGTCAGGGTGGAGCAGTAATCAGAATGAGGGTGGAGCAGGTGATCCACAAAGGTTGCTTTATGAGGAAGTTAAGTTTAAAAGTAGAAGGCAAAGAATTGAACATACAGACATATTGACTCTTTGAAGAGAAATTTAGAACTCATATCTAACAATTATAAATGGTGATCAGGTGGGATTTACCCTAGGGAACCAAGGATGGTTTACCATACACAAGTCAGTAAGTATGATATATCACGTGCAAGCAGAATCAAGGACAAAAACTTGATTTTCTCAGTAAATGTAGAAAAAGCCCTCAATGAAATTCAGCATCCCTTTATTTTAAAAATCCTTAATAACTAGACATGAAGGAACATACCTCAACCCACAATAAAGGCTGAATATGACAGACTCGCAGCCAACATCCTACTTATTGAGAAAGAATTGAAAGCATTTCCCCAGGAGTTTGGCCAAACCAAAGATCCAACTTTCACTACTGTTATTTAAAATAGTTCTGGAAGTCTGTGCCAGAGCAGTCATGCAAGAGAAAAAGAAATAAAGATATACAAATTGGAAAAGAGGAAGTGAAATTATCCTGATTTGCTGGTGATACGCTCTTATGTACAGAAAATTCTGAAAATTAAAAACTCTTAGATTTGATAAATGCATTCAATAAAGTTGCAGGATACAGAATTAATAAACAAAATTCAGTAGCATTTCTGTGTAACAGTAGTGATCTAGCCAAGGATCAAATCAAGAAGGCATTGCCATTTGCAATAGCTACAAAAAAATATATAGGAATATATTTAACCAACGAGGTGAAAGATCTCTGTAAGGAGAACTATGAAATGCTGGTGAAAGAAGATGACACAAACAAGTGGAAGAACATCCCATGATCCTGCATTAGAAGAATAAATATTGTTAAAATGACTAACTGCCCAAAGTAGGCTTCAGATTCAACACAATCCCTATCAGATTATCCATGTTATTTTTTCACAGAATGAGAAACAGTCTTAAAATTCATTATGAAATCAAACAAGCCTAAATAGCCAAAGCAATTCTAAGCAAAAAGAACAAAGCTGGAGGTATCGTATTACCTGACTTCAAATTACACCTTAAGCCTACAGTAACCAAAATATCATGGTATTTATATAAAAATAGACACATTAGGTTGCTGGAACAGAATCAAGAATCCGAGAATAAAACTACATACCTACAAACCAGCTGTTATTAGACAAGGTCAACAAAAGTATGCTTTGTGAAGATGACACCCTATTCAATAAATAGTGTTGGGAAAATTGGATAGCCACATACAGAGGAGTGAAATTGTACCCATACCTTTCACCATGTACCAAAATTAACATAAGTAAAGACCTAAACCTAAGACTTGTATCTATAAAAATTATAGAAGAAAACTTAGGACAAACTCTTCTGAAGATTGTACTGACAAATAATTTATGAGCAAGTGCAAATGCACCAAAACCAAACGTAGAGAAACAGGACTTAACTAGAATCCAAAGCTTCTGCACATCGAAGGAAATAATTAGTAAACAGACAACCGACAGAATGAGAAAACATACTTGCAAACGATGCATCAGACAATGAGCTAATACCCGAGATCTACAAGGAACTTAAATATTGCAATAAGTAAAATACAACCCCATAAAAATTTGGGCAAAGGGTATGAACAGGCATTTTCCAAAAAGACATGTAAGCAGCCAAGAAACATGAAAAAATGTTCAGCATCACTAATCATCAGGTAAATGCACATCAAAACCACAATAAGATACCATCTTCCCAAGTCAGAAGGGCCATTATCAAAAAGTCAAAAAGCAAAATATGCTGGTAAGTACATGTTAAAAAAGGAAAGGCTTATATACTGTTACAGAAGGTCTGTTTGGTTTAGAGAGCAGTTTACCTGTGATGTTTCTTTATTTTCTGTTTGAATGATCTATCCATTGCTGAAAATCATGATTGTGTGGCAGTCGATCTTTCTCTTTAGGTCTGTTAATACTTGTTGCATAAATCTGAGTGCTCCAGTTTGGGGTGCATATATATTCGTAATTGTTATATTCTCTTGCTTTATTGTTACCCTTGTCATTGTGTAATGTCCTTTTTTACATTTCTTTCCCACTCTTGACTTTAAGTGTGTTTTACCTAATATAAGTAAAGCTACTCTTGCCTCCTTGTTTTCCATTTTTGTGGAGTGTCTTTTTATATTTTTGTTTCAGTCTGTGAGTATCTTTATAGGTGAAGTGAGTTTCTTGTAGACAGCATATTGTTCAGTGTTTTAAAAAATCTGTTCAGCCACTATGTCTTTTAATTAGATAATTTAAAAAACTTAACAGTCAGCATTCTTATTGATAGGCAAAGGTTAACTTGAGGCAATTTTATTATTTGTTCCCTGGTTGTTTTGTAGATCGTTTGTGTTTTTCTCTCTTACTGTCTTCCTTTGTAATTAAGTGATTTTTCTCTAGTAGAATGTTTTGATTTTGCAGTATTGATTGTAGTGTCCATGTACAGCTTTTTGCTGTGTGATTGCCAGGAGGTTTACAGAAAAAATTTGGTAATTTTAACAGTTTATGTGATTGCAAAGAAATGGCAAGTTACAAAAACTACAGTTTAATATTCCTGCCCTCCACATTTTGAATCTTGGACATTACAGTTTAATCTTTTAATATCGCCACTTCACTTGTTGTAGCTGTCATTGTTTTCAATAGTTTTGATTCCATTTTAGTGTCCATACTGAGATAAATGGTTTATTTACCGCAATTACAGTGTTCGACTTTTCTGAATTTGTCCTTTTTTTAAGCCAATGAGCTGAATACCTTCAGATATTTTCTTTTACACATTACTCTCCTTTTCTTTCAAGTTGAAGACTTTTTTTTTTTAAGCATTTAAGACAGTTTTGGTATTTGAATTTCCTCAGCTTTTGTTTTTCTGGGATAGACTTTTCTTTCTTTCGTGTTTGAAAGATACCTTTTGAATACAGTATTTGTGGTTGGCAGTTGTTTTCAAAGCTCTTTGAGTATAGCATCTCACTCTACTGCAGAAACCTGCAGGATTTCTGCTGGGAAATTTGCTTAAAGTTATATTGGGGCTCTATTGAATGCGATATTTCTTTTTTCCCTTCACTTCGAGTATTATTTTGCTTTGTTTTGAGTTTTGATAATTCGATATTGATGTGCCTTGTGTATTTTGTTTTTGGATCGAATTTATTTGGTTACTGCTGAGCTTCTTTACTTGGTGGTGCCATGTTTCTCTAGCATTATGAAATTATTTTCCTAAATACACATCCTAGGCCTGTCTCTTTCAGGAATGTTTATTATGTGGAGGCTTTTTTTATGTGATAATTACCCATAATTCTTGTAAGCCCTCTATTTTTGCACCTTTGTGTAATTTCACATGGTCTTTCTTGATGCTTGGTAATTCTTCCTTCATTTTTCAAAGTCTGCTTTTGAAAGTGTCTGATTTTTTTTTCTGTTCAGTTATTGCATTCTTTATTTTTAGTATTTCTGTTTGGTTTGTTTTTTTATTTATTCGTGTCAATTTTCTTATTTTTTTTTCCTGGCTTGTTGTCCAGGTTTCATTTACTTTTCTTTCTCTGTTTTCTTGTGATTATCTGAACCTCAGGAGGGTTATTCTGAATTCTCCATCTGACATCTTATAGATCTTCACTTCTTTTGGGTACATTGCTGGAGCATTGTTGGTTTCTTTTGGTTGTATCTGTTTCCTTCAGTTTCTGCAATCATTGTGACTTTATGTAGATGCTGCACCTTTGAGGAAATAGCCTCCTCTTCCAGTTTTTGCAAGTGTTCTTTGGTGGTTTAGACCTTTACTACTTAGTATTGCAAATAAACACTGGACTGTTTTCTTTTCCCATTTTGGAGAAGACTCATAGTGACCACCAGAACTAAAACATTGGACAGGAACAAACTCATTGCCCTGTAGGTAGGTGGTTCCTAGTTTGGGGAACTTACAGTGAACACAAAATATTAAATGCTGCTGCAAAACTAAATTGCTACTCTGTTATGTTCCCCTTCTGGGGAAGACTTAAATAGTTACTGGAACTTAATGCTGACCTTTTGCTCATTTCCAGACGAGGGAAAGACTGCTTTGGATATCGAGGCCCTGTGGAAAATCTCAACAGAAATTTGGACCTTACTGCATATTGTGCCCCTTGTAGTACCTTGGTGCCAACTGGTCTCTTTAATGTGTTTCTCCTTCTGTTTGTAGTTCAAAGTATTCACCAGGATTCTTTCACCAGTCAGTGTGGTCCACAATCTGTTGTCTGTCCCCAGTTCACTCCAGGTGGGTCAGGCTTTCTGGCATTCCTAGTAGTTCTTGTGGGATAGGACCAAAGTGTGTTTTCTGTGAAGATTCTGAGATGGTAGAGGATGTAGAATGTTTACATCCACTTTCCTCCTCTCACCTTCGAAACTGTGGTTCTGGGGAAGTTTTCTGAGAGTATTTATGCTTGCTTGGGAGAGAGGAGAGCACAGTCTAAAACAATGATTTTCCTTGCCAGTTGCAGAATGTGGTTTTAATTAGCATTTTATTTGTGACTAATGATATTAAACATCTTTTCATGTGCTTATTTGCCTCTTTAGTGCATTTTTTGATAATGTGTATATGTGTCTGTGTTTTGCCTAAATTCTAATGAATTGTTTTGAAACTGCTGAGTTTTGAGAGTTCTTTATTGATTCTATTTACTAGTACTTCGTGGGATATGTGGTTTGTGACTACTTTCTCCCTGTTTGTTTTTTGTCTTTTCATCCACTGAATACTGGGTTTTCTTTAAGTACATTGGAATAATATTACTTTTGATAGTCTATAATTTCATGAATTTGTTTTTCACTTTGATGTCTGGAACATAGTTTTCTTTTTGTTAGCTTTTCCTATGTTTTTAGAGACAAGGTCTTAGTACATTGCCTAGGCTGCTCTTGAACTCCTGGGCCTAGGCAGTCCTCTTGTCTCTCTCTGTTTTTTTATTTTGGAGACGGGATCTCTCTCTGTCGCCCAGGCAGGAGTGCAGTGGTGCAGTCTCCGCTAACTGCAAGCTCTGCCCCCCGGGTTCAAGCGATTCTCCTGCCTCAGCCTCCTGAGCAGCTGGTACTACAGGCATCCACCACCACATCCAGCTAATTTTTGTATTTTTAGTAGAGACAGGATTTCACTGTGTTAGCCAGGATGGTCTTGACCTCCTGACCTCTTGGTCCGCCCGCCTCCAAAGTGATGGGATTACCTACATGAGCCACCATGCCCAGCCTCTGGTGGTTTTTGTTTTGTTTTGTCTTGTTTTGTTTTGAGATGGAGTTTTGCTCTGTCACCCAGGCTGGAGTGCAGTGGCACAATCTCAGCTCACTGCAACCTCCACCTCCTGGGTTCAAGCAATTCTTGTGCCTCAGCCTCCCGAGTAGCTGGGACTATAGACGTGCCCCTCCATGCCCAGTTAATTTTTGTATATTTAGTAGATACGGGGTTTAACTGCGTTGGCCAGGCTGGTCTCAAACTCCCGACCTCGTGATCTGTCCACCTCGGCCCTCCAAAGTGATGGAGTTACAGGCATGAGCCACCACATCCAGCCATTCTCTCTCTATATTTTTAAAGCAGGCCTTCTTGTGTAAGTGGGTGAATGTGCATAGTGAAGTTTCTAGTGGAGTTTGTTGATACTCTCTTTAGGGTTAGGTGAAAGCTGGACATTGTTATCTTTTAGAGCATGAGGATGTAGTAACTGAGGTGAGTTCCCTTCTGGGCTCTTCTGATGGAAGGGAAGGTTGGGGCAATCAGAATGCCAACTATGGTCTGCCCAATTCTGCCTGGTTGATGCTAGTAGTATGTAGTGACACAACTTCCTGTTGGGCCTTGCTAACAGGTATAAAAAAAGAGGTTGCAAACTTCCAAATAACTTCAGTGCCCCTGTTCTTTTCTCCCACATAAATAAAGCTTATCTCTCCACAGGGCCCTCTTTATAATATCCTGCTGGGTGAAATGGAGTACTGCCTACTTTCACTAGATGGAGATATACAATTAACTCCAATTTCATTATTTACTGACACCATCTGGTTAGAAAAATTGGAGCACTGCCTGGTTCAAATGACAAAGGGGTAGTACGTCAGCTTTTGGTTCGGCCTTGCCTAAAATACCCTGTAGTGGAATCTTTGTGCCATAATCTGCTTCTACTTTGTAGAGAATGAAAGATTTACTCATCTCTTTGTTGATACTCCAGAAGAATCCGGAGTACCAGTTCCCTTTGCCAGCAAAGGATGGAAGATAAGCTTTTGGCTTGTTCTGCTGACACTGCTCTGCTGGGAAATTGTGGTATGCAGTCTGCTTCCTAGTGGTAATTGGGATAAGAATATCAGTTTCCTTTTTAGCCCTATTGCAGCCGTATTATGTCTGTGCGTGGTGGAGTGTAGGAGAATGCAACTGTACTTTTTTTACCCTGTGGTTTCTGGCAGTGTTGTGGATAAGTTTTCAGTTTCTATGCCATTCTTTTCCTGGTGTTTTGGCTAGGAGTAATAGGATTTTTTTAGTGGCCTGGGTTGGAGCCTTCAGCAATACCCTGTCTGTAACATATAGAAGGCAACAAGGAAAAACGGGCACTTGCCATATTGTCATTCTTTGAGTCCCAATGTCTGTATGCAGTCCTGCTTCTGGTTTTATCTTAAGAATTTTGAGATGGGTCCTGAAGAGTACTCAGTCCTCATACTGGTAATTCCCAAACACTTAGGTGAGATCTTTAATTCACTGCTCTCTATGTGCATATTTTTCCAGTCTGTTTGATGATAGTAGTTATGGATCTTGGTTTTGTAGACATTGTTCTCTCTGGTTCTTTCAATAGCTTTTTCCCT
The DNA here is from genome assembly GCF_000001405.40 of Homo sapiens. NCBI lineage: Eukaryota > Metazoa > Chordata > Mammalia > Primates > Hominidae > Homo > Homo sapiens. Next base: position 13,422,858 of record NC_000024.10, on the reverse strand, counting down.
GATATTGGTAATTTTCTTAAGAAGAGTTTAAACCACTTCAGATCTCTGAAGCTGCCTTTGTAGCTCTCTACTTTTTAGAATTCTGTCTCAAGATCTCTTGATTAGTTATGTTGGTTTCCTTACACTCACAGATCTAGTTCTTCATCCAAGCAGTCTCCATGGTTTTACCTGCTTTATCTTGTGTCATTGATATTGCCATTACGGAGTTTATATCAGTTGTTTTTACTTTTCATTCAGAGATACTATCTTTCTTAATTGATATACATTATTCAACTTCTCTTTAATGATTCTTTTTTCCCCTTTCAGTTTTTTTGGGAAAACCAAGAAGTCTTTTAGTACCTGTCTTTTAGTGTCCTTCTTTATTGAACTTTGTTTTTATTATTTCTTGAAATCACTTCTAGGCAAATGAAGCTAGTTGGATTTTGATGTGTTCATTTTATTGTGTTTTCATACTGTCTTCTACTTATGCTCAGTTTCTATTTCTCATGGCGAGGGTTGAAGTTTTTTGTAAAATAAGGTATATAGTATGAGCTGTTTTTAAGAAAAATATTAAGCAAATTGTAATAAATCTCAGTGGATGTTTGAAAATACTTTAGTTATACTTGAATAAGAAGTTTGGAAGATGAATTAGGAAGAAATAGAAAATGTTCTAGGCATATAACATTTTGGCAAGCAAAAGTCTAATTTAAATGGTTGACATTTTGTGACAAATATGTTGTTATAATAATTTTCATTTGTTTATGAGCATGCATATTTCCTGTTTGTTTATATTTTATATTCCTCACACCAACATCTTTTTATGTTATGAATTAATCGATCAAGAGTTGAAATAGTGACACTTATTGAACTACTGTTGTTTCCTAGGTAGAATATAATAGCATTTCTATTAAAAAAAATTATAGTAGACACAGTTGATATGTTGCTCTTTCTCTCTTTTTAAAACTTTTAGATTTGGGGGCACATGTGAAACTTTGTTACATAGGTAAACTCATGTCACTAGGGCTTGTTCTTCAGATCATTTTATCAGCCAGGTATTAAGCCTGGTACCCAATAGTTATCTTTTCTGCTCCTCTCCCTCCTCCTACCCTCCACTCTCAAGTAGATCCCAGTGTCTCTTGCAGTATTTGATTTTCTGTTCCTGTTTTAGTTTGGTAAGGATAATAGCTTCCAGCTCCATCCATGTTCCTGCAAGAGACGTGATCTTATTCCTTTTTATGGCTGCTTAATGTTCCATGGTGTATATGTACCACATTTTCTTTATTTACTCTTTAATTGCTGGGCATTTAGGTTGATTCCATGTGTTTGTTGTTGTGCATAGTGCTGCAGTGAACATTCACATGCCATGTGTTTGCTATTGTGCATAGTGCTGCAGTGAACATTCATATGCATTTGTCTTTGTGGTACAATGATTAATACTATAAATCATCATTTATACTACTTATATAATATAGTGAGAATATACTCTGGGGGTATATACCCAATAATGGGATTGCTGAATCAAATGGTAGTTCTGCATGGGTTTAGCTCTTTGAGGAATTGTTATACTGCTTTCCACAATGGTTGAACTAATTTATTTACACTCCCACCAAGGGTGTGTAAGTATTCTCTTTTCTCAGCAACTTTGCCAGCACCTGCTATTTTTTGACTTTTTAATAGTAGCCATTCTGATTGGTGTGAGGTGGTATCTCATTGTGATTTTGATTTGCTTTTCTCTAATAATCAGTGATACTGAACTTTTTTTTCTCTATGCTTGTTGGCTGCATATATGTCTTTTGAAAAATGTTACTTTATGTCCTTTGCCCACTTTCTAATGGGGTTGTTTTTGTCTTGTAAATTTAAGTTCCTTATGGAGACCTTTGTCAGATGCATACTTTGAAAATAGTTTATTCCATTCTGTAGATTGTCAATTTACTATGCTTGGTTTGCTTACTCTGTTTTGCTCTGCAGACGCTCTTACCTTTAATTTGATCCCCCTTGTCACATTTTGCTTTTGTTGCGATTACTTTTGGTGTATTTATCATGAAATTTTTGCCCATTCCTATGTCCGGGATGGTGTTGCCTAAGCTGTCTTTCAGGGTTTTTATAGTTTTGTGCGTTACATTTAAAGTCTTTAATCATCTTTGACTTTTGGTAACTGTAAGCTGGAAGGGGTTCAGTTTTAGCTTTCTGCATATGGCTAGCCAAGTATTGCCTAAGCTGTCTTTCAGGGTTTTTATAGTTTTGTGTGTTACATTTAGAGTCTAATCATCTATGACTTTTGTAACTATAAATAGGAAGGGGTTCAGTTTTAGTCTTCTGCATATGGCTAGCCAGTTATCCCTGCACTATTTATTGACTAGGGAGTCTTTTCCCCTTGTTTTTGACAGCTTTTTTGAAGGTTTGTTGGCCATAGGTGTATGGCTTTATTTCTGGGCTCGCTATTCTGTTCCATTGGTCTAAACATCTATTTTTGGACCAGTACCATGCTGTTTTGGGTAATGTATCCCTGTAATATAGCTTGAAATTGGGTAACATGATGCCTCCAACTTTGTCTTTTTGCTTAGGATTGCCATAGCTATTTAATGTTGCCCATATTCTCTTTGGCATTCTCTAGTTCTGGTCTTTGTGAGCTTTGAGTACTTGACATCTAAGTTGGTTTTGAGGTCTCTAGAGAATGCCCAGAAATTGTAGCCTTGCCATGAAAGGAATCCAGGACAGGTGGCCATGAACGTATACAGTGTGCTTTTGAAAGGATTCTGCTATATTTTGGTGGATGGCCCAGTGCTTGTGATCAGATGTCCTTCTCACCAGATGCCCCTGTCAGAGGAAACCCATCTATAAAGACAGTTCCTCACTAGCAATGATTACTCCTAGTTTCTGATATTATGAAGGTGTGAAAGTGGTATGTATTCAGCAGAAGCAGTGAGCTTCAGTTACCCATACAGCCATTCTGCTGTTCACTTTTAGTACAATATTCAGTAAATTAAATGAGATTTTCAGCACTTTATTATAAAATAAGCTTTGTTTTCAGTGATTTTGCCTGACTATAGGCTAATGCAAATGTGCCTTAGTCTGAGCAATATGGTGAAACCCTGTCTCTACCAAAATTACTTAGCCAGGCATGGTGGCTTGTTGCCTGTGTTCCCAGTCAGTCAGCAGGCTGAGGTGGGAGGATAGCCTGAATCTGGGAAGTCAAGGCTGCAGGAAGCCATGATTGTGCCACTACACTCCAGCTGGTTGACAGAGCAAGACCTTGTCTTAAAAAATAGAATGAAATAAAATAAATAAATAAATGTCCTAATCATCCTTAAGGTGGGCTTGGCTAAGCTATGATGCTCAGTAGATTAGGTGCATTAAATGTATTGCCACACTTTCAACTTATCATGGTTTACTGGGACATAACCCCATCTTAAGCCATGGAGCATCTGTTCTGGCAGAAGCCTTGTGGCTCTTACTTAACCAGGATCTAGTTTATTCCTACCAAGACAGACATCTCTAGGAGAGTTTTGACAGGAGGAGAGTTTGGTTTGGATTAACAGTCAGGTGAGACAGAGGGTGGTGCACCACAGTACAAATGAAATAACAGAAGTAGTGTATTACAGAGAAGAGATAGCATGCCTTGCAGGTATGTGGAAAGGGGGAACTCTCTGGGATGCTCAATCCAGTGGAGACAGTGTGAGGGAACTATGGGCCAAAGCCTTTATTAGGACTCAGGGTATTACCCAAGCAGGTTTCCCTCGGTGATTCTAATTGGTGGGTTTAGAGCAAGTTACAGGAGTTCAGGGTGTGACTGAGGTGATGGTGGTGGCATATCTTTGTCATCCTTGTAGGTTGTAAGGGTTAGTGCGGTAAATCAAGTGGGTTGTGTCTAGCTCTTCCACAGGGAAGTGGTAACCAGGAGGCAATTGCTTAAGGCAGATATCTAGATTAACTATATTGAGGAACTGGAAGAGGGAGAAATTAGAAACTGTGTCAAGGGCAACTAAGTCCTGCTTCTAATATGAAAAAGTTCTGCTTATATTCAAAATGGATGCCAAGGCAACCTAAAATTATAATTTACTGCAGGAATCCATCTCCCTGTTTCATGCTGCAAAAAGAATTAGTGACGTCTAAAAACCTAAAAATGTAATGGCTAGATGACTTTTCTGAGTTTAAAATACTGTTTTTAATACATATTGAGAATCGTGTAGATTTCTATTGTATATTGAAAGAGGGGGATCTGTCAGTGTTGCAGTGAATACATACCACGTAATAATTGTGTGCTCATCCAGCAGTTAGAATGGCGATAATTAAAAAGTCAGGAAACAACGTGTGCTAGAGAGGATGTGGAGAAATAGGAACACTTTTACACTGTTGGTGGGACTGTAAACTAGTTCAACCATTGTGGAAGTCAGTGTGGCAATTCCTCAGGGATCTAGAACTAGAAATACCATTTGACCCAGTGATCCGATTACTGGGTATATACCCAAAGGATTATAAATCATGCAGCTATAAAGACACATGCACATGTATGTTTATTGCGGCACTATTCACAATAGCAAACACTTGGAACCAACCCAAATCTCCATTAATGATAGACTGGATTAAGAAAATGTGTCACGTATACACCATGGAATACTGTGCAGCCATAAAAAAGGATGAGTTCATGTCCTTTGTAGGGCCATGGATGAAGCTGGAAACCATCATTCTCAGCAAACTATCGCAAGGACAAAAAACCAAACACCGTATGTTCTCACTCATAGGTGGGAACAATGAGAACACTTGGACAGAGGAAGGGGAACATCACACACCAGGGCCTGTTGTGGGGTGGGGGGAGGGGGGAGGGATAGCATTAGGAGATAAATCTAACGTAAGTGACGAGTTAATGGGTGCAGCACATCAACGTGGCACATGTATACATACGTAACAAACCTGCATGTTGTGCGCATGTACCCTAGAACTCAAACTATAAAAAGAAAATTGGGTGCTCATCATGAAACAAGTGGAGATTTTCACAGTGAACTGAAAACTGAAGAGAACTGTTTAATATTTGAGCATTTCTAACTCAAAAATCTAAAATTTAAAATGCGCCCCATAAATTGAAAACTTAAAAATTTCACAGCCAGCCTCATGTGATGTGTCCTAGTCCAAGTGCAGGTGCATAGAACATAGTTTATTCACCATCCCCAAGGGAAGAAGACACTCTCAGGTCCCTTCAGCTGTTACATACCTTTTCCATCCATGCCAGATAAACCCAGATAAGCAAGGCCACAAAGGGTAATAAAATGACACTTGTGTAGCCTGGATGTGCCAATGGCAGGATCTCCACAATGCCCCACATGGGGCCCAAACCTCTATGCACTGTTTTTTGCTTGTTGTCTGCTTAGTGATGTAAAGAGACTGTATCAGAAAAGTCCTACAGATAACCTTATGGGTAAAAATGGTAAGAAAAAGAGGAAGTATTTATGTTTATAGCACATAAAGTCAAACAGAGAAACTGAACTGTGATGTGTGAAACATTTATAGAAGAGCATATAGCGTTGGAATGACCGCCAATGTGACTTGAAGAAACAGAAGGATAAACTATTGAAGTTATGTGTGGAAAGGATGAACTGAAGTTAATGAGAAATAGGAAAACACTGTGTAAAGCTAAAAATGTAGATTTTGACTGTGTATTGAAAGAGGGGATCCGTCAGTGTTGCATTGAATACATGCCACATAATAATAGTGTGTTCATGAAACAAGTGGCTGTTATCGCAGTAAACTGAAAACTGAAGAGAACGGTTGAATATTCAACAAGCTAGTTGCAGAGGTTTAAAAATAACTGTGCTGACATGTGCTAATGTGACAAGCATGCATAAATCTGAACTTATGTGGTAGGCAAAAGCTTGTGTACTGTGTTCAGGGAGTGAATTTCTTACCAGTTCATTATTATACTAACAGAAAGGCATGGATTACCAGCAACATCTTTTCTGATTGGTTTCGTAAATATTTTGTACTAGCTGCTTGTACTCATTGCAGGAAGCTGGACTGGTTGACATCTGCTCTGCTCATCCTTCAGCTGAAATTTTACTCAGAAATAATCTTTTTGCCATGTCCTTTTCTCCAAATGTGACTTCATTAATTCAACCATGTGAGCAGGGTATCTTTATATCAATAAAGACTAAATATAAAAATTCTTCATGAATAGCATGCTGGCATGAATGAACAGAGATGTGAGTGTGGCAGGTCTTCAGAAGGAGTTAGCATGAAGAATGATGCTGTATATGCTATTGCCTGTATTTGGAATGCAGTGACTAAAGATATTGTCTTAATGTCTGGCACAGCTATGCTCTGTGACCGTGTTCAGTGATGACGATAAACAAGGTGGTAATTTTGAAGGATTTTCTATGTCAAGTAAGAAAAAAATGACATCGCTCTTCCTTAAATACACAAAATAAAGCTAGAAGAATTATATATCAAGACTTTAACATTAATAATTAGGCCCTAGTTGTTCTTTTAACAATTGTGAAATAGCCAGAATAGTCTGGTTGAATTAAGATGATTGTGATAGTAGTGATAATGAAGGTGATGTTTTTAAGACTGCAGGGAAGGTGCCTACAGACAATGTGATGAAAATGCCTGATGGACTTATTGAAGGACTAGGACAGCAGGCATTCATAACAAGAAATCATGTCAGGTTATAAAATGAAAGAGATATGCAAGGCAAAAGCCATTGTGAATCAGGCAGATAATTCTGCAGAAACATTTAACAAGCCATTCATGCCATGCATGGTGGCTTATGCCTGTAATCCCATATGAATGTGGTGTGGTGGTGGGTGCTTGTAGTCCTAGGTACTCAGGAGACTGAGGCAGGATAATTGCTTGAACCCTGGAGGCAGAGGTTGCAGTGAGCTTAGGTCATGCCACAGCACTCAAGCCTGGGTGACAGAGTGAGAACCCGTATCAAAAAAATAATAATAAATAAATAAATAATGCAGTGTGTACAGTAAATTTTTCATCAAAATACAGCATCATAGGTGGAGACTGAAAACCTGCTGTTCTGTTGTTGTTCTTGTTGTTGCAGTTTATCAGCTGATACAGGTACATTCATACATCTCAATGACAGGAATGCAATCTGACAAATTTGTTTTTAGGCAGTTGCATCATTGTGTCAACATCATATGGTGTACTTACAGAAACCCAAATGATGCAGCTTATTACACAGCTTTGCTGTATGGTGTAGCCTCTAGGTCATAGGCTACAAACCTATGTAGCATGTTACTGTACTGAATACTATAACTAATTATAACACAATGGTGTTTGTATATCTAAACATAGAAAAGCTCAGTAAAAATCAATTATTATAGTCCTGTGGGACCACTGTTGTATATATATGTTGTCTGTCATTAACAAGGCCCATGACTGTATGCTACCATGCTGTTCAGTTACCCAGACACTGTTTCTCTCTGTATAATCTTGTGTCATATTTTTTACTGTTTTAAACACTTATGTGTGAATTAGTGTAAGAAAATGATTGCTTCTCAGTGGCATATGTAAATTCCTGATTAGGAATAGATGGTGATGCCAAACAACCACAGATTGCACTCTTACGTGGCTGAAATTGTGACACCTTTGCTTTCAGATGGTTCAGTATACAAAAACTTTGTTTCATACTCAAAATTATTAAACGTTTTGTACACAGTTACCTTCAGGCTATGTGTATAAGCTATATATAAAACAAATGAATTTTGTGTTTAAACTTGGGTTCCATCCCCAAGGTATCTATGTATACGCAAGTACTTAAAACCCAGAGAAGTTGGAAATTTGGAACACCTAGTCTCAAGTATTTTGGATAAGGGATGAACAATCTGTACTAACATTTAGTAGAGGGTGATGCTGTGCATTAAAAAAAAAAAGGTAACTACCTTTTTTGTAACATTGAATGGCAAATTGATTCCAATTTTCAAAATGGAGAGAACTTGAGAAAAAGTAGAGAAGAATATTGTAATATATGGTAAAATATTCAGAACTTAAAACATCTCGTTACGTGACTTCTTATTAATATATGTAATAGTAATAGATATAAAATCTGTTATAAAGGTTGTTTTGTGTTTTATATTAACAGAATGCTGCGTTTTTATATGGCCTTGGTTTGGTCTACTTCTACTACAATGCATTTCATTGGTAAGTTGACTTATACCATTTGTTTCCAGTAAATGGTGATTTTAATGTCTGTAACCATACATTTCCAGTAGTATCACTTATTTTACTGCAGTTTCTAATCAAGTTCAGCCCATCATTCTTTCATCTTGGCCAGTAATTGGTAACTTGATTATAAACTGCCCTGCTCCTATTTTATGTTTTACCCCATTCGAGTGCTGTGACAGTCCGAAGGAAGATAATTACTGTGTGATCAAGATTTGCAATGTGTAGGTTGCCGTAATGTTTATTACAAATTCTTAAATATGCACTGACAGCTATTTGACATGTTTTCCCACAGGTGAATATTTAACTTTAACCTGGATAGCTTTTCCTGCCTTCTGTTTTTCTTCCTTCTCTGCCTTTGGGCATTTAATTACATCAAGTCTGGAAATAATTGTTTGCTACTAAGCGTTAAGATTCTATAATGATTTTTTTCATGAATAATATACATTGTTTTAAGAGATCTTAAACTTAATTCACTAACCGTCTTGTATAATCCGTCATAAATATGTTAGTTCTTGGTCACTGTTATTTAACCATTTATTTAGTGGTATAAGCAGACCTGATGTCTGGGTCCCCAGTCTAATAATTTAAACAAAATTCCTACTGAAACCAAAAAATGCATATTTTCTGCATATTTTGGCATTGGAATCGAAAGGCAGAAAAACTTTGCATTGGAACAGAAAAACTTTCTGTTATCATTGGGAAGGGTACTGACAAAGGATCCTTTGGGTGCCGCTTCACAAGACCTGTTTGTCTGGCAGGGCCTCTGCTCAAGTTTGGTTCCTGATGGCTGGACTGGCTCTGCCCAGTTGGCCCTGCAGGCTGTGCTTGGCTCATGGTACCCGCTCAGATTTCACACCCGCCAGTGGGGAGCCAGGTGCAGAGTGGCAAGACCTATGTGAGCCAGTGGGCATGGGGTCTGGCCATGGCATACAGTCAGGTGTGCCGGCAGGTTGGGCAACTCCAGGTGCTGGCACATGGGTGAGCTCTGCGCAAGTCTGTGGCTGGACCAACGGTGCCTTCAGCGGCTTCCGCCTTGGGTGCTGGCAACTGGACTACGGGAACGCTGTGGCGCTGAAAATATTTGGAGATGCCAGAAACCACAAAGCCCCAAAGGGGGTGTTACAGTTTGTTACAGCTCTGGCTTGGGGAGTCCTGGTGTCTGAGCCCCCACGAAGTGTTACAGCACATTCGTATTACCACTCCCTCATTGGTATTACCGCTCCCTCACCAAGTCCACACACTTCCAGCGAACGGGGTTGTGTGCCTCCCAGTTGGTTCAGTCCCATTACCTGGCTTAAGCCGACGGCTCCTGGGCTGGCCTGGCACCCTGCTGCTTCCTGTCACATGGGGCAGCCACCCGGTGTGGATAGAGGGCAGGAGGGCTACAGTGTTGCAGTCACTTTATGCCCTGCCCTTTGGTGGGTACTGGGTTCTTGTTCTAGGTCCAAGAAGAATGAGCTAACATGGACAACTAGAGGGTGAGCAAGGCAGAAAAGTTTTACTGAGGAACAGAACAGCTCTCAGCTGAGAGGGGACCTGAAGTGGGTAGCCCCTACCCAAAGGTGGATAGTGCTAAAGTATGGCTGAGTCTGGGGTTTGTGTGGGCTCAGAATGGGTGAGTGCATGCTGATTGGTCCAAGGTGGGCCTGGAAAAAGCACCTTTTGGCTGGCTAAAAGTTGTCAAGGAAGTTCTCACTCTGGGTCACAGACTCTACCTGTAACTGGCAGCCCAGTTTTCAGGCTTCAGGCTTTCTTTGGCTTGAATGTCAGGTTTCACTGGGGACCTGCCCCTGTCTGCCCAAGGCAGTGATAACACTGGTAAAGAATTTAGGGGGCATGTATTCAAAAGTAAGGATATAAGTTGTAGTTAGTAGAATAATTTATTATGCTTTGCCCCATGTAAAGATGGTTATTTTAATCAGTATTTATAATTATTTCTCTGGGCATATAGATAAAATCATTTTAGTCAGCCAGAATTTACTTAGGTGAAATCCAGTGTAAAACTAGTGACAAGGAAACTGTATTCCTATACAGTTTAGGGGAATAAACTGTGTGCATCATGTTGATTTACATGTGCATCATGTGATTAGTGTGCATCATGTTGATTAATTTTCATATAATTGTGATAACTCATGTTCTCCCATAGATTGAAGATAAGAACGTAAAATCACTACACAGATAAAGCTAGCATAGATACAAAATAGTGATTGCTTTAATATATATTAAATAATGTGTTGTCTTTAAGTGATGTCTGTATAATTCCCCAAACCCCCTACCTTTTAAAATGCTTAATCTTGGAATTAATGGATATGGAATATACATAATTTTAGAAGTAGGAAATTACTTATCAGACTAACCTATTAGGGGCATGTGTAGCATCCTATATCCCATTTTGTCATATTACTGGTATCTGTATCTTTTTATACTGTATAGAAAATGTCATTTGTATTAGAAACACTTAAGATTCTAAATTGTTACTTTCAAAGTATTTGGAGAATAATTTAGATTCAAGCAGACTTTTGCCCTCGTATTTATTTTTGAGGAAATTATCATTTACATAATTCAAGCAGTAAAAATATTCAAAATACACTCACTGTTAAAAAGAAAACCTCTACTTATCTGTGGATTTTCTTTATTGGAGAGACCCATTTAAAAAAGAAACAGTAATTAAGACAGTATGATAGCATTTGAACAAAGGTGGATTGATAGACTAATCAACACTGAATTAGATTGGAGAACCCAGAAACAGTCCCACATGAACATGAGTACTTGATTTATATCAAAGGTAACACCATATTGCTCTGGAATTATAATAGTCTGCTCCACAAATTATGCTAGACTATAGGAAATCTATGTGGAAAAAATAAAAATTGATCCCCTATCCATGTTATTACACATACTTAGAATGGTAGTAGATAATGGCAAACAGGCCAGGTGTTTGCCTGTAATTTCAGCTCTTTGGGAGGCTGGTGCAGGAGGATCCGTTGAGCCCAGAAGTTCATGACCATCCAGGACATCAAAGAGAGATCCTCTCTGTACAAAAAATGAAAAAAATTAGCTAGGAGTATTGGCATGAACCTGTGGTTCCAGCTACTCAGAAGGCTGAAGTAAGAGGATTGCTTGAACCCAGGAGGTCCAGGCTGCAGTGAGCTGTGATTGTCCTGCTACACTCCAGCATGGGTGACAGATTGAGACCTTGTCATTTACAACAAAAGAGTATACCAAAAGTGAAAGGCAGAAATAAAGTTTTAAAAAGTTGGCTTATATGAAGCTGAGTAGAAGCAGAATTAACACCTTCACTTTCTCACCTTTTCACATTTTCCTGCTGTTCTTCCTTGAATGTTTCAGAAAGATTTGTAGTAATTTCCACTGAATTTTTTCTTGAACCTTTAGATATTTTTGAATAGTTGACGGAATTGAGAACAAAAGGATTATGCACTTTCTTATCCCTTTCTAATCTTTTCCGTTCATTCATACTGTTTTTTATAAAGTTGGTACTTTCAATAAAATTAAATAACCAGAATGTTTCCTATACTATCAAGTGAGATATATGTAAGTATTAAAAATCACAGTTTCTTATGTTTTTATTTTTTTCAGGGCAATTAAAGCATTTCAAGATGTCCTTTATGTTGACCCCAGCTTTTGTCGAGCCAAGGAAATTCATTTACGACTTGGGCTCATGTTCAAAGTGAACACAGACTACAAGTCTAGTTTAAAGGTAGGTGGTTGAGATTTTTCCCACATACACAATTTCATATGTGTGTGCGTGCATGCACATGTGCGCATGCACACTTTAATGTCACTGAGAAGCGTTGGAATTTAGTGCTATGAAAATCTTAGAAAATTGAGGATATGACCTAAAGGGTTAAAATAAGGTTGGAAATGAGTTTCAGGATATAAAATGAACACCAAGACTTGCAAGATAATTTTGGCACCTTAAAGTTTTTGTTTTGTTTAATTTTAAAAGTTTTTATATAATCAGGAGATGGTGAAGGTTTTGATTTCCTTTGAGCATCAACATTATTTTGTGTGTCTGCCACCAAAGAGAGAGAGAACAGGCCAGTTAGTGATGTCATACCAGTGATTTAACTATTGATTATTGCTTTGTATAGGTCTTATTAGAAATCTACACCTATTATAGCAAAACATGTGTCATAGCAAAGTTGTTTAATATAATATTCACTCTAAGGCTTTTGGACTGCCAGTTGCTAAATATGCAGTTTTTGGGTAATATGCAGATTTTTGGGAAAAATTACATTATTGTTTAAATATCTTAATTCTGTGGAAATTTGATTTCTCAAATTTTTTTTACTTTTTTGCTATGTGAAGCTATTTTGTTTTCCAAGACTTTAATGAAAATAGGTCTTCCCTTTAAGTTAAAAGCATTGTCTTTTGAAAGAATTATAGCTTCTGGAGAAAATAATAAGGTTTGTGATTTTATGCGTATTAAGAATGTTTCTCCTTTTCCAGATACAGATCTTTTGTAGATTATCTTAATTTTACAGGTGGAGGGTATTTATGTAACTTAACAATAGGATTTACTTTGAACTCACTAACACAGAAATATTAAAGGAATGCTTTTTAAAAACTCTGTGTTGTTTGGGGTTCCCCAAACCTCCCTCAAGTTCAGTGATTTGTTAGAGGGACTTAACCCAGATAACAGTTATACACATGGTTACAGTTTATTACAGTGAAAGAATACACATTAAAATTATCAAAGGAAAAGACATGTAAGGGCAGAGTCTAGGAGAGAGAACCAGCTGCAAGATTTCATTTGTCCTCTTTTGTTGTACATCTGTGAGCTGCAATTGATTTTCCCAGCAGCAAGTTAGGAAAACATAGACAGAATATTGTCCACCAGAGGAACTCAGTGACTGTTGCTTTTCAGAGTTTTTACTCGGATTTGATCTTGTAGCTCTGGAGGACCTGCCTACTAAGCTACCTTAGTAGCTTAGTCTCCAGTGCCTACAGAGAGAGGTCTGATACCATATTGCCCCAGGCCTCTGCCATAAATCAATTGTTAGCATAACTATCTGGGATGAACCAAAACCCCAGATAAATAAAGACACTCTTGTCAGACTAGATATTCCAAGGACTTCAGAGATTACTGTGAGGAGCTTGTCAAGATTCATACCTTTCTTTGAATGTGCTTGTCTGGCCAACGCAGACTTGCTGAATTAATGCCTTACTGCATGTGGTTCTTAACTCAATTATGCCTTAATTGTTTTAAAGTTTACAATTATGTAGACTGTTTGTGCTATTTATGTTTTTTACAGTATGATGCTGATGGAACATAGTCAACCCAAAACATTAAAATCATTGCAAGTAAACTACATAAATAACTTAGATTTCACACTACTCAGAAAAAAGTGGAGCTGAGGAGTCCCTAAGTCCAAGGTTAAGTGCAGTTGATGTGGAAAAATAGAATAGAATTTTTCAGTCTTTCTGAAATTTTCAAATTTTCAGTTTTTCTCAAATTCAGAGTAACATTTACAAATTGCTTACCATTTGAGATACCTGTGGATTTGAAATTGAAAATAAGTACAGCTATGCCACTTTGTAGATTTTAATCCTCTCTGCACATTATATGTGTATACACACACAAACATAAAGTCTGTAAAAGGCTCTAAGATGTTTTACAGCAGAAAATAAATATGGTAAAATTTTCTCAGACCATATTAACAGATAACTCATTCCTATATGTGCTTTTCTTTGCTTAGTCATATGTAAAGGGTAGCAAACCCTTCGAGTAAGGTTGGTTTTAGCAAAAAATGTCTTAGATATATGCTGTTTTCTTTTTTTTTGCCCATCTTTCATTTTTTTTAAACACTCAGCAAGTTTTTGATGTTTATTTCATTTGTATAGCATTAAAAAGTTTTGGGATGTTTTCAACATTAATCTTCTCTTAGTGTGAATATCTTACTTGATTTTTATCTCATCCTGAAATTTTATTTCTTAAGTTTTCCCTCATAATCAAAATACTTCTTGTCTATTTTTGAGATTGTTATAGGCATCGATAGTTTAACTGAGGAAGAGATATTTCTGTATATTGCTGTAAGTACTTGGCATTTAAAATGATTAAAGGTGTGAGTTAGAATGAATATCTCCCTTTTCAAAGTTTCCAGTTTTCTTTAGTTGGTTAGTAATTTATATAGCTAAAGATGGAATCTATCATGATATTTGTATAATAGCAAGGTGTTTTCCTGGCAAAGTGTACTCAGAGAGACACTTTGGGCTTTACTTTTATAAATTCCAACTCAAAAATTACTAACTCATAATAGGAAGTCCAGGCTTCAAGGTTAGTTGATTCAGATACACAGATATCTCATCAAAGATCCATATTCACTTTTGTTCTCTGTTGGATTTTTCCATGTTTAGTAGAAGATACTTACCAGGTGTAATTAAAATGACTTTTTTTTTTCATATTTTCATAGGGACATTATAGAGTAATGACTTAGATGCTTAGTAATATTGGTAATAACTAACTGCTCAATAAATATATGATTTATCATTCTTATCTTGATTTAGAGTATGGAAAAGGGCAAAATTTCCATTGCTGTCTTCAAAAATGAGTAGTAACTTTGTGAAAAGCCTCCAAAGTTTGCCTTGCCTATCATTTGCCAGAAATACACTATGTGCTCATTAAGTTATTTCCTATCAGAGGGCTAATATTATTCACAGTCTCATTCTTGAGTAAGGTTTAGTTCTCCAAGAGGGTTACAGAATGGATATATTGTGATGGAGAACAGAATTTAAGTTCATTACAGTTCATGAGTTCTCTACTTCATTTTCTTCCCTTAGTTCCATGAAAGAGTATATATGATATTTCTAAATGGTAAATTATTTAAATAAAATACAGGTAGTTTTCGCAGTAGATCTGTCTCTCTTTTGTTTATACATGGCATACATTCCAGGGCTTTATAGTTCATTAATTGTTCCTGAAAATGGCCAAATGTCACTGAAACAGTTTAATTCAGCTTTAATATAGTGTAAACTGGCATTGAAGTAGCAGATTTGATTTTAAAATTTGATGTTAACACTTCTAATTAAATGTGTAACCTTGGCTAAAGTGCCTATTTGATTCTTAATATAATCTGGGGACATAGAATAATTATACCCACATCTAGGACATAGTGACTAAGTAAAGGAAATGGAAGTACCTGACAAATAAAATTTTACTTGGCTCATCAGCCCTTTTAAGTTCTGTTTCTCATCTGCCATCTAAAATTTCTCTAATCTGGGGCCATTATCTAGTATTTGTGAATTCTGTTTTTCTGTCACAGAATTTAATCCATCCTTTAAAAAGTGAAATTAATCAAATTTCCATGTGTTTAATACATGGTAGAAATAGCAGTTGTCAATTGATTAACTAGATTAAAAGTATATATGAATTATTCCATTTTAGAGCGACTTTTCTACTTCACATTTTGTTTTTTCCTTCTTCAGATAACCTTTAAGATTTTACTTTATTATCTCTCACTATAGGTGATATTACTGATATTTTGTTATACTTTGTATATATTTGCAGCAGTGGATTATCATTACTTGAAAAAAAGGTTAATTTTGACAGATAGTTTTATATAATGCCTAGCAACTTACATAAACTGGTAAACTGTTAAAACTGTTTCTTGAAGGTAGGAATAGTATATACAAATGTATATGGGAAACACAATATTCTTCAGTAGCTAACACCAGTACAACTACTTGATTTAATGAAGATTGCATAAAGAGAGTAGATCTTAAGCATTCTCACAATATCCCCCACCCTTACCACTTCTTACATGTGGAGGACATACAGGAAATAAATGTGAGGTGATATGTTAACTAGCTTAATTATTGTAGACATGTCACAATATATATATATGTTTACATCACAGTATTTTATATATATATATCTTATATGTAAAATTTGTATATATACAAATTTTTATATATAATTTTATATATAAGTTATATATATATAAATATACAGTATTTTGAGGTATTATGAGTTTATTGAGGGATATATATATACATAAACATACTTCAATAAAGCCGGAAAAAAGATTGTATAGAAATTTACTAAATATTTGCTTATGTCTACATATGCTGATTTATTTGAACACACATCAACATTAGAAGCTTTTGGATTTTTAAAATCCTTTGTGTTTGAAAATGAGGATAATTGGTGAGCATACTGAGGTATTTATTGTCCCCTTAAAATTTGCTAGTGGAAAATAATAAATGCTGATTTAAGAGGCAGATGTGAAAGGGGTAAAGAAGATGAGATTTATGGCATCATTCCTATGTTCAAAACTAGGACAAAAAAAAAAGGTCATGTTTTATTACTCTTGAAGCATTTTTTAAAAACATAAATTGATTTTATTTTGCCTTTTAAATAAATGTGTAACCTTACCTAGGGGTGCCTAATTGGTTCTTATGATACCTGTGGGCATAGAATAACTATATCCACCTTCTAAGACATAGTGAGTAAATAAGGTATATGACATTATCTGACAAAATTTTACTTGGCTCTTCAATATTTAGGATACTGTCTAAGTACTGGGCATCACATAACAAAAATAAGCTTAAAAAATTAAGACTTATCATATAGGTTCTTAACAAATATCGAATGGATAAATGTGACAGCAGACACATGTAGATCAGAGATCAAGTGGTCTTTGAAATTGCTTTTAATTATATAAAGACACACAGACCAGCAGTCCCTATCTGCAAGCTAATATAAAATAGGTTTATTTAAGGGCAGAATCTGGATTAAAATTCATCGAACACGATTGTGATTGACATTATTAAGTCATGAAATAGAGTTATTAATGAGGACTTTTTAAACTCTTAAAATTTGCTGTGGTAAGAGATCATAAATGCATATAACAAACAACTCAGGCCTTATTCCTCAGATCATTTTGGGATGACTAAGCTGCCTTGCATACAAATAAAGAGTGTCATATTTAACAGAATTTTTTTAATATTAAAATTATTTTTTAAATTTTATTTTTAATTGACACGTAATAATTGGACATAGTTATGGGATACAGTGTGATGCTGCTGACACATGTGTACGTACATTGGGTAGCGATCACATCATAGTTTTAGCATATTCATCACCTCAGACATTTCTTTGTGGTAAGAACATTTGGAATCTTTTTTCTAGTTATTTTGAGATACACACTATATAATATTGCTTATTGTAGTCTGCTTGCTATGCTATATAGAAAACTAGAAATTATTCCTCTTACCTACCTGTCATTTTGTACCCCTTGATTAATTTCTCTCCTTCATTCTGTCCATCCAATCTTTGCTGGCCTCTGATGACCACTGTTCTACTCTATATTTCTATGAGATCAAGTTTTTTAACAATGTTCTAAAATAAGTGAGATCATGCAGTATTTGTCTTAATGTCTGTCCTCCAGGTTCATCTGTGTGGCCGTAAATGACGGTACAGTTTAAGATCTCATTTAACATCATCAAATAGTTTCTTGGAAACTTCAGCTTTAAGCGAAATGATATACACAGTACCATTTTTTTTTCCCTCATCAGGATTGTAACTACATGCATTTGAAAGAAGAAATAACTTACTGATACTTTCTTTTTTTTAAATGGATGAACAGTATGTTTATTATATACATGTATATACACACACACACATATGTACACATATATATCGGATTTTCTTACCTTATTCAATCATTGATGAACACTTAGGTTGATCTCATATCTTGGCTATTGTGAATAATACTGCAATAAACTTGACAGATGTCCTTTAGCTACTGATTTCATTTACTTAGGATAAATACCCAGTAGCTGAATTGCTGGATCATATTGTAGTTTATTTTGAGTTTTGAGGAGATTCTGCCACTTTTTTCCATATGACTGTACCAATTTACATTCCCACTGGTATTGTTAAGGGTTCCCTTTCTCTATAGCCGGATCAACATGATACTTTGTCTTTTTGATAATAAATGTATGGGGTGATATCTCACTGTAATTTTCATTTGCTTTTCCCAGTGATTGATGTTGAACTTTTTTTCATATACCTGTTTGTTGCTTGTATGTCTTCTTTTGATAAATGTCTGTTTAATCTTTTTCCCTTTAAGAAAATTGATTTATTAGCTCACCAAGTCACACTTGACACTCAAGGGATCTGAGTTAATCTTTTTATGTGTCTGGAAAGATAACTAAAAATTTGAGGAGCAGCAGTGATGTCTGTTAAAAAAGAAAGATTATTTTTAAATGGAACTCAGATTGCCACTTTTCATCCTAAACACCTCAATACTTTTCTATCATTATTATGATTATGTTCAGAATAGAAAAAGACAATACAATTTCATATTATCTCCTTCATGTTTTTTTGGGCCCTTAACAGATGCTTGTTATTCTGCAATGCATTTTTTAGAACTCTTTCATGGTAACTTTTACTTATCCATGCAGGTCCTACCTTAATAACATTTTCTCAAGGAGGCATCCATTTGTAGGTGGTTAGATCTGTGCTGGACATCTTGTACTTTCATGTGAAATTCTTGCCATTGCTGAATGGATTAGATGAGCATAATTATTTACTTTAATATTTCTCTCTGGCTGGAGCTTTTTCGTGGAGGGATTATGTTTGTTTATTGTTATATGCATAATACGTGGCCTTAGTAGGCATGTAGTTACCTGTCAAATGAAAAGGATATTTGAGGGCTTTATTTGCTCAGTATTGACCAAGCTCAAAGTCTACATTGATGAATAACATTTTTTGATCATAAATAAGAATGAGAGATTTTGAAATATATTTTATTTAAGGAAATTATACTTTAAGAGACTGGCTCTCACTGTTTTCCAGGATTGAGTGCAGTGGCTATTCACAGGCATAATCATAGTACAACGCGTGGAATTCCTGGCCCAAAGTGATCCTTCCATCTCAGACTCCCAAGCAGTTGGGACTACAGGTGTGTACCATTGTGCCTGGCTTTCTACAAGGAATTTATTAAAGATTAGTAAAGCATATAGGTATACAGTAGTCCCCCCTTACCCACATTGTTGTTTTCTGAGGTCAATTACCTGCAACCTTGGCCAGAGATATTAAATGGAAAATAAAGAGAAATAAACAGAAACAAGCAATTCATAAGTTTTAAATTGTCACTGGGCATAGTGGCTCATGCCTGTAATCCTAGCACTTTGGGAGGCTGAGGCAGGCAGATCACGAGGTCAAGAGATTGAGACCATTCTGGCCAACAGAGTGAAACACCATCTCTACTGAAAATACAAAAATTAGCTGGGCATGGTGGCATGTGCCTGTAGTCCCAGCTACTCAGGAGGCTGAGGCAGGAGAATCCCTTGAACCTGAGATTCGGCGGTTCCAGTGAGCTGAGATCCCACCACTGCACTCCAGTCTGGCGACAGAAGGAGATTCTGTCTCAAAAAAAAAAAAAAGTTTTAAATTGTGCACTCTTCTGAATAGCATGATGAAATCATCCTTTTGTCCATCATATCCAGGCTGTATATATTAGCTTGCCCATTAGTCACTTAGTAGCTGTCTCGGTTACCAGAATGAAAAAAACATTGTATCTGTAGGGTTCAGTACTATCCAAGATTACTGGCATCCATTAGAGGTCTTGGAATGTATTCCTCAAGTTTGAGGACATGGGCTACTGTATTCTGAATTGTCTGAAATAACTACTTGATAACTTCATTTTTAGTGCCCATGTTTTGTATTTAGATGCATTGTAGCTGGGCTTGAGAAATGCTTCTTTAATTAGCATAGGTTACATTCAGCAGATGCATATATGATACATTGCTTTCCTAGAATGTGAAGGAAAAAATGCTGTAATAGTACACATATTTTTATTTGGTTTTAATAGAGAATGGTTATATTAAAATTGATTTTAAAATTAGTATCATATTTTATTGAGTTATTTCTAATATTTCTTTATATCCAGTACAAAAACATTTTGATCAAACTGCTATCGAGGCAACAGAAATTATTGCCTGGGGAAATCCAGAAAAGGCTTCGTAATGCAGGTTTGAATCCTAGCCTGAGATTCTTTTTAGAGGATGAGGTGATGTTTGCTGAGGCAGACAACAAACCAATGAGGGAGTAGAGGAAGTATTACAGGTGGTTTAGATTACCTTGGCTGACAGGGTATGGGACCCTTCCACTTGTAAGAAATGGGAAATATCTTAATTTGACTGGAGTTTGGCTTCATGAGAGCAAAATTTGGATGAGACTTAACTGTGAGCATCTTGGTAGAGATACAGAATTTCTTTTGGGATAATTGCTACAGCTAGAGATACAGAACTATATTTTGCAGCAATAGAGTATTCATGTCTTCACAAACATGGTTTAATTGATAATTTGTTTCTGGAAAGATCATTTTTAAGCTTAGTCATAATTTGAGGATTGGGTGACTCTAGTTTGAGGATTGGATACTGAAAATGAAGACGAGAGGTTATATCATTTTGTCTCATTTCCTTTACTGTCTTAATGTTTACTTTTTTGGTTCGTGGTATTTAATTTAGCTTTCTGTAATGTGAGGTGTTGTGCATAACTTTTATTTTTTATAAATATGTAATCAGTTTTAAAAGTCTTTTCTCATGCATGTTTTGAAATATGTATTTTCAAAATGTTTGCTGTTTAAAAATGTTTGGCATTTTATGCTGTTTGGGGGTGTGGAATAGTAAAGCAGTAATTTTACCGTAGCATCCAAGTTTTTTACTGCTCCTGGCAGATCTTGAATGCTGACAAATTAAATGTAGGCTGAGTAATTTGAATTATATACCTCTCTTTTTTCTTTAGGTTTTACTAAAATAGTACTGAAGTGCTGTAATCTTGCAAGTTATTTTATTTTTCCTTTTTTTTTGAGACGGAGTCTTGGTTTTGTCACCCTGGCTGGAGTGCAGTGGCGTTAGCTCACTGCAACCCTTGCCTCCTGGGTTCAAACAATTCTCTTGTCTCAGCCTCCCGAGTAGCTGGGACTACAGGCGCCTGCCACTATGCCCAGCTAATTTTTGTATTTTTAGTAGAGACGGGGCTTCACCATATTGGTCAGGCTGGTCCTGAACTCCTGACCTCAGGTGATCCACCCACCTTGGCCTCCCAAAGTGCTGGGATTACAGGAGTGAGCCACTGCACCTGGTCAAGTTATTTTCTTTTCAGGCCAGTTTCTATCCTGTAGTGACTTGTTTAGGAAAGGCCTGTGTTCTCATATATTTAATAATATGGTTTCAAGACAGATTTTACTTAAAAATATAGTATAGTCTGAAGTGTGGCTATTATGCTTCCCTTTTTGTGTTGAGGAGAGTAAGTATGCTGTACTTCCAATACTTCATATACTTAAAAAATAGTCTGTATTGTCTTGCTCTGTTAGCATACTCCGGTTTGCAAACCAAATATCTTAGTTCATTTCTGCCCCTGCAATAGAGTACTAGAGACTGGGTAATTTATAAAGAGATTTATTTGACATGAAGTTCTAGAGGCCAGGAAGTCCTAGATCTTGGGACCATGTCTGAAGAGAGCCTTCTTGCTGTGTCAGAACATGGTGGAAGGCGTCACATTACAAGCAAGATAGAAAGATACCAGGTGAAACTCACCCTTTTTCTAAGGAACCCACTCTTCTGATGACAGCATTAATCTGTTCATGAGAGAGAGCCCTTATGATCTAATCACCTCTTAAAGATCTCTACTCTTAATGTCACAGTGCCAATTAAATTTCAACATGAATTTTGAATGGAATATTCAAACTATAGCACTAAGGGAAAATAAAAGCAATGTTCACAGTGTTCAAATGTTGGGTTTTTCCTCAGGAAATAAGCTTTTTATTTCCCAGTTTTCTTTTATTATTTTTTATTTCAAAAGTATGTATGTATCATTATAAAAGGTAATACAAACAAAGATCCTATACCCATCAGTTTTTCTCAAAGGTTAACATCTAGGAAATTGACATTGATACAGTCCAGTTTTTTTTTTTTTAGCTTTTTATTTCCAGTGTCTGCAATTGTTTTGATCTTATATGAAAAGAAAAACTTTAGCCTTCATTTATTTTTAGGTTCGTTAGTTGGGTCCCCGCATATTAGACTGACAGAAAAACTAACAAGAGAAAAATAAACAAATTTATTAATGTGTGCATTACACATTATACACTGGAGAACTTTGCGATGAATGTCAACCTAAGTATTCAAAAAGGTCAGTATAATGTTTAAGAAGAGTTTATTCAACTGCAAAGCTAAGGTCCCTGCAAACACAGATTCCATAGAAAGGAAGTTAGTTTTCCAAAGTGTAGAAGTTTGGAGTCACTTATACAGACAAAGCTTTCTATATAAGGCTTATTGCAGAGTTAACAAAAATCTGATTTGTTGAGGTAGTCTTTTTGTTTCAGGAAAGGTATACTCAACATTTCACACTAAAGATGTAACTGTCATGGGGTCTTCGGCACCATCCAGTCTGAATTAGGCCAATAAAAGGACAATTAATCCCAAAGATCAGTGATTGGAATGGGGAATGTCTGGTGTCTCCTAGTTATTTACTGAACAAGATCAATGAGCAGGAGCTATTATCTAAGAAACTGTAAGAAAGAGAATTGCACACATTCTGTGTGATTCAGTTTCTAGGGTTTAACTTCCCCCTTGGCATGATAAATTTAGAGGGTCCTGAAGTTTTATTTTCTTTCTGTGAGTAACTCAGGAGTGTACAATATGGGCTGCCGTGAGATGTAACCAAAGGAACAGTAAATTTATAGAGAAATGACAAGACAAAGGGAAGGACTTGAAGTTGCCATGGGAAGCAAATTGTGGAAAGGTAAATATTTGGCAGAAGTTATATAGATTAATTCTGTGCTGCCTTTAGGCTTGTAAGAATATAGAGTTGTCTTCAGAAATTAAGAATCACCCTGTCCTTTCAAGTAGAAAGGAGGATAGGGAGTTCTGTTGTACCTGTTTCTTATTTGCCTGTGGCTCAAAATAATCTTTATGTCAGAATCGCCTATTTTGGGGTGACATATTCTAAACCCCTTCATGCGTTATTGTCTCTCATTAGTGATTGATGAAGTATTTATAATTAAAAGCCTTTTTGTATTATGAGTAATTTACCAATTTCAGAATGTGTTTCAAGCAGTAAACGAAGTTAAATAGTAACTTCATAAGTTAAATGAAGCCTTGATATTTTTAGGTTTTGTCTTCATTTGGTTGCTATTATGGGAAGATATACATAAAGTAGCCATTTTAGTATACATTTCAGTGGCATTAATTACAATGCAGTTTAACCATTACCACTCTTTGTTTTCAGAACTTTACATTATCCCATACAAAAATTTTTTACCCATAAATCAATACTTTGCCATTCTCTTTTCCTGCAAGTACCCGGGAGTTCCTTTATTCTACTTTCTGGCTCTCAGTAGAAGTCTGCATATCTTATATAAATGGACTTGTACAATATTTGTCGTTCTTTATCTGGCTTATTTCACTTGGCATATTTCAGGTATTCATCAATGTTGTGACGTGTTTCAGAATTCCTTTTTATTTTCTGTATTTTTTTGAGACAGGGTCTCACTCTGTCACCAAAGCTGGAGAACAGTGGTGTGATCTGAGCTCACTGCAGCCTCAAACTCCCTGGCAGAAGCTTCCCATTCCTTTGGGATGAATATGGCTGAATAATATTCTATTCTGTAGTTAAACCACATTTTCTTAATCCTTTAATCTGTGGTGAACATTTGTGTTATTCCATTTTGGCTCCTGTAGTAATGCTACCTTGAACATTGGTGTACACAGAGATTGAGTCCCTGTTTTCAGTGCTCGAGGTCCAATTTCTTCACCACTTTGCCAATAAATGAAAAAAAAGAAAAAGAAAAAAATCTTTTTCATTTGTGTTTGTTTGCTTCATAGTACCTGTCCTAATGGGAGTGAAGTGATACCACATTGTGGTTTTGAGTTGTATTTCTCTTAATAGCTAATAATTTTGAGCATCTTTTCATGTATTTATTGGCCATTCATATTATTGGAGATGACTGTTCAAGTCCTTTGCCTATTTTAAATTTTTGGGTCTTTTTGTAACATATTTTATATTCTATATTTTAAGTCCTTGTTAAGTTTATAATTTACAAGTTTTTTTTCTTTGCAGTATCTTGATTGTGGTTCATTCATGTACAAAAGTTTTTAATTTTGGTGAAGCTAAGTAAATCTGTTTTTTTGTTACCTGTGTCGTCTGGCGTCATGTCCAAGAAATCACTGCCAAATTCAATGTCTTAAAGGTTTTTCCTGCTTATTGTTCTAAGACTTTAATAGTTTTAGCCCTTAAGTTTACGTCTCTGATCCATTTTAAGCTAACTTTTGCATATGACGTAACAGGCCCAACTTTACTTTCATACAGATACTTAGTTTTTCAAACACCATTTGCTGAAAAGCCCAACTTAAATATTATAACACAGATGCCAAGCCTATGTCTACTAGCTAAAGTGTTCACTCTCATGATGCTATTTGTGATCATTCTTTGATTGTAGTATCATGTAGCAAACATTAATTTTGTTCTTTGTTAATTGGCAGTTCTCAACCTGACTCGGCATATTTAGGTTCTCAGTGATTCCCACATTGATTTTTCCCCTGAAACTTAGTTTTTAAAGGTTGTTGAATATAATTTATTTTTACAAAGAACTTATGTTCTATGTATAGTGTCATTTTAAACATTAAATATTAGTATTTTTAGTACAGTTTTAATACTTTCATTGTAGATGATGATCTTTTTGTAGTTTACTTTTAAAGTAACTTGTTCTTTGTTGGTATCATGGTTGATTATTTTTGAAAGGTAGTGGAGGCTCTGAAAATTGAATATTTATGGGAATAGTTTGTAGAATGTTTGAAAGAGATGTATGCATTTTTTATTTAAAAGAGTTTTAGGACCTATTATCTTTAGTTAAGTAGTTCATAGACGATAAACATCAAATGTTACTGTATGATTTTAACAGTTATTCTATCGGTAGACAGTGAATTAGAAGTTGGTTTGCATTCTGCATAGGCTTATATGATATATTTAGAGTAGAAATATAAGTGTTTTAATATTTCATGAATGATTATATATTTTATACACACAATTTACATACATTTAAAATGTTTAGCACCCTGTTTTAAATATGTTTAAAAGCACCGCTTTCAGTGCTTGAGGTCCAATTTCTTCTTTTGTCAATAAATGAAAAAAAAATTTATCAGCAAAGAACAACTACATTTCACATGTGAATTTGAAAATAGGTTACTTGATGTGTATAAGTAGGTTGTACATACAGGTTTTAAATGTTCTGAAGTACAGTGACATTGAAGAACCATTAAAACCAGGTATGTTTTATTCTTTATGTTAATTCTCATATTATCTAAGTTACTTTCTAAAGTTCAAGTCTCAAGATAAGCTATAATGTTCTGAAAATATAATTGTATTTTCCAGATTTTAAAATAATGAAGTGCATGTCTAATTTTATACCTTAATATTTTGTTTACTGGAAGACTCAAATATCTGAAGTTTTTTAATAAAACAAAAATATAAATATAGTAAATTCTTCCATACAGCCTCCATTCTTAACTATCTCAGGGAAATAACTTGATTAGCACTTACATTTTCAAAATAAATTTGGAATTACAGTAATTTTATTTGGTCGAGTGTAGTGCATTGGTGTATAGCATAGCTTTGTTATTTTATGATAGACATTGAAAGGCTAAAATAGAAAATGTACTTTTATGCACTCTTAATTTAGTGCATTAATATTTTTACTTTTCTCTTGCAGCATTTTCAGTTAGCCTTGATTGACTGTAATCCATGTACTTTGTCCAATGCTGAAAGTAAGTATTTTTAAATGAAATACTTTTGAGTAAAGAATATTAATGATACCTTTTTTTCTACTGATACCTTTGTTTCTGTTCATTCTTGAGAAGAGAAGTGAGAAGGCATGTGCCTGATTCAGAGAGTTTAAATCACTGGAGTTGAGTTGATTTGGGTACTATTTTTCTTGCTCAAAGACAGTCAGTATTATTATTTGATAACTGTAGAAATGATTGGTATGTCACAGAGCACTAACAAATAGTGATTACCTACTTTAGTAGTTTTTCTCCCTTTATGGTGTCTATGTTTTCATATTAATGAATTACTTCACCTTTTAATATTTTAGGATTTGCACATACCGTAAGCTTGACTATTTTTTGAAACTTTTTTGTGTACTTGGTGATGTTGCAAAAATCAAAAGTTTTCAAAGCCAATTTTAAACAAAACCTGAATAAGTTAAAAATGTGTAGTTTAAAAAATAAATACTGTTTTTTGAACTCTTTCAGATGAATGACTACAGTTAATATTTTGGGAAAAAAACATGTTTAAAAAGAATATGAAACTTTAAATTATGTGATTTTCCTTTGTGATAAAAATGTTAGAATATTAAAGACCTTTTATGTCAATTTTTTACCTATTTGAGTCTATAATTGAATATTGCCATACTGAGTATACCTAGTTATATAATTACACTCCCTTTTAATGTATAGATAAGAATGAAACATGGGCTGGGAGCAGTGGCTCACACCTGTAATCCCAACACTTTGGGAGGCCGAGGTGGGTTGATCACCTAAGGTCAGTAGTTTGAGACCAGCCTGGCCAACATGGTGAAAACCCCATCTCTACTAAAAATACAAAAATTAGTCAGGTGCAGTGGTGCACACTTGATTGAAATCCCAGCTACTCAGGAGGCTGAGGCAGGAGAATTGCCTGAACCCGGGAGGCGGACATTGCAGTGAGGCGAGTTTGTGCCACTACATGCCAGGGTGACAAAGCAAGACACTGTCTTAAAAAAAAAAAAAAAAAAAAAAAAACAGAAGGATGAAAGGTAGAGATTTTTATCCCACAAAAGATGATGTTGTATTTTATGGGATGGTGAGGTCAGAGCCTGGGACTCCAGCCTAAATTTGCATTTTAAGTTCAGATAGTATTAGGATGCCAGTTAGCACTAATCTTTTCTATTATCTGTATTTGGTGGGTACAGATATGGGGGATATGGGACATAGTTTTTGGTTTTCTCTTTGCTGTGTGTGTGTGTGTGTGTGTGTGTGTGTGTGTTTTAATTTTGTTTTATCTTTTGAGACAGGGTCTCACTTTGTTCACCAGGCTGAGTGCATTTGGTGCAACCATGGCTCACTGAAGCCTTTATCTCCCAGGCTCAAGTGATCCTCCTATTTTAGCCTCCCAAGTAGCTGGAACTTTAAGGCGCATGCAATGCCTGGCTAATATTTTTATTTTTATTTTTTGTATTTTTTGTGGAGATGGGGTTTTGCCATGTTGTTCAGGCTGTTCTTGAACTCCTAGGCTCAGGGCCTCCCAAAGCACTAGGACTACAGTCACAAGCCACTGCACTGGTACTTTTTCCTTCTTAATCTGTCATCCAGTTTCTTTCCAGCAATTCAGAGATGTGAGATTTTGATTCACTAGATGTTATGTGGTAAGGAAAACTCTGTTTGAAAAGGGGAGGGAAGATGAAGAAAACCTCTCAACCTGTGGGTGTGTGTACATATATATGACTTTTTTCTTTTGTTGCTTTTGTTTTTTTGAGGGAGAGGTTATTATCTTGAAATCACACAAAAAGATTTTTCTTTTACTTTATGGCTCATTACTTAACTTTTTCTATTTGTCTATTTTTATAAAGCAATAACTTAGTTTCAGAAAGTTTGTTTGATTTTAGTTAATTACAAAATTTTGGAGTAATTTTTCTCTTATGGAAAGGAATTTATGGTTATCTAATGCATTATTCTCCAATGTTAGATATGGGGGAACTTACTGGAAAGCTGTGGAGCATATTAAAGGGGCTGCTTTCCAGACATTTACAGAGGTTCACTAAACCAAAATCTGAAAGAGTTTAGCTAGGATTTGGTAATTGTATCAACCCTCCCAGGTATAATTTATGTTTAGGACATTGAGAGAAATGAGTGAGGAGAAGCAAGGAGGGAAGATTCGGAAGGGAGGAGAGACAAAGGGATGTCAGAATTTCATGATTGCTATGGGACTTTTCTTTAAAAATATAAGTATTCTGTTTATAATTTTGAAAGTTTTAAAAAATATATCCTAAAACAAAACAAGAAAAGGTGTTTATCATGGATGAATAAAAACTATAAAATACAAATAGTTGGACTTGTAATTATCCGTTGTGATTTTGTTGTGTGCTCTGATGATGGGGAATTGGGCATCAAGAAGGGCTGCAAAAAGAAGCCAAATATTCTGCCTTATTTGAATCTTCAAATAAATTATTTTGAAGTCTTGCTCTTCAGGTAGTTTGACCATTTGTGTTTGTTCTTGACCACAGTGATCTATTTCTGAAGAATGAAACATCAAATTGTTACTAGTATTTGATCTATAACTTAAAAAAAGTTGTTAATAAAAGATTGACTATAAAGAAAAAGCATACACACTGAAAAACATTCCTTGATTACAGAGTAAATATTATGTTTTTAACGTAAAATTTTGAATACCATTTGTCAAGATATGTAAACTTAAATGCTTGTGTTTCCTTAATACTCTGATTAAGAACTTTTTATGACATATACTTACCTATTGCAGATTTTAATGATTATTAGAGTTATTAATAAATTTGTTACAATATTACTTAATCTTTTATATTGATTGTTTTTCTTGGCATGATCTTTGTTAGGTTTAATTGCATTTTGTTTGTTAATTTTGCATTCTGTTTAAAACAGAAGTTGCACCCGTAGTCAAATGTATGTTCCATAGTTTTAGCATTTGCGTATGTCTGACATTTTATATTATCCCTACTTTTTGTTACTTTATTACATTAGACTGTATTGTAACTGATCTTTTCCCATGATCCATTGCAGTTCAATTTCATATTGCCCATTTGTATGAAACCCAGGTAAGTGTTTTAACTTAAGAACAAGAATGAAACAGTCACCTATGCTTTAGATGAAATGAAATGTACTTGAAAATATCAGGCTTTAAATGAAATAAATATATTAGACGATTTGAGTTGTGGGTATTATACTCTTGCATGTATTTTGTATTCTACTCCTCATTAAATGTGTTTGAAATTTTTAGTGAACAAATTGTTAAAGACAAATGAAGGCATTTGAGATTTGTACTTAATATATATATATATAGCAGTTTGTGTAACTACCTTAAACTGTGTATTTTATTTCCTAAATACAATACTTGCTATGTATGCAGTGCTTTGACTTAATGTAATTTGCCTCTATACCTTTATTTAGAAGCTTTCATGTAACCCTGCATGTAATGTCTACTTTTCTTTTAAAATTTTCATGAATGATTGTAATAAGTCACTGTTATTGAAGTTTTCTGTTTTTCTTTAAGACTGAGGTATCTTTTAAGCATCATACCATTTCAAATGATAGTTACCATTAGTTCAAGGCTGTTTGTTTTTAAAGTTATTTCAGCTTTTTAAAAAAATATTTTGCTTTGTATAGCAGATTTTATTATAATATTTAAACTGTAACATACAGATTTACAGTTTGTGGTGGAGTTGGTAGACTTAAAAAAATGGGTAGCATTTTTTCATATTATGAGTAGCTGAACATTTTGAATTTAAATTGTGAAATAAAGAGAGATTTAATAACCATGTTGGGCATGGTGGCTCATGTCTTAATTGCAGCATTTTGAGAGGCTGATGCAGGAATACCTCTTTAGCCCAGGAGTTTGAGACCAGCCTGGGCATAGTGAGACTGGTCTCTACAATTAGTAGTTAGCCAAGTGTAGTGGCATGTGCCTGTAGTTGCAGCTACTTTCAGAGCTGAGACTGAAAGTCTGCTTGAAGAGTCAGAGGCTGCAGTGTGGTGTGATACTGCACTCCAGCTTCTGCGGCAGAGTGAGACCCTGTCTTAAGGAGAAAAAAACAAACAGAATTTCATGGTGGGGGAAGCTTATTACACACATATGTAATTTTTTAGGTCTACCCTTATGTTTCTAGTACAAGTAGAAAATAGTGATGTAGAGAAGTAGATTTGATGCAGAATTTTATCCAAGACAGGAAAGATGCTGGTATTTTCCATTTTTCATATTACTATGAGATGTAGTAAGATATAGAACATTTAACTGGCTGGTTCTTTAACTCATCTGTGACAAGCTTCATGGGAAGTTTTTAAGAATTATCTGTTTGTTTCTCTACTTCACTTCTCCCTGTGCTCCACAAGGTACACACGGTGGCCTTAGAGATTCATTGAATCAAAGTTGATATACCTTCAGGTTGGGATATTAT
Organism: Homo sapiens; assembly: GCF_000001405.40. Classification (NCBI taxonomy): domain Eukaryota; kingdom Metazoa; phylum Chordata; class Mammalia; order Primates; family Hominidae; genus Homo; species Homo sapiens. Next base: position 13,392,502 of record NC_000024.10, on the reverse strand, counting down.
AACCTAGGGATTGATTTTGTTTTACAAAATGCATTTAAATCCATTTATGCTGGAGGTTGCAATTTTTTGAATTTTTGCAGTCGTACCTTGGCGATGACCTTAAGCAATAGGATATAAGTAACCCCCGCATGCTTAGCGTTCCAATAGTGGAACACTAGGCATAAATGGGTTAAGAATTGCCCATCTTTTTACATGAGTGTCATGAATAAAAATTCATAACCTGCCATTCCACGTTTTGGGTATGTCTTTTTTTCATGTATTATGTTGTTGCTCTTTTAAAAACATTTTCTTAGTCTTTTGATATAGGAAAAGTAATTTTATTATTTTATTTTTTAAGAGACCAGGTGTCCCTTGTTGCCCAAGCTGGAGTGCATTAAGGGGACAATTTTAGTTTACTGCAGCCTTGAACTCCTGGGCTCAAGCCATCCTCCCTCTTCAGCCCCTGGAGTAACTAGGACTGCTAGCATTCCAAGCCAGTTTATTTTAATTTTTATTACAGATAGGGTCTTGCTGTGTTTTTAAAGCTGATCTCAAAACACCAGGGACAAAGTGATCCTCACGCTTCAGCCTCACAAAGTGCTGGGATTACAGGTGTGAGCCACTGTGCTTGGCCCCAGTTAGATAATTTTTTATGACCCCAATAAATGAGAAGAGCTGGTGAAAATTATACTTGACAGTAAAATATCTTGAAACTGTGTTTGATTCTAACATTAAACATGCCTGATGTGTTAGTCTATTCTCATGCTGCTAATAAAGACATCCGCAAAACTAGGTAATTTATGAAGGAAAGAGGTTTAATTGACTCAGAATTCAGCATGGCTGGGGAGGCCTCAAGAAACTTACAGTCATGGTGGAAGGAGAAACAAACACATCCTTCTTTTACATGGTGACAGGAAGGAGAAATGGTGAGCAGTGGGGAAAAAGTCCTGTATAAAACCACCAGATCTTGTGAGAACTCAGTATCATGAGAATAGCATGAGGGTAACTGCCCCCATTATTAAATTATTAATATCTCCCACTGGGTCCCTCCCATGGTACATGGGGATTATGGGAACTACAATTCAAGGTGAGATTTGGGTGCGGACACATATCACGTGATACGGAGGAACTAATTTTAAATGCATTCTACCTATTAGTATTGTTTGTACAGTTGAAGATATTAAAATAATCTCAATTTGTATCAAAGGAAAGAAATGTATGAATTTTAAATGACAGTGTAATTTTTAAAGATACAAATATAAAAAATTATTCAGTGAGTAATCACTGAAGTTACAGAATTTTTATATTTGAATCTTTAAAAATTAGACTATACCTGTTTGTGTAGTAGTGGTCAGTAAAATAGAGTGGGGACATGAAATGTAAACTGAGTAGAGTCTTCTCAGAAGTGGAAAAATGGGTAGTGTGCTTTCATATGGTAACTTCATGTTAGTGGACATATTCAGTGGAATTCTTTATCTCAGTGATACCTTGTTAATATAGGAATGTCCTCCTCATTTAAAAAATTCTGTTACAAGCATTTGTCTTCCATAAGTAGGCTGAAATATAAAATGTAGTATTGTGTGAGTACATATGTAGGTTCTTTTGGTTTTCCTAATTTTTAACCCGTGAATGAAAGACTGTCAACTACGTTTTCTCATATACTTTTAGTATCTTCTGTCACCTGATAATTACATTTTCTTAAATTTGCTGAGCTTTTCTTTTTCTTAATCTTTCAGTAGCCAGTTAAATAGGCTTTGTAGCTTTTTGGATAAACATAAGGTTTACCCTTACTGTGTTGTTATGATGATTACATTAATTGCTAAAATCAGTGTAAGTTCTTAACAAAATACCAGCAAAAATACTAACGAGATAAAAGTACTAAAAAATAAAATTCAGTTACACATTGAAAGGCTAACATACTATGATCAAGAGGGAATTATCCATAGGATGTAATGATCATGCAAACATTGCAAACTAATCAGTGTGATATACTACATAAACATAAAAGACAGATGATTATATGATTATCTCAGTGGCTGGATTAAAAGCATTTGACAAAAACTCAATGTTGTCTCATGATAAAAATTCTCAATGTATTACATAAGGAATGTATCTCAATATAATTAAGGCCATATATCACAGATCTGTAGTTAACATCATACTCTATTGGGGATAATGGAAAGCTTTTTCACTAAAATCAGGAGCAAGACAAGGATGCTCACTTTTAGTACTCCTGTTCCACATAGTACTAGAAGTCCTAGCCAGAGCAGTTAGTTATGATGAAGAGATAGAGAAATACTTATTGGGAAGAAAAAGGAAAAGAAGTCTTGGTTTGCAGAAGTCATGATCATATAGATGAAAAAAAAACCTAATTAACACCTCCAGGAAAAATTATTAGAACCAAAAAGAAAAAAACAAATTTATTAAAGCTTCAGGATACAAAATTAACATACAGATATCATAGTATTTGTATGTGTTAATAATGAATCATCCCCAAAAGAAATGGAAAGATCTGTAGCCTGAAATATGTTAAACATCCGTGAAGGAAGCTGAAGATGACAGAAATAAATAGCAAGGTCTCTCCACGTTCATGGATTAGAAGAATCAGTATTTATCATAATGTGCATACTACACTAAGTGATGTCTCACAATTCCAATGGCATTTGCACAGAAATACAAAAAACTATTGTAAAATTTGTGTGGAATCAAAAGACACCCTGAAGAACTAAAGGAATCTTGGACAAGATAAACAAGGCTGGGCCATTACACTTCCTAATTTCAGAGTACGTTACAAAGCGACAGTAATGAAAATGGTAAGATAGTGACTGGTATGTAAAAAAATACATAGAACAATGGTACTTTATACAAAGCCTGGAAGAAAACCCCACATAGATAGGGTCAGCTGGTATTTGACAAAGGATCCAAGAAAATACAGTGGAAAAGGATAGTCTTTTTTGGGGAAAACTGGACATCCACATATATAAAAATGGAATTAGATTTTTATCTTACATCATACACAAAAAGCAACTCAAAATGAATTGAGGACTTATAAACATAAGACTTAAAACCATAATAGAAGAAAAGAGCAGGGAAAGCTGCATGACATTGATCTTAGCAGTGATTTTTCTGGATGTGGCACTAAAGACATAGGTAATAAAAGCAAAAATAGGTGGATTGCATCAAACTGAAAAGCTTGTATACAGCAAAGAAAGCAATCAACAAAGTTAAAAGCATCCTGGGAGTTTGGGAGATGGTACTTGCCAACCATAAATTCCAATAAGGGTTAATACCCCAAATATCTCCAAAACTCATATTACTTAGTAACCAAAAAGTAACCTACAAGTAAAAGTGGGCAAAAGGACCTGGATAGACATTTTTCCAAAGAAAGTATAGTAATGGTCAACAGGTATATGACACACTGCTTAGTAGAACTAATCAGGGAATTTCAAATCAAATCCATCATGAAATATCACCTCATATCTTAGGATGGCTTTATTAGTCAGTTTTCATACTGCTGATAAAGACATACCCAAGACTGGGAAATTTAGAAAGAGGTTTAATTGACTCACAGTACTACATGGCTGGAAGGCCTCTGGAAACTTAGAATCATGGCAGAAGGTGAGGGAAAGCAAGGCACTTCTTCACAAGGCGGCAGGAGAATTGTCAAGCAGAGACGGAAGAGCCCAATAAAATCATTAGATCTTGTGAGAACTCACTATCACAAGAACAGCATGGAGGAAACCACCCCCATGCACCTGGTCTCCCTTGACACGTGGGTATTTGTGGAGATTACAATTGAAGATGAGATTTGGGTGGGGGCACAAAGCCTAACTACATCAGTGGATGTTAATCAAAAAGTTAAAAGTGATACTGAGGATGTGGAGAAAAGAGAACAAACCATACAGTCCTGGTGGGGGATATAAATTGGTACAGCCATTATGGAAAACAGATGAAGGTTACTTAAAAAATTAAAAATAGAGCTACCATATAATCCAGCCATTCACTTCGTATATATCCAAAGGAAACAACATCAGCATCTGTCTGCACTTCATACTAATTGTAGTATTATTTGCAGTAGCCAAGAAACAAACTACATGGCCATTGAAAGATGAATGGATGAAGAAAACAGGGGAGGGTGTATCTAAATATATACACAATGGAATGTTATTTGACCTTTACTATAATGCATGTTGTGAAATGTTTAAAGACACATGTATAACATAAGTATCTACAAATGCTATTTGCATGCAACATGCAGTAACATCTATGTTAGTTTTCTTCTTGGATATTTTTTGTTCATTTTGATAAGATAACTGGAGCATTTCATCATCTATTGTTACTTCTTTTGGTGTTATTTGTACATGTTTTTAACATAGTAAATCTCCTTAAGCCTACTTTATTTTAGTTTTGTATTTAGAAATTACCTAAATGAATCCAGAAGTTGAATCCTTGAAAAGATCAAATGGATATTTCTCACAGATGAAAAAAATGAAAAATGTTAAAAGTAGTGTTGGAGAAATTTGCTACAGGGTTACAGATGTGTTAATAGAAGATATTTTAGAACTATTGTATAAAAATATAACAAGTTTGAAAATCTAGAAGCTTTTTCCTAGCAGAACATAAATGATGAAATTTTACCCAGAAGTAGAAAACTTGAGTGGGCAAGTTGCTGCTCCAGTCTTATTCATAGAAATTAAATTTTTTATTGTTGTTAAGACAGAGTTTCACTGTTGTTGCCCAGGCTGGAGTGCATTGGTGCGATCTCAGCTCACTGCAACCTCTGCCTCCCGGGGTCGAGTGATTCCCCTGCCTCAGCCTCCCTAGTAGCTGGCATTATAGATGCCTGCCACCATGCCCAGCTGATTTTTGTATTTTTAGTAGAGAAGGGATTTCACCGCATTTGCCAGGCTGGCCTCAAACTCTTGACCTCAGGTGATCCACCCACCTCAGCTTCTCAAAATGCTGGGATTGCAGGCATGAGCCACTGCACCCAGCCAGAAATTAAAATTTAATATAAAAATTTTAAAAGGAAAACCTTTTCTGACTAGTCTTTCAGATTTAGAAACTAGTGATATTTTAACATTCATTTTGTTACTATAATGCTGCATAATTTTGAATGTGTTTGTACAAAATGAAAAGAAAAAGGGTCTGTGAATTCTTCTTCCCTCTGCCTCTAACTATATTTATTACCAAAGCCACCTGTGTTAATAGTTATTTGAGTATTGTACAAAACTCTTTTGTTTAGGTAAATTCACACATGTATTTGTATAATTTGTTTTTGTTTTCCTTTATTCAAATTATATGTAGCCTGTGAGCATACTCTGACTCTGAAGTTTTTTTGTTGTTTTTTTTTTAACTTATGTTTTGTAAGTTACTATTAGTACAAGTAGAGCTGTATGGTATGTCAGTGATCTACTTTGACCAGTTTAATTAATAATTGTGAAAATTAGAAATAATGTTACTGTGAATAATTCTTCATTTAAGCCATTTTAAACATGAATGAAATGTATGTTTGTTAGTTTATTTTGACGGAGTCTTGCTCTGTCACCCAGGTTGGAGGGCAGTGGCGCAGTCTTAGCTCACTGCAACCTCCTCCTCCCATATTCAAGCAGTTCTCCTGCCTCACCCTCCAGAACAGCTGGGATTGCAGGCACATGGGATTACAGGCATGTGCCACCATCCCCGGCTAAGTTTTGTATTTTTGTAGATACAGGGTTTTGCCATGTTGGTCAGACGTTGGTTAGGATCTACTCCTAACCTCAAATAGATCCGCCCGCCCACCTCAGCCTCCCAAAGTGCTGGGATTACAGGATTAATAACCACCATTCCCAGCCTTCATTATTTCTTAAAGTAAATCATAATTTAGAATTAGTTTTAGCACCAAACTAATTCTAAACTAGAATTAGTTTTAGCACCAAAAGTTTTGGTATTAAATTTTGGTACAAAAAAAACAGATTTTATTCATATAGACAGACACAAAAATTCTGTCAGAGGTAAGCCAGATCCAGTTTTTATGTAAAAGAATATTATGTTAGACATAGTCTTATTCTATGAATTTAAGTATAACTGAACATAAAGATATTATAAGAAAATACTTGGAATGGGATATAAATGAAATAGACTTGGCCGGGCGCGGTGGCTCACGCCTGTAATCCCAGCACTTTGGGAGGCCGAGGCGGGCGGATCACGAGGTCAGGAGATCGAGACCATCCCGGCTAAAACGGTGAAACCCCGTCTCTACTAAAAATACAAAAAATTAGCCGGGCGTAGTGGCGGGCGCCTGTAGTCCCAGCTACTTGGGAGGCTGAGGCAGGAGAATGGCGTGAACCCGGGAGGCGGAGCTTGCAGTGAGCCGAGATCCCGCCACTGCACTCCAGCCTGGGCGACAGAGCGAGACTCTGTCTCAAAAAAAAAAAAAAAAAAAAAAAAAATGAAATAGACTTTCAGAAATTAATAATGAAGAAACTTTTAGAAAGTATGCCTTAATGTTCTTCCCTCAGTGAATAAAAGCAGACAGAACATTTCAAAAATTGCTTCAAGAAAAAGAAGTTGCATGTGTCTACAACATAAGAAATGGCAAAGGTGAAATAATCATTATTAGAGAAATTAAAATAGCTCACAAAAATCTATTCTGGAGAGCTCTATGTGAACAGAGATTGAGACACAGAAGAATTGCCAGGCTTAGTGGCTCACACCTGTAATCCCAGTGCTTTGAGAGGCTGAGGTCAGAGGATCCCTTGAGGCCAGGAGTATGAGACCAGCTTGGGTAACATAGCAAGACTCTGTCTTTACAAAAAGTTTTGAAAAAAATTTTTTTAGCTAGATGCAGTGGTTCATTTCTGTAGTCTCAGCACTTTGGGGGCTAGGATGAGAGAATTCTTTGAGGCCAAAAGTTCAAGACCAGACTGGGCGACATAGCAAAAAGTACAAAAATTAGCCAGGTGTAGGGGTGCACACCTCTCTCCTAGATATTCAGTAGGCTGAAGTGGGCACATTGTTTGAGCCCAGGAGTTGGAGATTATAGTTAACTTTGATCGCTGCCCTTCAGTCTCGAAGACAGAGCAAGACAGAAAAGAAAATTGTACAATATTCTAAGGCAGTACGTACTACAAATATATGTCTTCCTGTAAACATTAATATCAGTTTATATCTACAAAGTGTAATAACTTGTTAGAATTGAGTCTTCTCATCCAGGAATATTTCTCTATTTTTTCTTTGGTATCTTCATCATTTTTTTTTATTGTTGTCATTTTCCTCATATAGATCTTGTATATATTTCCTAGATTTATACCTACTTTATTTTGGGAATGTTATGTAAAGAGTATTGTGTTTTTAATTCCAAATTCCACTAGTTCATTGCTGGTATATAAGAAACAGTTGGCTGGGCACAGTGGCTCATGCCTGTAATTTCAATATTTTGGGAGGCCAAGGCGGGTATCACCTGAGGTCAGGAGTTGGACATGAGCCTGACTAGCATGAAGAAACCCCCGTCTTTATTAAAAATACAAAAAAATTAGCCAGGTTGGTGGCACTTGCCTATTATCCCAACTACTCGGGAGGCCAAGGCCGGAGAATCACTTGAACCTGGGAGGCAGAGGTTGCGGTGAGCCAAGATTACACCATTCCACTCCAGCCTGGGTAGCAAGAGTGAAACTCCATCTCAAAAAAAAGAAACAGTTGTCTTTCTTCGTATTACTCTTAGATCATGCAATTGTGAGTTAATCTCTTATTAATTTCAAGAGGGTTTTTTTGTCACTTCCTTCAGATTGTCTACATATTTTATGTTGTCCATGGAGAGAGCAGTTTTATTTCTTCCTTCCCAATTTGTAAACCTTTTGTTTTTTAACTATTAATATTTTTTGAGATTTGGTCTCACTCTGTTGCCCAGGCTAGAGTATAGAGGTGCGATCTGAGCTCCCTGCAACCTCTGCCTCCCAATCTCAAGCAATCCTCCCACCTCAGCCTCCAGAGTAGGTGGGAGCACAGGCATGCACCACCACACCTGGCTAATTTTTGTATTTTTAGTAGAGTCAGGATTTCACCATGTTACCCAGGCTGGTCTTGAACCCCTAAGCTCAAGCCATCTGCCCACCTCAGCCTCCCATAGTGCTGGGATTGCAGTGATCCCCTTGGCCTGCCATCGTGTGATTTTTTTTCTAAGCCTTTTGATTTAACGGATTACATTAATTGATTTTCAATTAAACTGTCTCTGCACATCAGGGATAAATCTCACTTGGTTGGATTGCAAAACAGGTTATTGTATTTCATTTGCTAATATTTTGCTGAACATTTTTGTATCGTATTTATAAGATATTTTGATTTGTAGTTTTTGTTTCTTGAAATGTCTTTCTGATTTTGGATTTAGAGTAGTACTGGCCATGTAAAATGAGTTAGCAAGTATTCTATTTCTTTCTCTTTAAAGAGATTGTAGAGAATTGTAGTTTCTTCCCTTAAATGTTGGTAGAATTCACCAGTGAGCTGATGTAGGCCTAGAGCCTTCTTTTTTAGAAGATTATTTATTATTGCCTTGAATTTTTTTTACTTGATATCTACTTATTCAGATTATGTGAGTTTTGGCAAATTGCCTCTCAAGAAGTTGGTTCACTTCCTCTAGATTTTTTGGCCTTTTTTTTATTGCATTCTCTTATTATCTTTTAATGTCCATTGGCATCAATAGCTACATTTGCGCTTTCATTTCTGAAGTGAGTTATTTGTGTCTTCTTTTCTTATTAGCCTGAAAGGTAGGGGATTATTGATGTATGGATCTTTTCACAGAACTAGTTTGGTTTCATTGACTTGTTTTTTATTGATTTCCTGTTTTCAGTTTGATTGCATTCTGTTCTAATTTTTATTGCTTAATTTTTTTATATCTAATTTGCTCCTTCACATTTTTTAAGGTGTATGCATAAGTGACTGATTTTCAGTCCTTTTTTTTTTTTTTTTGAGATGGGTCTTGCTCTGTCAGCCAGTGGCATGATCTCAGCTCACTGCAAGCTTTGCCTCTCGGGTTCATGCCATTCTCCTACATCAGCCTCCCAAGTAGCAGGTACTACAGGCACCCGCCACCATGCCCAGCTAATTTTTTGTATTAGTAGAGACCCAGTTTCACTGTTTCAGCCAGGATGTTCTCGATCTCCTGACCTCGTAATCCACCCGCCTTGGCCTCCCAAAGTGCTGAGGATTACAGGCATGAGCCACTGCGCCCAGCCAGTTTTTTGGTTGTTTTTTTTTTTTTTGACAGAGTCTCACTCTGTCACCCAGGCTGTAGTGCACTGGCATGATCTCAGTTCACTGCAACCTCCACCTCCCAGGCTGAAGCAATCCTCCTGCCTCAGCCTCCCAAGTACCTGGGATTACAGGTGCCTGCCACCACACCTGGCTAATTTTTGCATTTTTAGTAGAGACACAGTTTCCAGGCTGGTCTCAAACTCCTGACCTCAATTGATCGTCCGGCCTTGGCCTCTGAAAGTGCTGGGATTGTAGGCATAAACCACTGCGCCCGGCCCAGTATGTCCTCTTTTTTGATATATGCATTCAGTGTTGTAAATTCCACTGTAAGCACTGCTTTTGCTCCATCCGACAAACTTTTATAAGTTTTATTTTCCTTTAATTCAAAATGTTGTTTTATTTTCTTGAGAAATCTTTTTACTCGTGCTATAATAGGAGTGTGCTATTCAATCTTGAACTATTTTGGAAATTAACCAGTCCTTTTACTTTTATTGACTTCTAGTTTATACATCTGTCGATTCCTAGATTAAAGCTAATAGGAGTGTGCTATTTAATCTTGAACTATTTTGAAGATTAGTCCTTTTAATTTTATTGACTTCTAGTTTAAGTCTGATTTGTAGATTCAAGCTGCCCTCCACACGTTGTATAATTTCTTATTCTTTGAAATTTGTTAAGGTATATTTTACGATGCAGAATGTGTTGTGACTTTGTGAATGTTTTATTTGAATTTAAGAAGAATGTGTATTCTCCTGCTGCTGCAGGCTACACTTCCAAAAACAAATGGAGGTTGAAAATGCAGTGTTTGTGAGATGAAGACCCAGGGATACAGAGAGTTGACTCTTACATACCCTGGTTACACAGGGTAATTTGTGGAGCTTTAGTATGTGTGGATTTTGGTATCTTCTGGGGTACTAGAACCAATCCCCCATGAATATCAAGGGATGACTATATATTCAGTTGGTTGATGGTGTTGTTGATTTTGATATCCACTGTTTCTATGTTTTTATTGATTGATATTAAATTCTCCTACTCAGCTACTGAATTCCTCTATGTTTCCTTGGTGGTCTGCCTTTTTTTGCCTTATGTATCCATTGTTAGGTGCATAAATGTTAAGGATTGTTATGTCTTCTTGGAGAGTGGACTCCTTTGTTACTATGTAATGCTGCTCTTTATCCCAGAAAACGTTGCTTGGCTTGAAGTCTGCTGTGTTTCCTGCTTTTTTTAAAATTACAATTAGCATATATTTTATCTTTTCATATCATCTACTTTTAATATTTTTTAAAATATTTTAAGTGGGTTTTTTAATTAGTAGGAAGAGTATACTCTAAAATAACAATAAATAGTATAGTAAATACATAAATCAGTAACATGGTTATTTATTATCATTGCTGAATATGTTATACTATTCTGCACTTCTAGGCAACTGGCAGTGCAGTAAGTTTATTTACACTGACATCACCACAAACACAGGTATTCCACGGCACTAAGACTTTAACATGGCTCTGATGCCACCTGGGTTAAGAATTTTTCAGGTCCATTATAACTGTATGGGACCACTGTAATTTACACAATCTGTCATTTACTGAAAAAGTCGTTAGGTGGAATGTGACTTTAATTGGATTAGTATCTGCTGGTTTTGTTTGTTGCCTTTTTCTTTGTTTCTATTTTTGTCTCTGACTTGTTTCCACTTTTTGTGGTTTAACTGAGCATTATGTAAGATTGCATTTTCACTCCTGTCTTACTGTCACTTACTCTTTTTTTTCCCCCACCCAAAGCAGAGTTTCACTCTTGTTGCCTAGGCTGGAGTACAATGGAGTGATCTCTGCTCACTGCAGCCTCCGCCTCCCGGGTTCAGGCAATTCTCTTGCCTTAGCATCCTGAATAGCTAAGATTACAGGCATGCGCCACCACGCCCTGCTAATTTTTGCATTTTTAGTAGAGACGGGGTTTCATCATGGTTTCAAACTCCTCAGCTCAGGTGATCCACTCACCCTGTCTCTCAAAGTACTGGGATTACAGGCGTAAGCCACCACGCCCAGGCTGTCACTTAACTCTTAATTGTGCACTAATAGAAGTCCACTATAAAGCAGCACTATTGCTCATTACCCCTTCACTGGTAGTGAGAGTACTTTAGAATAATAAAATAATCCTAATTTTACCTCCCTCTCCCTGTATCATTCTTGTCATTCATTTCACTTATATTGTTTTAAAATGAACTGTTAATTTGTTAGATCAACTAAGAATTTTTATAAGTGTTTATATTACCTCCACTTACCCCTTTTTTGATGCTCTTCTTTTCTTTATGCATATTGAGTTTCTGACCATTGTCGCTTTCCTTCTCTCTAATAATTTGTTTTAGCATTCTTTACAAAGCAGGTATATTGGCATCAACTGCTTTCCTTTTTTATTTTTCTGAGTAGGTCATTTTGTGTTCTTCATTTTGGAAGGACAGTTTATCAGGGTATAAACTCCCTGGTTGGTGTTTTTTTTTTCTTTTCCCCTGTAAACATTAGAGACATTTTACTCCACTTCTTGCTTTAAGGAGAAGACATAGATAATATTTATCATTGCTGTCTAATTTTTTTTCCTTCTAGTTTCTTTCAGTATTTTTCTTTATCTTGATTTTGTATAGTCTGAAAATGATATGCTATGTATAAATGTGTCGGCATTTATTCTGCCTGGTGTTCTGTGAGCTTTCGCCATCTGTGGTTTTGTGTCTGAGATTAATTTGTGGATATTCTCACTTTCGTTTCAAATATTTTATGTTTCTTTTTCTGTAATTCCCGTTATAGGTAATTTACACTTTTTGTCATTTTCTCACATTTTTTCTTCATTTTTCAATTTAGGAAGTTTCGGTTGGTAATCTCAAGCTGAGAGATTCTTTCCTCAGTATTGTCTAGTTTACCAGTAAGTCTTCAAAGGTATTCTTCTTTTCTATTATATTATTTTCTATCTCTAGCATCTCTCTTTGGTTCTTAGGAGTTCCTGTCTTTACCTGTTTCTGCTGTCTGCTTTATCAGTTAAATCTCTTAGGATCTTAATTACAATTAACTGAAATTCCTAGTCTAATATTCGCAACATCTGTGTCATAATTGAGTTTGGTTCTGATCCTTGCTCTATCTCTTCCAACTGTGTTTTTTTGCCTTTTTGGTTATTTTTTTTCTTGATATCCACACCTGGTTACTAGATGTGTGTGTATATATATATATATATATATATATATATATATATATACACACACACACACACACACACACACACACACATCTATATATATATATATATAGATGTGTGTATATATATATATATACTAGATGTATATATATATATTTATATACACACATCTATATATATAAATACACATACATACACACACACACACACACACACACACACACCCCTTAATGTTGTGGTAAGTTGTGGTGGGGAGGAGGAGCTTTGTATTTAGGTCTGTGATTTAGATTTCAGTCTTTAATGAGTCTGTTCTGAGCTGTCAACTTCATAGTGCTTCTCAGATTTTTTTCCCCGTGTTGATACAGGACAGGATAGCTAGGTTGGGAGAATTTTTTTTCCCTCATTATTCACTGTGAGAAACTGGAGGTAAAACTCAGAAATTTATGTGTGTGCCCCAGATAACTGGTCCCCCTGGTATTTGTATCTCTCACATGTGTCCATGCTGAGCTCCTGTAATTTGTCACTCACAGTTCAGATTTCCCTGTGACAGCACTGGTTCCTTCTGAGGATAGTGCTCGGGGGTGTTTGCTCTGGCCAGTCCTTACTCCCTGCATTGGTCTGTCATTTTCCTCCATTTTGGGTTTGTTGACTTGTGCTGTGACCCCCACTTCTCTGATGAATCTAAAAAGAGCTGTTGATCTTTCAGCTTGTTTGGATTTTTACTTTGCTAGGATGGAGTGATGACTTCCAGCTTCTTAAATGCCAAATTGGAAACCAGAAATCTTTATTTTTTGAAAGAAGCAACTCTGTTGCTTTTTTACATGTTCATTATGTTTTGTTTGACATTTTAAATATTTTAAGATGTCAGTTCTAGAAGACAGTTTCTTCCCTCTCCTCAGAATTTGATTTTGTTTATTACTGTAGTCCACATTTGGTTTTTAAATGACTGTTTAAATTATGTTTCCAGAGTCTGTATTTGCCAGGCAAGATGTCAGACCCCAGCACGGGGTTGGTAAATTCATTTTACGCTGATCCTCCCCGCCTCGGCCTCCCAAAGTGCTGGGGATTACAGGTGTGAGCCACCACACCCAGCCACATTTTTGTCTTTAAAAATTATTATTAAGACCAGGCCTGGTGGGGTCCCGTGGCTCACGTTTGTAATCCCAGCAATTTGGGAGCACAAGGTGGGCAGATTACTTGAAGCCAGGAGTTGAAGATTAGCCCAGCCAACATGGCCAAACACCCTGTCTCTACAAAAAATTAACTGGGCCTGCTGGCACGCACCTGTAGTCCCAGCTGCTCAGGAGGCTGAAAGATGAGACTTGCTTGAAAAAAAAAATTTTTTTTTGAGACAGAGTCTGCTTTGTTGCCCAGGCTGAAGTGCAATGGTGTGATCTCGGCTCACTGCAACCTCTCCCTCCCAGATTCAAGTGATTCTGCTGCCTCAGCCTCCCAAGCAGCTGGGACTACAGGTGTGTGACACCATACCTGGCTAACTTTTGTACTTTTAGTAGAGACAGGGTTTTGCCATGTTGGCCAGGCTGGTCTCAAACTCCTGAACTCAAGTGTTCCATCTGCCGTGGCTTTTCAAAGTGCTGGGATTATAGGCATGAGCCACTGCACCTGGCCAAAAAAATATTATAAATATTATTTGCCATTTTTCTATTCTCATACTTTCATTCTGTGTTAAATTTGAAACTTATTGTTTGTAAATGGCATACAGTGAGTTTTTTTCTTTTTTTTTTAAACCCATGGTTGTCTTTACATACTGCATTGAGGAAGATTATTGACCTGTTTGGGATTATGTGATTTATCTTCTAAAATTTCATATTGACATATCAGTTGGATGTTTGAAAATATCTATATAATTTTCTTTAGTTTCTCTGGTTATTTACAATATGCACATGTGACATCTAGTGTTGACATTTTGCTACTTCAGTTGAAATGTAGACATCCCTTATATCTATTTCCTTGCCTTTTTACCTTCCGCACTTTAAAAATAAGTCTGTTATACCAGATACTTTTTTAAAAATAACCATGCATGGTTTTATAAACTTATATGTTGAAATCTTATTTTGAGTACACATGTCTGCTCTTTTTTTTTCTTTCAGATTCTCTAAGATTCCTTTTTATCATTTCTTTTTGAAGAACTCGATTTTTATCATACTTTTTGTGGTAGGTTGGCTACCAACAAATTTCTTTATCTGAGAATGTATTTCTTTTTCTTTGTTCCTGACATACATTTTTACCAGATATAATTTATGTTGAAAAGTCTTTTCTTTCAGCAGTTGACTAATACACGATTTCCTTTCTTGTTTGTGGTTTCAGGTGGGAAATTCATATTTGCCATAGATATTTTTGGATTTATCCCATGGAGCTTTGTTCAGCCTTTTTTGTTTTTTGTTTTTTGAGATAGAGTCACCCTCTTCTCACCCAGGCTGGAGTACAATGGCTCAGTCTCGGCTCACTGCAACCTCCACGTCCCCGGTTCTAGCAATTCTCCTGACTCAGCCTCCTGAGTAGCTGAGATTACAGGTGCCCGCCACCAAGCCTGGCTGATTTTTGTATTTTTAGCAGAGACAGGGTTTCACCATCTTGGCCAGCTGGTCTCAAACTCCTGACCTCATGTGATCCACCCACCTCAGCCTCCCAAAGTGCTGGGATTACAGACGTGAGCCACCACATCCAGCCTGCTCAGCCTTTTGAATAGGTTTATGTCTGTTGACAATTTGTGACATTTAACCATAATTTTATCATTTACTCTTTTTGTCACATGTGCTTCATATTTATGAATGCTTATGTTGTAAATGCTTGATATTTCATTATTGGTCCATAGGTCTTCGTTTTATGTATGTATTTAATCTGATTTTTTTTGTTGTTGTGCAAATGTAAATTATGTTGCCAAGCCCTCAGGTTCATTGTAACAGAAGATTATGTTCTCTTTTCATTTCTGCTGTGCTACTGAGCTGTTCAGTGAGTTTTGTTTTAGCATCTTTAAATTTTATAATTCAATTTCTTTCATTTTAAACTTGTATTTCTTTGCTGAGATCTTTGTCATTTTCGTTTGTTTCAAGGGAATTTGAAGTGATTATTGAAGCATTTTTGTGATGTAGATTCTGTCTCTACTCTTCCAGACTGTGGTTCTAAACAAAATTCCTTTGTAAGAGATTGGTGGTTCTACATTATTCTGTTTGTTTATTTAGTGTTCCTTCAGGCTCTCACTCTAATGTTGCTGGTTTCACGGGAAGAGGATGCTTTCCACAGCCATGTTGACTGGTGCCTCTTTGTGTTGGGGAAGGTAGTCTCAGCATCACGGGGATGAAAGGACACTTAGAAAAGGACTTTTGAATATGCCGTTTATTAAAAGGGATCCACTAGGTTCTTTTACTTTTTTGGGTGCTCTACTGTTTGTATTTTCAGTGATGGGAATGAGCCTGGGCATGCTGTTCTTTTAGGTGGGAGGTCCTAATACTGTTACTACATTGGTCTAGACCCAGAATGCCTAGCTAGTTTACACTTCCAATTCTGGTTTTCTAAGCTGTCTTTTGGTTGTGTCTCAAGTGACTTCCAGGGCTTGTCTAGTCAACTGATTTTGACAGTGTTCTCTGTGTATAATACAGTGATGATAGCATTGTGCTTCCAAAAAATGATAATGAGCAGTTGGACATTTATGCAGAAAAAATGTGGATCTCTACCTCACACTGTACACAAAATGGAATTCAAAATGGATCACAAGTATACAAATATATAAGAAGTTGTCTTTATTATTAGTTTTTAGATATAACACTTTGTACCATCCTTGTGAAAAAAATACTTATATTTGATAATTAGCATTAAAATCTTTTGCTCTCAGAAACACTGTTAAAAGATTGAAAAGATGAGCCATAGACTGGGAGAAAATATGTAAAAATCACATATTGAATAAAGGGCTTTGTAGAATGATACAAGAAACTTGTAAAACCCAACAGTAGTAATAATAAGAAAATATTTAAAATGGTGAAAATATATGAAGAGAAACACATTGAAGAAGATACTCAGATTGCACATAACATGAAAAGATGTTACTAGGTAAATTCATGTTAAAACAAAAAATAAGTTAGTACTATTAGCATACAACTGTTAGAAAGTCTAAATTTTTAAGAGCCTAACAATATTATGTCTGGTAAGTTACACAGTAACATAAATAAATAATCCATTGCTTTTGGTAATGCAAATTGAAACAGTCATTTTGAAAGACAGTTTCTTATAATACTAAATACAGACTTTACGTATTACTCAAGTCCTTCTGCACGTTTTCCAAACTGACTTGAAAGTCTCTTTCCTAACAAAAATCTGTGTATGAATGCTTATTCCTAACTGCTGCATAATGGAAACTACCAAGATACATTTCACTAGGTGAGTGTGTAAAACTGTGCTAATACATACTATTTAATATTACTAAATATTGCAAAGGAATGAACTATGAATTCACGTACCAACAAAATTGAATCTTAAATACACATTGTTAAGTTAAAGAAGCCATTACAAAAAGACACCATACTTTGTTAATCTATTTATTTGCCATTTTGTAAAAACTGTAAGGATAGTAATGAGATCAGGTGTTTTCAGGGAGTTTAGAGAGGAGTGATAATTAGATGAAGCCCCCAGGCTATGTTAGAATAATCAAATCATTTTGCATGCTGCTCTATTGTTGGATATATGACATTATCTTGGATACATTAGCTTACTTATTTAAGACAAGCAACTGACTTTAGAGCCTAAAGAATGAACCTTTAATGTATATAAAATTTAAAAAAATAATGTGAGGTCAGGAAATTCCAGAATGGAACATAGACTGTATCCAAATAAATTTTGTTATAAATGTATCACATCATCTCTTTGAAGAGAGTAATGGGAGAAATCTACTGATCTTTGGAAATGAAACTACGTTTAAACAAAATAAAACAATCTTATGCCTAAGAATTGTGCTGTTAGTGGGAAAGTTGTTATGGGGATAAATTTTAGAAATTCAAAAACTATAACATACTGGCATTCTACAAATAAGACAGTGAAATAAGAAATAGAAAATAACAGAAAAATAGAGGAGGAGAAAAAGAAATGAGAAGATGAAATAGGAAAATAAGAAATTCTGCAAATAAGAAAACGAATGGTATTCTTGGGAGCAGTTTATTCCCTGTTGAGGTAGGAGTCTACAAATACCCCATTGGGGGATAGTAGAATGAACTATGGGAAATGGATTATATCTGGTGATATCAGTATGAACTCATGTTTGGATTAATGTATTTTTATATAGATAGCTATATATATATCTGTATATCCTTGTTCTGTCAGCCAAGATGAACTGAAGCAGTGATGCCACACTATTAGCAAGCACACCTACTGCCCGGATCTTTGTTACTAATACTATTCTCTAGTAAAAGGAACTAGTGCTCCTTGGAGAAGTGGCTGATTCTAGGACTGGTGCATAAGATGAGTCTTAAGTATTACTAACTCAAGAATTGCTTGGGGATATGGAGTGGGGGCACCATGTCATTTGGATGAAGATGTTTTTTAAATGTTTATGGTTATTCTTTATTTTAATATTTTCAGTGGATATATTTTTGTGGCTTAAAATAAATATAAAAAGCTAAAACAAAAGTTTTACTGTTTTCTGTCATAGTTCCCAAACCGCTTTGCTAATGAGAACACTTTTATATACTAATTTCTCTAAAAATTTTCAGAATTTAGGGTATTGAGGATATAAGAATGTATTTTGTTTTGTTTTGTTTTAAAGACTAAGTGAAATAAGCTGGGCTGGGCACGGTGGCTCACACCTGTAATCCCAGCACTTTGGGAGGCCGAGGCGGGCGGATCATGAGGTTAAGAGATCAAGACCATCCTGGCCAACATGGTGAAACCCCATCTCTACTAAAAATACAAAAATTAGCTGGTGGTAATGGCATGTGCCCTGTAATCCCAGCTACTCAGGAGGCTGAGGCAGGAGACTGTCTTGAACCCTGGAGGTGGAGGTTGCAATGAGCTCTCAAAAAATAAAAATAAAAAGCCAGGCAGAAAAGGACAAATGCTGTGATCTACCTATATGAAATATACAGAATAGACAAATTTAAAGATCTAAAGTAAAGGTTACCAGGGGCTGCAGTCAGAAGAGAATGGGGAGTTAGTAAAGTGACAGATTTTGTATTTCAAGTGGTGAAAAGGCTTTGAAAATAGTGATGATGGTTACACAACACTGTGAATGTACTTAAATGGTACACTTAAAAATAATAAAATGTGCTTTCAGAGGCTGAAGCAAGAGGATTGCTTGAGGCCAGGAGTTCGAGACCAGCCTGGGCTCAAATCTATGTATAGGTTTATGTATAAACCTTTTCATAAAGCAGCATGCTATACTGACTGTATTTCTTGTTTTTTGTTTTTTGGTTTGTTTTATAACTAGTGAAATAAACATCCCTTGACATTTACTATTTTTTTCTTCTTTTACCTTTAAGACTATAGGCACGTGCCACCATGCCCATCTGGTTTTTAAAACATTTTTGTAAAGATGGGGTCTTGTTATGTGGCACACGCAGGCCTCAAACTCCTGGCCTAAGGAAATCCTCTTGCCTCAACCTCCTAAGGCATATTTTATGTGCTTTTAAGTGTGCCATTTTAGTAGCATTAAGTACATTCACAGTATTGTGTAACTATTGCCACTGTTTGTTTCCATAACTTTTTTTATCATTCGTAATACAAAATCTGTACTTAATAAGTCTTCATTTTCTTCTGACTTCAGCTCGTGATATCCTTTGCTTTATGTCTTTGAATTTGTCTGTGTTGGGATACATCACACAAATGGATCATACAGTATTTATCTTTTTGTGTCTTGCTTATTTTACTTAGCTTTGAATCTTCAGGGTTCATTCACATTCTCACTTCATTATTTTTTGTGCCTGAACAATATTTTGTTATACTCATTCACATTTATATTTTTGCTTAGCAGTTCATCTGTAAATGAACGGCTGAATTATTTCCATATTTTGGCAATTGTGAATAATACTGCTATACACAGCGGTGTACAAGTATTTATGTGAGTCTTTGTTTTCATTTGGGTATGTATCTAGTGGAATTGCTGAGAAATATAATTTTGTTTAGTATTTTAAGGAACCACCAAGCTGTTTTGCACAGTATTTGTACCATTCTTAATGGCAATACACAAGGGTTCAAATTTCTCCACGGCCTTCATCCTGGTGATTGTGAAGTGATATTTCATTATTGTTTGATTTAGAGTACCCTTAAACTAATGGTTTTGAGCATCCTTTCATGTGCTTATTGGCCACATGTATAGCTTCTTGGAGAAATGTCTATTCAAATCCTTTGCCCTTTTTTGAATTGGTTGTGAGGGGTTTGGTTGTCAAATTGTAGGAGTTCTAAATATATTCTGAATATTAATCCCATTGCCAAATACATGATTTGCATATATTTTGTCCCACTTTGCTGTTTTCACTATTTTGATAGTGTCCTTTGATGTACAGAAGTTTTAATTTTGGAGAAGTCGAGTTTTTCTTTTTGTTACCTATGTTTTTAGTGTCAGGTTTAAGACATCACTGTGAAATCCAAGATGTGAAGACATCATGCAATTTTTTTTAAGAGTTTTACTATTCAAGCCTTACATTTAGGGCTTTGATTCATTTTCAGTTAATTTTTTATATGTAGTATAAAATAAGGACCAATTTTCATTATTTTCAATGTGGATATTGAATTTTTCAAGCACCATTTGTTTAGAACACTATTTTCCATTGACATGTTTTGGCACCTCTGGTGAAAATCAGTTTGCCATCTGTGTGGGCATTTTATTTCTGGGCTCTCTTTTATTGTTATACCAATACCGTATTGTTTCATTTACTATCATGTTTTAGTCTGTATGAACTTTGAATGTGCAAATTCTTCACTTCATTTTTTCAACAGTTATTTGGCTGTTTTTGGCCCTTTGCAATGTGAATTTTAGGATGAGTTTTTCATTTTCTGCAAATCAGTATGCAGTTTTCATAGGGATTGTTTTACATCCGTAAACTGCTTTGGAAAGTGCTGTCATTGCAAAAGTATCAGGAATTTCAGTTCATGAACACAGAATGTCTGTCATTCATTTGTGTCTTTAATTTCTTTTAGCATTTTTTGTAGTTTTCAGTGTACAGATATTTCACTTTTGGTACACTTGTTCCTTCAAAATTTTTTTCTTTTTAATCCTGTTAATAGAATTGTTTTCTTAATTTTCTTTTCAAATTGTTAATTGCTATGGTTAGTGTACAGTAATCCTTCTCATCCCCATACCCCTACAACTTCTCCATCAGCTTTACTTGTGGGAGACAATTTCAAGACTTTTCCTTAGGTTACCTGAAAACTCAAATAGTACTGGACACTATATATGGATCACGGTTTTCAAGCTGATAATCAAGATAGCAACTAAGTAAGAGACTTAGAAGCATGTACAGGGTGGGTACATATATATAATGCAGGTACGCTGGAAAAAGTGATGACTTAGTTCCCAGTGGCATGAATGTTGTGAGATTTGATAATGCTACTAAGAACAGCACATGGTTTACAACTTACAAATTGTTTTATTTCTGGATTTTTTTTATTTACTATTTTTGGACTTCATTTGCATGTGGGTAACTGAAACCATGGAAAGTGAAACTGCAGATAAGGAGGGACTAAAGTACAACTAATTTTTGAATGTTGATTTTGAATCTGGCAACTTTGCTGTGTGTGCATGTGTGTGTGTGTGTGTGTGTGGTTGTGTATGCTTAATAATTTTTTAATAGATCATATCATCTCAGGAAAATGAGCTTACTTGCTTTTCTGACTTGAATGCATTTTATTTCTTGTCTAATTGCTTAGCTAGAACTTTCATTACTAAGTTGAGTAGAAATGTGATTTTGGTTTCCTTTGTAGTTCTTGATATTACGGGAAGAGCTGTCAGTGTTTTCACTGACATTTTTGGAGGGCTTATCACATATGGCCTTTCTTACATTGAAGAATCTCCCTTCCATTTATAATTTTTGAGGTTTGGGTTTTTGTATTGTTGTGTTTTGGAGACAGGCTCTCATTCTGTCGCTCGGCTGAAGTGCAGTGACTCAATCTTGGCTCCCTGCAGCCTCCACCTCCCAGGTTCAAGCACTTCTCCTTCCTAACCCTCCTGAGTAGCTGAGATTACAAGATTACAGGTGTGTGACACTATGCCCGGTTAATTTTTATACTTTTTTGTAGAGATGGGGTCTCACCATGTTGGTCAGACTGGTCTTGAACTCCTGGGCTGAAGCGATCCACCCACCTCGGCCTTTCAAAGTGCTGGGATGACAGACATATGCCACCTCGCCAAGCCAATTTTTTCTGTTTAATCATGAAAAAGTGATACATTTTGTCATGCCCTCTGCCCCTGCTTTTTTGCATTGAGATGGTTAGCCATTTTTAATTGTAATTTTTTGCAGTTAAAATATTTTGAATGTTTTACTCTGTATTTTCTTTCCTTCTGATACTCCCCAGTGATCTCTAGTGCCCTATTTGAAAATGTGTTTTTTATGAATTTAAGTGCTTATATTTTACTTCATTTTTCATTACTTGTGACTTTTGCTTTCACCTGGTTTTGGTCAGTTTTGCTATTTGCATGTGTGTGTGAGAGAAAGAGAAAGAGAGAAAAATAGTGTTGTTTACCTCTCACTGTTTTCTCTGTCAGTTTTGGTTACATTTATTTTCAGTCCCAGTTTACACAGCATTGATTTAGTTATATTGCTCTGCCAATTTGTTACAATCATTAGTAGCTCTTGAAGTGGCACTCTATCATTTTGTTATTTTATTTTTAAAATGTTAAAGCTGCTTAGGCAGCTGAGATTATAAGTACAAGCCACTTTCTTACTGCATTGTTTAGCATGGTTTTGCTATGTATATTTCAGATTCAATATTTATTGGTTTTATTTTAGTTTGGAGGAGTTGAGTTTAACTTTATAACTGTAACAATAATAGGTTTTAGTTGTATTAGTACTTTGTGAGGTAGAGCTGTGCAAATGGTTTTACTTAGAAAATTGCTTATAACCTTAAATATTACAAACAGTTACTTTATATCTATGGAAAATGTAATGTCTTTAAAATTATAAATATTTCTAAAGAGTATTTTCCAGAACTGTATATTTTAAATTTTGAATTTAAATTTTAAGCACTGTTTTGATTCTGTACTTTTTGCTAAGAGCAGTAGTTTGTAAAGAATAGTGGTACTTGATCTATTAACAAATTACTGTTCTCTTTGAAAGTATTTCTAGGCTAATACTGCATTTTCTGATAGAATACTCCTGTAGCTTTATGAATGTTACTTAAATGAAGTTAGAGGTTGCAGTTTTTTTGTGGCATTTGAGATACAGATTTTTTTTAAATGTTGGAATATTTGGTTACACCTTGTTATATTTAATGTTAGTTTTTTTGCTGTAATCTGAAACATGGCTGGCCTGGGCAAAATAAATATTCAGTTAAAATATTAGCAATTTTTACTTTGTTACTTTTTTATGGTACTAGAAACTTCTTAAACATTATTAGTATGTAAATCTTCATTGCTAGCTATTTTAATAATATTGTAATATTACTTTATTTTTTATTATCACATTTATAATTTTTAATATTCATCATTACGTATTGATTTATTATTTGTTACTTATAAGTTAAGTATGGCCATGTATATATTGTTAAAATCAAGAGTATTTTTATTTTAATATTTATTTTTCTCTAAATATTCTTTTTCCTTTGCTCTTTAGAGGAAGTATCATTCTGCAAAGGAGGCATATGAACAACTTTTGCAGACAGAAAACCTTCCTGCACAAGTAAAAGCAACTGTATTGCAACAGTTAGGTACATGAAAACTTTTATTATACATTACATTAATTTGAAGAGATTTGCCTTTTGAGGTTCAATTTTTTTCCCTCTGCTTAGACATTTGTTTTCATTTAGAAGTCTATGGGTTAAGACTAAATGTGACATTTAATTATTACGTATTATTTTGAGGTAAAATTTTAAATAAATAATTTTATTACAGTAGTTCCCTGTTTTACCGGAGTTATATGTTCCATGATACTCTGGAAGCTGCCGATAGTTCCAAACCCTGTATTTTATTATGTTTTTCTAATCTTGTAGCTAAGATGACTACTAAGTGACTACTGTGTGGGTAGCATAGACAGTGTGGATACACTAGAGAGAGTAGGAGTAGCTGTAGTAGTTTGAGTTTTCATCATGCTACCCAGAGTGGCATGCAATTTAAAACTTATATTTTATTTCTGAGATTTTTCCATTAAATATTTTTTGGCACTGGGAGACTGAAACCATAGAAAGCAAAAATGAAGGTAATGGGGGACTACTGTATAAATGTTTTCTAAGTGTATTTTCATTGTTGATAAACATAGTATCAAGCACACTCCTTCTCACCATCTGTATAAAGATAGTCCTTAGTGCTGGCCAGGTCCCAGCACTGTCGGGGTCCAGCATGGTCAGATCACTTACGGTCAGGAGTTTGAGACCAGCCTGACCAACATGGTGAAACCCCCTCTCTACTAAAATACAAAAATTAGCCAGGCGTGGTGGCGTGCATTTGTAATCCCAGCTACATGGGGGGCTGAGGCAGGAGAATCACCTAAACCCAGGAGGCAGAGGCTGCAGTCAGCCGAGATTGCGCCACTGCACTCCAGCCTGGGAAACAGAACGAGACTCTGTCTCAGAACAAACAAACAAAGAAAAAAAACAAGGCCGGGCGCAGTGGCTCACGCCTGTAATCCCAGCACTTTGGGAGCCAAGGCAGGCGGATCACGAGGTCAGGAAATGGAGACTGTCCTGTCTAACACGGCGAAACACCATCTCTAGTAAAAAAAAAAAAAAAAAAAAATAGCCAGGCATTGTGGCGGGCACCTGTAGTCCCAGCTACTCGGGAGGCTGAGGCAGGAGACTGGCGTGAACCTGGGAGGCGGAGCTTGCAGTCAGCCGAAATCGCGCCACCGCACTCCAGCCTGGGCGACAGAGCGAGACTCCGTCTCAAAAAAAAAAAAAAAAAAAAAGATAGTGCTTACTGCAGCTAGTATTGGATTCTGGACTTCCCCTACTGCTTGACGACAGGATGAGGTTTGACTTAAGTAAATTAGATTAAGATTATCACACAGCTGGTAAGTGGATACTAAACTTGCTTTATAGTTGTATTGATACATGATCAATGGAAACATTTCACCTAAAATTTATAGAACATCTTAGTGGGTTTTCTTGTCAAAAATCTGTTACATTCTCATATTGAAGATAAGGTAATCTAGTGTTTGAAAGTAGTATAAAATAATATGTTATCATATAGAATATAGCAAGTCCCCTCCCCAGTAATTAATTTCGTTGCTTATTTATCTTGATTGTATTTGCTATTTGGGTTAATGTTTGTTGGTAGTCCTTCAGTACAGTTATTTTTTGGCTTTGGTCTAAGCAAATAAAATCCTAACTTTTACTCAAGTTGGTGGTAATATAAATTTTTTTTCTGTCACTGTTTTATCCACAATTTCAAAAGCAATTGGGCAGAGTTTTGCTTAGATGCTTTTGGAAAGCTAATTTTATACACTTGAATTAAGTCACAGCTGACAGACTGTTTTTGATTTGACTTGAGCATTTAGCATATATTATCTATTAGATTTCAATTGTTTATGTAGCTGTAGTTCATAATCTATTTATTAAACAAAAATCTGCGGCACACACTGTGTACCACTCTTATGGCTCTTTGAACCTAGTTTTCATTTTGCTTTTTCCATATAGCCTAGAAGTTTTGTTGTGATTGTTTATCTAATGCTGTGACATTAATAATGTTATTATTATAAATAAATAATGTCAGTAATGTATGAGGCCTTTTGTAAGTTGTTTAAAGTGTTACTTTGTATTATTTTGAGATTTTATAAAGGATTATATTTTAGGTAAAAGTCCGAAAGCAGCTATTAAAAAGAATATAAATGGGTGTGGTGGCTCCTGCCTGTAATCCCAGTACATTGTTGAGAGGCGGAGGTGTTCAGATAACTTGAGGCCAGGAGTTTGTGACCAGCCTACCCAACATGGTGAAATGCCGTCACTAATAAAAATGCAAAAATTAGCCAGGCATGGTGTCCCATTCCTGTAATCCCAACTACTTGAGGGGCTGAGACAGAAAAATCTCTTGAACATAGGATGCAGAGATTGTAGTGAACTGAGGTTGTGCCACTCCACTCCATCCTGGGCGATAGAGCGAGACTCCGTCTCAACAACAGCAGCAGAAGGAATGTAAATGAATTATCTTTGATTACATAAGCATTTTTTTATTCTTTGGATGTAAGCATGGGGTTGAAAGTTGTTTTTGAATTTCTCTCACTGCATGGTAACCTTTAAAGGACAGTAAATTTATCAATTTTATACTTAAAATTTATAACTTGCATTTTTTTCCAAACTAAATTTATAAAAGAGAATTTGATTTGTCATCTCCATGTCAATCCAGTTCCTAAAATCATTTAGTTATCTGTGTGTGCTTTAAGATCCCTTTTTAGCTTTGATTGTATCATTTTGTGTGAAATAAACTTCTCTAAACTTTGGTAGTTTTAAATTTTGGGAAAATGTGATCTAAGTTACATGAATAAATTACTGAAAAAGTAATTTGCTGTTTCCTGCATGATTTTCTTGAAACTGAAGAAGTAGAATGATGGGTAAATGCTTATAACTTCTTAATTATAGGTTGGATGCATCATAATATGGATCTAGTAGGAGACAAAGCCACAAAGGAAAGCTATGCTATTCAGTATCTCCAAAAGTCTTTGGAGGCAGATCCTAATTCTGGCCAATCGTGGTATTTTCTTGGAAGGTGAGATGAAATACTCGTGCTATCTAGAGTTTATTTGTAATGTAAAATCATTTGTAGATTTTATAAAATGTAATCTGAGAAGTGAAATTTTAAAAATAAACTCCCGGCTGGGCGGGGTGGCTCACGCCTATAATCCCAGCACTTTGGGAGGCCGAGGCGGGTGGATCACAAGGTCAGGAGATCGAGGCCATCCTGGCTAACATGGTAAAACTCCATCTCTACTAAAAATACAAACAATTAGCCGGGCGTGTTGGTGGGTGCCTATAGTCCCAGCTATTCAGGAGGCTGAGAAAGGAGAATGGCGTGAGCCCGGAGGCAGAGGTTGCAGTGAGCTGAGATCACACCCTTGCACTCCAGCCTAGGTGACAGAGCAAGACTCTGTCTCAAAATAAATAAATAAATTAATTAATTAATTAGTTCCCAATTAGTCTTTCAGTTGTCTGTGTAGCTGTAGTTATTAATCTAATTATTAAACAAAATCTGTGGTATCCACTGTATACTACTCCTATAGCTCTTCGAACCTACATTTTATTTTGCTTTTCCCATATAAACTTGAAGTTTTGTTGTGGTTATTTACTGCTGTTATAATCGTAATTTAATTAAAATTAAGATATAATTACATTTTTATTACAATATAATTAATGTTTAAAATATAATTTAAATATCCCCCTAATTAAAATAATTATATTTTTTATTTCACATTAAAATATAATTATATTATGTGCTTAGAAAATAAAAAGTTCCTAGGAGGTAAAAATAGATAGCTTTGAATTTAGTTGCTCTTATTGAGGTACTCTTCTTTTACTTACTACATTTTGTTTTCATGTTTTTCTTTTCTTTTTTTTTTTTTTTTTTGAGACACAGTCTTGCTCTGTTGCCCAGGCTGGAATGCAGTGGCATGATCTCGGCTCACTGCAACTTCTGCCTCCCGGGCTTAAGTGATTCTTGTGCCTCAGCCTCCTGAGTAGCTAGGACTACAGGGGTGTGCCACCACGCTCGGATGATTTTTGTGTTTAGTAGAGTTGTGATATCACCATCACATTTTCTTAATCTGAGTACAGTTATTGCTAGCTTTTAAAGAGTCTTAAAAGGGTTTTAAAGGGTACCATCACATAATAATCACCAATAGTTTTCAATTTAGTATTTAAATTGTATTTCCTTTGATATCTAGCGTTTTAAAAAATATTCAGCAAAACCCCAAGTTTTAATTTTATCTGTCAGTCATCAGTAGAAATTTGCTGTTTATAATCTTGGCTGGTGATTTTTTATATTAATATGGAAATATTTTTATTAATCATAGCTCTCAAATTACAGTGCTAGTGGAAATTCTAGAGGAAATGCATAAGTTATTATTGTTCGTTATGGTAGGAACATAAAAAATTTTTGGTAACCCAGACATTTTTTCTCCATATTTTTCTTACTTTGAATGTTGACTGTCTGAATTATACCTACTGGTATAATATTTATGTGTCTGATAGAATACATATTTGTACATGTACATGTTTTTTTAAATCACTAGATTGTAATTTAGTGTGTTGCAAAGATCAATGGATTGAAGACTCAGAAACCTGGGTTTTAAATCCTGGCTTTGCTGTTAACTGTGGAATCATTGATAGTCCATTTAAAACTGCTTGAGGCCAGGTATAGTGGTTCATGCCTGTAATCCCAGCACTTTGGGAGGCCAAGGTGGGCGGATAATTTGATGAAACCTCATCTCTACTAAAAATACAAAAATTAGGTGGGTGTGGTGAGCAGGCGACTATAATACCAGCTGCTCTGGAGACTGAGGCAGGAGAATCTCTTGAACACAGGAGACAGAGGCCGCAGTGAGCCAAAATCATGTCACTACACTTCAAACTAGGAGATAGAGACTCCATCTCAAAAATTAAAAAAATAAATAAACTACTTGACATCTCAATTTTTCTTAACTCTTGAGAGGATTCAATTATAACTGTCAGGCACCTTTTCAAAACAAGGTTATATCTTAATTTAATTGCTCTGATTTGTTTCAGTGGTAAATTTTGGTTTTTTTTTTTTTTACATAGGGTAGCTCATTTTGTGTAACTTTGACATGCAGACATGTTCAAATTTAGTTTTTCTGTTAACTTTGTGTACAATGTTTTTTTTTTTGAAAGGAAAGCATATTTATATTAAAGGGAGACTATTGTTAGGATTATTCCTTATTAAAAATATTGGTCTTCTGTTAATGATAAATAATAAAAATGAAGTTAATGCTTTGTGGTAAAGTTTTTGTAATGAAGAACTCTAGGGTTTATAAAATATTTGACCTTGGGTTGCTAGTAATACAAAACTTGAGAGTTCCAAACTTTGACTTGACCCACCACTCAAGTTCAGGAGAAGCTGAATCTTTTTTGTATCTGCATTGCACAACAAAGTGTTTTGAGCAACCTGGCTTTATTACTCAATGCAATAGTTTTGTTACTAAATAGAGCAAGTGAACTAAGTAGGATTTAGGCTTAGAGCCGGCACTGTTATATACTGTTAGCTTTTGCCTTAATACAGTAACATTAAAAGAGGTTAATTACCAAACGGAGCAGGTGTAAACATTGGTCTGTGGCCTTAAGTTTTATTATATTTGAGCAGTTCTTTTTACTATAAATAGAAAGACTGTGAACCAGGACATTTTTTGCTTTTTTTTTCAAGAATAAGATTCGTTGCATGTTTTGTTATAGTACTGGAATATCTCATTATTGTAAAGGATAGTTGTTATTGTTTACTTCTTGTAGCATTTTATAAGATAATGTAATGAAAGATGCTTAAGATTACAGTTTCAGGCTCATGTCTATAATCCTAGCACTTTGGGAGGCCAAAGAGGCTGGAATGCTTGAATTCAGAAGTCAAATACCATCCTGGGCAAAATAGCGAAACCCTGTCTGTACCCAAAATACCAAAATTAGCTGGGTGTGGTGGTGCCCGCCTATAGTCTCAGCTACTGGGAAGGCTGAGGTTGTGAGGAAGGAGGCTGGCTGCAGTGAGGTGTGATCATGCCACTACACACCAGCCTGGGTGACAAAGTGAGACCTGTCTCAAAAAAACAAAATGAAGGCCAGGTGCAGTAGCTCACACCTGTAATCCCAGCACTTAGGGAGGCCGAGGCGGGTGGATCATGAGGCCAGTAGTTGGAGACCAGCCTGGCCAATATGGTGAAACACTGTCTCTACTAAAAATACAAAAATTAGCTGGGCGTGGTGGTGCATGCCTGTAGTCCCAGCTGCTTGGGAGGCTGAGGCGGGAGAATCACCTGAACCCAGGGGCAGAGGTTACAGTGAGCTGAGATCTTGCCATTGCACTCCAGCCTGGGCAACAGAGTGAGACTCTATGTCAAAAAAAAAAAAGGAAGTAAAATTAGTTTCAATAATATACTTTTATAGCTCTGTAAGGAAAGTAGTATTGACAAAGGGCTTTCCCTGAGTCATATGAATTTAAGGCATTGGGGTGTGGTTTGGTTTTAATGTTTTTAGCTAAAATTTTCACAGAAAACTTTCTTGACTTCTCAGATGAAGGTAATTAACCTGCTTTGGTTTCATGGAAAATTTTTTCTTTGCTTTTACCTTTTTCAGTCTCATCTACTGCCTTCTGATTTAATGCTTCTAATGTGATTTGTGCTGAAAAAATGATGTGTTAAAAGTTATACTTTAAAAGTTATTAAAGCTCTGCATAAGGACATTGGGTGTTAGTAAAACACATAGGCATCTGATAATTTGTCATTATTTAGGGCTGTGTTGAATATTTATTTAGCTTTTCAATTGGATTGTACATATCAAAGTGAAATGGGGATGTAGTAATACATTTGTAATGACACTGGTTATTGCCTCACTTAAAATAGTCTCCTGGAGTCACAGAACTGTGTGTAATGTTAAATTTGGAAGAGATTAGGGGAATACCTTTGTTCACTCTTTCATTTTATAGATGTAGGAAGTAAGTCCAGAGGAATAAAATGTTTTCCTCAAGGTGACATGTAATTATTATCAGAGAAAGAGTTGCAACTCAAATATACCCTGTGCTTTTTGTATTACTCTAGATTACCACAGAGGAGCCTAGACATGTTGCATTAAAGGGAAAGTTTTTGGTGACTGGACTCAGACCTGTGTTTCAGTGCATTGGCTTTCTAGTTTGCACTTTTTGTAAATGGAATTGGAAAATGTTGGTCTGAGAAAATACTGCTTATTTCTTCCAGTATTAGCCAGATTTGTCTGATAATCTGAAATTGGTTTTAAGAAAATTTCTTTCTTTTCTATTCATATTCACATTCTTTCTGGTGTCTGTCGCTGTTACATTGTCATTAAGTATCTTCTTATCAACAACTCCCCTCCCCCACAACAGTTTGTATGCATCCTCTAAATATCTCTGTTTCAGTTACTGGCATTTCTTGTATTTCCCAGCCCATTAATGACTCATTCTGTAGACATGTTTCTACACCTCTCTTACATGCATCCTGTGTTCTTAAATCACTCTCTCATATGAGTAAATTCCAAATTAAAATCTCTGACTTTAAGTTAGCTTATAATTCGGTACCACATCTGGTTGTTTTTACTGAACATTACCAAAGTCCTCACATCACATCTAAATTAGCATTTTTAAAAACCTTCTTCATGGTGTTCTTTAGCAACTTTCCTGATTTGTGTGTGTGTTTTCTTTTGTTCATTTTTAAATGATAACTGCTGTTTTCCCAGTGAACCAGGCTTATAACAATTGCCCCCCCAACCCCTACTCTCTAATCACATCATCAAGTCTTTATTAATCCTTAAGTTTGATTATTTTTCCCCATCTTTTTCTGTCTTGCCATTTCTGTTATTTCCCCTATAGTTCTTTACCAGTGTCTAATATGGTTTTGTCGGTACACGTTTATTTTCATTTTAATCATATTACTTGCCCTTTAAAATACATATCTCAAGTTGATAGCCTAGATTTAAAAATTTCCATTTGTAGGTTGAGTAATATTTGCACATATTTTTCAAACCTATACGAAATGCCTCTTCTCATGTTTTCTGTTTTAATCTGTGGTTCCCAGCTGTTTGGGATACATAAGTTAGAAGAGATTGAGTGATCAACCTATAGTACCTGTACCAGTAAAGATATTGTAGGGTTTTTGCTGTTTTGTATCATTTAATGTCATAATAAAGTGAAATTATACAGATGGCTTCTTGGTAACATATGCACACACATAGAATTCCTCCATCATAAAGAATATAAAGTTAAAAACTTTATATGTAGAGAATTACATGTTGATCATTTTTACAATAGATTTACTTTTTTAAACAAATCACACAGATAACAAAGAATGATTGTTCTGAGTGTTACTAAGTGGAAGGGGACTATTAAATCCTAATATAAAAGTCATTATCAAAGGTACTTTTCTCTTTAGATTTAACTCTGTTCTTATAATGTAGGAAGCCTGCGTTCAAACTTGTGTAAATAGAGAGCTTTATGTTTAACCCTCAATATTATAGTATTGAAGAAATCTTCAATAGTTTCAGAAAAGTTTATTAATATAACGTACTAGCTCTTTCAAGACAGTATTTAACAGCAAGTTACAATAGAGATTAAAATAAATCATATAATGTACATCGACAATGTAAAATCATAAAGTACATCAGTAATCATATTTACACACATACTCATATGCTTGCCCATTTTTTCTTCTTTGGAATACAGTTCATCTTTTTGGCAAATAAATTATTAATGGAATTGTATTTATTTATATTTTTTCCTTTTAGGTGTTATTCAAGTATTGGGAAAGTTCAGGATGCCTTTATATCTTACAGGCAATCTATTGATAAATCAGAAGCAAGTGCAGATACATGGTGTTCAATAGGGTAAGGCTATATATATAAAAGCAGTAGAAGCTCGCTTGATACACTGGATGATTGAAACATCTAATATACTGTATAGTAATATAAAATTAACTGGCTGGATATAGTAGTTCATGCCTATAATCCCAGCACTTTGGGAAGCTGAGCCTGGTTGATCTCTTGAGTCTGGGGTTTCAAGACCAGCCTGAGCAATATGGTAACACTCTATTTCCATGAAAAAAATTTAAAAAAATAGCCAGGCATGGTGGCATGTCCTATAGGCCCAGGTACGCAGGAGTCTGAGGTGGGAGGGTTGCTTGAGCTGGGGAGGTCAAGGGTGTGGTGAGCCATGGAAATGCCACTTCACTCCAGCCTGGGAGACAGTGTGAGACACTGTCTGAAAACAACAGAAAAATAAACGAACGAAAGTAACCAGTAGTTTTTGACAGCATTCTTTTTCTTTCCAGTGTGTTGTATCAGCAGCAAAATCAGCCTATGGATGCTTTACAGGCATATATTTGTGCTGTACAATTGGACCATGGGCATGCCGCAGCCTGGATGGACCTAGGTACTCTCTATGAATCCTGCAATCAACCTCAAGATGCCATTAAATGCTACCTAAATGCAGCTAGAAGCAAACGTTGTAGTAATACCTCTACGCTTGCTGCAAGAATTAAATTTCTACAGGTAAAAATTTTAAATAGTATATTTTAAATGACACGTATATTCCTATAATAATTGGCAGGAGAAGGGTGGCTGGCAAGTTTGTCTATTTGTGTTTTGATGTTGCCTTGTTTCCATATTTTGTAATATTTTGTGGTATTATTTTTCATTTAATTTTAAGTGAAATGCAGTATGTAAACTATGTTCTTTTGCACATTTACTTTATTGATGCATATTTACATTTTACATTACTATGCATGAACTTTTTCAGTGTGCTTATCTGCATTTTTAACTTTTCATAACATTGTAGAGAAAATAACAAATGCCATTTTTCACTCTTGCTTAAAATTTCATGAGAAGATATCTGTGAGAACTGAAAAATAGAGCTTGTGTTTGTTCTGATTCTCCAAAGAATATTCTAGTTGCCCTCTTTATATTTAACATCTACCTAAAATCCCCAAATTTAGAATTTTTTTTTAAATACCTATAACCCTGAGGAAGATTTAGTGGACTTGCTCTTACTCAAGTAGGCTTGTGTTAAATTTGCTTTTTACATAATTTTTCCTAGGCTCAGTTGTGTAACCTTCCACAAAGTAGTCTACAGAATAAAACTAAATTACTTCCTAGTATTGAGGAGGCATGGAGCCTACCAATCCCCGCAGAGCTTACCTCCAGGCAGGGTGCCATGAACACAGCACAGCAGGTGAGAAGTTGGGTTATGTTCTGTAGGTGCCCAGCTTTAAGGGTTTTTTTTTTTCACTCTTCAGTAATCAAGTTTATTTCACTAAACAAAGGATTGACTTTAAAATAGAGAAATCTTTTTAATTAAAAAATAAAAATTTTTTAATTCTAAAGAGTTTTAGAAAATAAAAATAAAATTCCCTCTGATATGGGAAGGAATACGGGTGCCAGTTTAAACCTTTGTATATTCTCATAATTAGAAAGTAATTTCTTAAGTGACATTTCTATAGTTGTTTATTAAGTTTAAAAGATGAAACTTTTCTGAAGAAGACACACATTGCTCCCTTGATGATTCATTTGATTATAATTTTGAATAATTACCATCAATGATGTCCGCATAGTGTTGAAAAGTATATGAAGTTTTATAATTTGAAGGAGTGAATTAGGAATATGTAGAACCATATTTTTATCTTACTTCTGTGATCCTTAGGCTTATAGAGCTCATGATCCAAATACTGAACATGTATTAAACCACAGTCAAACACCAATTTTACAGCAATCCTTGTCACTACACATGATTACTTCTAGCCAAGTAGAAGGCCTGTCCAGTCCTGCCAAGAAGAAAAGAACATCTAGTCCAACAAAGGTATATATACATTTTAGAGATATGGAAAATCCCAGTCAAAAATGAAACTAACTCTTCTGAAATTGTGCCTGGACTGTATTTTAAGCTTGTGGACATCAGAAAGTGAAGCAGTATTTCTATTCCATAATCTTTGCATCACATTAAATATAGAAGGTAGGGATAAGTTTGTGTTCATCACGTCATTTTATTCATTTCCCTGCTTTTACAATTTTAACACAGTTTTTACCATCACTTCTGACAATGAAATAAACTGAATGTTGAATAGTAGTAGACCACCTTTCTACCTCTTTGAGACGTAATTTAAATATGGTCCTTTTTTTCTAAATGTGTAAGTTTATGAATTAATTATGCATTTTTAATAATTTTTAATGATTTAAAAGGATGTCATATATATACCTATTCCGATTCCTAGTCACTTGGTTCTCACTAGTCATAACTCTAAGTGTATGAAATTAAGCAAATATTCTTAATCTTTTACACTAAATTTTCCTTAGAATGGTTCTGATAACTGGAATGGTGGCCAGAGTCTTTCACATCATCCAGTACAGCAAGTTTATTCGTTGTGTTTGACACCACAGAAATTACAGGTATGAATTCTTTGACGATCTTTCCCCCAATTCGAAAGCAGTAGAAACAGTAAATGTTGTTTTTTAGGTATTAATTGAATGATGATTAACTAAATTAATATGAATATAATTAAAACGAGCCCACATTTTCCAGGATAATAGGAATCAGAATCCATTTTGTGAGAGGAGAGGAAACTTAAATGACATAAGGTGAAGGCACCTTCCAGTTTCTACCTCTAGCCACCTATTTTTAGTTTTTCATGCACAGGCAATGTTAACAGTTTTTTTCTAGAGATGTAAATTGTGCATGTACAAACAAATGTGTTTGTGTATTGTTTTTTTTTTTTGAGACAGTCTTGCTTTGTTGCCCAGGCTGGAAGGTTGTAGCATGATATCAGCTCACTGCAGTCTCCACTTCCTGGGTTCAGGCCGTTCTCCTGCCTCAGCCTACCGAATACCTGGTACTATAGGCATGCTTCACCATGCCCAGCTAAATTTTTTGTATTTTTAGTAGAGACAGGGTTTCACCATGTTGGTCAGGCTGGTCTTGAACTCCTGACCTCAAATGATGTGCCTATCTCAGTGTCCCAAAGTGCTCGGATTACAGGTGTGAGCCACTGCACCTGGCCAAGTCTCTCTTGTTGTTTTTTTTGGTTTGGTTTTGTCTTTTGTTTTTTTGAGATGGAGTTTCACTTTTGTTGCCCAGGTGTGATCTCCAAGTTTGTCTTTTCAAAATAGAATTGTAGGTACACTTTTACAAATATTTTAGGATCTTAGTTTTTTTGTTAAAGATGTATCTTGAGGATCTTTCTGTGTCTGTGTATTGCTTCTCTATTCTTTGATTTATGATTGCATGGGTGGGGCAAATCTGTTATTTAAACAGATCCCAACTATTGGGCATTTACATGTTTTTCAGTAATTCTGTTACAAATAATGTTGCATTAAGCATTTTTATTATTAAGTGTTTTAAGCTAAATAGCTTTGTCTTTGAATTTTTATTTCCCCATAATACATTTAACTAAAACCACACAAAACAGCTTTCCTCAGAATTTTAGATTTTACTGCCTTTTTCAGACTTTTTTTTTTTTTTTTTTTTTTTGGAGACAGAGTCACACTCTGTCGCCAGGCTGGAGTGCAGTGACATGTGATCATGGTTCACTGCAGCCTCCGCCTCCTGAGTTCAAGGGATTCTCTTGCCTCATCCTCCGCAGTAGCTGGGATTACAGGCATGCTCAACTACACCCATCTAATTTTTGTATTTTTAGTAGAGTT
Source organism: Homo sapiens (assembly GCF_000001405.40). NCBI lineage: Eukaryota > Metazoa > Chordata > Mammalia > Primates > Hominidae > Homo > Homo sapiens. Next base: position 13,356,625 of record NC_000024.10, on the reverse strand, counting down.
GGGGTTTCACCATGTTGGCCAGGATGGTCACGATCTCCTGACCTCGTGATCTGCCCTCTTCGGCCTCCCTAAATGCTGGGATTACAGGTATGAGGCACCACGCCTTTCCACTTTTTCAGACTTCTTAAAGGATTTTGAGCTTGAGTAACATTGGTTAAGAATCACTATCGGGGCCGGGCGTGGTGGCTCACACCTGTAATCCCAGCACTTTGGGAGGCCAAGGCAGGCGGATCACAAGGTCAGGAGATCGAGAGCGTCCTGGCTAACACGTTGAAACTCTGTCTCCACTAAAAATACAAAAAATTAGCCGGGCATGGTGGCACATGCCTGTAGTCCCAGCTACTCAGAAGGCTGAGGCAGGAGAATGGCGTGATCCCAGGCGGCAGAGGTTGCAGTGAGCAGAGATTGCACCACTGCACTCTAGCCTGGGCGACAGAGCAAGACTCTGTCTCAACAACAAAAAAAAAGAATCACTATCTTAACGTTCATTAGGAATCACTGTCTTTCATCCTGCAAAGGTTCTGTGTAGTCTTTTTAGTGAGGAGTTGCCTTATATTGTCTTAAATTTTAGATTAAACTTTGATTATATTAATCTCTTTTCTTCTAGCACTTGGAACAACTGCGAGCAAATAGAGATAATTTAAATCCAGCACAGAAGCATCAGCTGGAACAGTTAGAAAGTCAGTTTGTCTTAATGCAGCAAGTATGTATAATATTTTTATTTTCTCTAAAATTTACCAACAGTTTGAGAATATTTCTTTACTACAGTATCATTTTAGAGGATATTAATGCTAATTTATAGTTTCTGTGTATATTTCATGGGATGTATATATCTGAGTTTTACATATGTGTTAGTAATGGACAAATTTTTTAAAAAGGAAATATACTCAGATTAACTTAGATCCAAATGATTGATTTGAAGGATTTGACAAGAATGTAAACTGAATGGAAATTTGAAATCTTCTGTTTCATGAAGGAAAAATGGCCTGTAAGTTTTTGAATCATTATTTATAATCTTTAGCAGCTTTATTTTGCCCTTGAGCTGTTAATAAAGGCCGATTTCTTTACATACTGAAACACCTTTCTTCTTTTTATAGGAATTATATATTAAAGTGGATCTATTGTCTATATGTTTTTTTAGAGACATGAAATGTTATATGAAATTAGAGATGTATGAACTACACATTTTCAAAGTTACACAGCAGTTTTTCTTTTTTGTTTTTGAAGATGAGACACAAAGAAGTTGCTCAGGTACGAACTACTGGAATTCATAACGGGGCCATAACTGATTCATCACTGCCTACAAACTCTGTCTCTAATCGACAACCACATGGTGCTCTGACCAGAGTATCTAGCGTCTCTCAGCCTGGAGTTCGCCCTGCTTGTGTTGAAAAACTTTTGTCCAGTGGAGCTTTTTCTGCAGGCTGTATTCCTTGTGGCACATCAAAAATTCTAGGAAGTACAGACACTATCTTGCTAGGCAGTAATTGTATAGCAGGAAGTGAAAGTAATGGAAATGTGCCTTACCTGCAGCAAAATACACACACTCTACCTCATAATCATACAGACCTGAACAGCAGCACAGAAGAGCCATGGAGAAAACAGCTATCTAACTCCGCTCAGGTAAAAAAAGGACTAGCTGCTTTCTTGGCTCTTATATAGTAGTTTATCTTTATTTAGTTTGTGTACATTCTAAAAAGATAGAAATTTAAAGAATGGCTTTGTCTTTAAAAAGTAATTTAAGTAATTGATAAGAGTATAAAACTTTTAAGTGATACCAGGATCATTACAGGCCTACCTTGGACATCTTACAGGTTTCATACAAGACAACTGCAATAAAGTGAGTATCATAATAAAGCCAATCACACTAATTTAGTTTTATTTTTTAGTGCATATAAAAGTTATGTTTACACTATATTATGTCAGTTTGCAATTATAATTTGTGTAAGCAAACAACATCTTACTTTGAAAATATTTTATTGCTTAAAAAAAGAAAGCCTGTGATCATTAAGCAAGTCATAATTTTTTTGGCGGTAGACGGTCTTGCCTCTATGGTGATGACTGCTCATTGATCAGGATGGTGTTTGCTGATGAAGTGGCTGTGACCCCTTAAGACAACAACGATATTTGCTACTGTGATCTTCCCTCCCTTCCTTCCCTCTTTCCTTCCTTCCTTGCTCCCTCTCTTCCTTTCCTCCCTCTCTCCTTCCCTGCCTCCCTTTTTTTTTGAGACAGAGTCTCACTCTGTTGCCCAGCCTGTGCAATGGGGCTATCTTGGCTCACTGTAACCTCTGCCTTCTAGGTTCAAATGATTCTCCTGCCTCAGCCTCCAAAGTAGCTGGGACTACACGCATGCCACCACTCCTAGCTAATTTTTGTAATTTTGGTGGAGATGGGGTTTCACCATGTTTGTCAGGCTGGTCTCAAACTCCTGATCTCAAGTGAAGTGCCCACCTCGGCCTCCGAAAGTGCTGGGATTACAGGCATGAGCCACCGTGCCCAACAAACTCTTTGTTTCTTGAAAGATTTCTTTGTAGGATGCCATGCTATTTGATGTTTTCCCAATGATATAACTTCTTTCAAAGTTAGAGTCAATCCTCTTGAACTTTGCCACTGCCTTTATCAAATAAATTTATGTAATATTCCAAATCGTTTGTTTGTATCACAGTAGTTAGTGTTCACAGCATTTCCCCAGGAGTGGATTTCCTCTCAGAAAACCACTTTCTTTTCTCATCCCTGAAACAACAACTTCTAATCCATTCAAAATTTGTTGTGCACTTGCAGCAATTCAGTCACTTCTTCAGGCTCCACCTGTCAAACTGTCTTGCCATTTCTACATCTGTAGTTCCTTCCTCAACTGAAGTCTTGAACACCTCAAAGTCATCCATGAGGATTGGAATCAACTTCTTCCACATTCATTTTGACCTCCTCCCATGAATCATGAAAGTCCTTAATGACATGTTGAATGACTGAATCCTTTTCAGAAAGTTTTCCCTTTCCTTTGCTTTATTAGAGGAATTGCTGTCTGTGTTAGTTATATATAGACTTATGAAATGAAATGTATTTCTTAAATAATAAGACTTAAAGTCAAAATTACTTCTTGATCCATGAGCCGCAGAATAGATACTGTGTTAGGCATGAAGACAAATTTAATCTCTTTTTACATCTGTCAGAGCTCTTGAATGACCAAATGTATATTTAATGAGGAATAGTATATTGAAAGGAATCTCTTTTTCTGAGTAGTAGCTATCCATATAGACTTAAAAGTATTCAGTAAACCATGATGTCAACAGTTGGGCTATCACACAGGCTTTGTTATCCCATTTATAAAGCACAGGCAGAGTGGATTTAGCATACCTCTTTAGGGCTGTGGGATTTTCAGAATGATAAATGAGCATTGCCTTCAGCTTATAGTCACCAGCCTTATTAGTTCCTAACAAAGGTGTCAGCCTGTCTTTTGAGGCCTTGAAACCAGGTGTTAACTTCTCTCTAGTTAGAAAAGACCTAAATCACATCTTCTTCCACTGTAATCTTCATTGAAAATCTATTGTTTAGTGTAGCCACCTTCATCAATGATACTAGCTAGGTCTTCTGGATAACTTGCTGCTTTACCTTGCACTTACTTATATTATGGAGATGACTTCTTTCCTTCTCCCTCATAAACCAACTTCTACTGGCTTCAGACTTTTCTTCTGCAGCTTCCTTACCACGGTCAGCCTTCATAGATTTGAAGGAGGGGTTTACACCCTTTTTCTGGATTAGGCTTTGGCTTGAGGGAATATTGTCAGTGATGAGACAGCTTTTATCTAGACCACTAAAACTTTCTTTATATCATCAATAAGGTTGTTTTGCTTTCTTAACATTTGTATGTCCATGGGAGTAACAGTTTTACTTTCCTTGGCCTTCACAACTCAGCTAACTGGTACAAGAGGGCTAGTTTTATGACTGTCTTGGCTTTGGACATGCCTTCCTCACTAACTTTAATTGTTCTAGCTTTGGATTTAAAGGGAGAGATGTGGCTTGGTACAGTGGCTCAGGCCTTTAATTACAAGACTGTGGGAGGCCAAGGCAGGAGGATTGCTTGAGCCCAGGAGTTGGAGACCAGCCTGGAAAACATACCAAGACCCCATCTGTACGAAAACTACAAAAATTAGCAGGGCATGGTGTCATGTGCCTGCATTCCCAGACACTTGGGAGGCTGAGGTGAGAGGGTTGCTTGAGCACAGGAGGACAAGGCTGCAGTAAGCTGAGGTTGCACCACTGCACTCCAGCCTAAGTGACAGAGTGAGACCCTGTTTCAAAAAATTAAAAAAAAATCCCTAGTAGAACTTCTTTCAAAGTTATGAGTTAATCCACAAATCTCAGGTGAGAGATACGCAATGCTTCCTTTCATTCAAATGCTCGGAGGCCATTGTAGGGTTTATTAGGTGGCCTAATTTAATATTTTTGTGACAGGAATATGGAGGTCTGAAGAGAGGGAAAAAAATAGAAGGACTGGATGGCGGAGCAGTCAGAACACAGAACATTTGTTAATTAAGTGTGCTGCCCTATCTGTGGTGCCCTCAAACAATGACGATGGTAACATCAAAGATCCCTGATTACAAATCAGTGATACAATATGAAAAAGTTTCAAACAATTGAGAGAGTTACAGAGATGCAAAGTGAACACATTATGTTGGAAAAGTGGTACAGATGGACTTGCTTGCTTGATATCCACTGTTGCCACATACCTTCAATTTGTAGTAAACATAGTGTCTTTGAAGTTCAGTAAAGCAAAGCACAATAAAATGAGGTATGTCTGGACTACGTGGTAATTTAGTCTGTGCATGTAAGTTTATTTACAGTATTATAAATTCACGATACTGCTTTCTTTGTGGTTTCAGTTACCTGGGGGCAACTGTTAAATGGAAAGTTCCAGAAATAAACAGTACATACATTTTAAATTGCATGCCATTCTGAGTAGTGTCATGAAATCTTGTCCTGTTCCACTCCATTTGACCAGGATGTGAATCATCTCTTTGTTCAGCATATCAACACTGTACACGTTACCTACCCTTTATTCACTTAGTTGCTGTCCCTCAGTTATCAGATCAAAAAAAAAATATTGAGAATTCAGGACTATTGACAGTTTGAGGCATCCAGTGAGGGTCTAGGAATATATCCCCTACGAATATGAGGGACTGTTGTAGTTAAAGCTAGTGTACAGATAAATTACATTAGGTAGTATGGAAATCAGAGGAAAAGGGAAAAAACAATTATTACTTTACAGTTACACCAAATCTCATTGCTATTTCAATAAGACATAATGACATGTTTTAGAAAGTATCTTCAAGTAATATTTGCACATATTCCCTGGAGAACACCGCTACCATGCAAGCTGTTCAATATTTATTCTAGTGGAAGGAAAGGACTAGCAGAATTTAAATTACCATGAATTGTAATACAATGTGACATGAGCAAGTGCCTTGGGAGGGCCAGCACATTAGAGACCCAGATAATTGAAGGAATTTGCAAGGAGAAAGGGCAGGTTAAGGAGTGGCTGGAGAATAGCTTATGAAGAGGTAGTGTAGCAAGACAAGCCACAGACAAAACCCTCAGACACCCAAGTTAAAGAAGGAAGGGCTTTATTCGGCTGAGAGCTTAGGCAAGACTCATGTCTCCAACAACCGAGCTCTCCAAGTGAGCAATTCCTGTCCCTTTTAAGGGCTCACAACTTTAAGAGGGTCCATGTGAGAGGGTCGTGATCGATTGAGCAAGCAGCGGTACATGACAGGGGGCTGTATGCACCAGTAATCAGAATGGAACAGAACAGGACAGGGATTTTCACAGTGCTTTTCCATACAATGTCTGGAATCTATGGATAACATAACCAGTTAGGTCAGGGGTCGATCTTTAATTAGGCCCAGGGTGCGGGCTGTCTGCCTGTGGATTTCATTTCTGCGTTTTTACTTCTTCTTTCTTTGGAGGGAGAAATTGGGCATAAGACAATATGAGGGGTGGTTTCCTCCCTTAGTAGAATGAAAGTGAGGCCTCACTGAAGGACCTGCTTTATCTGATGGCACAGTAGAGCTATTAAGGTTTTATATACAGATATAAATTTCTTTTTATATACAGATATAAATTTCTTGAAACTTTGTTTATTTTTATTGACTAATATACTTTAATTTTTAGAGCTGTGTTCGGTATATAGGAAAAATTACACAAAAAGTAAAAAAGCTCCCATTCCTTTCCTCATCTCTCATGGTTTCTCCTATTAGCCATGTGTTCTAGTTACAGAAGTCTCTCCAAGTTTTTGTTTGTCTGAGAAAAATTTTTTCCTGGTTTTTGAATGGTAATTTTGCTGAAATTCCAGTTTGGGTTTTTGTTTCAATACTTTAAACATTTCTGTCTAGTCTCTCTTTTGCATGGAGTCTTAGTTCATTCAGAACACTATAACAAAATACTATGGACTAGGTGATTTATAACAAAGAAATTTCTCACAGTTTTGGAGATTGAGAAGTCCAAGATCAAGAGCTAGCCTACTTGGTGTCTTGTGAGATGGTTCATCTATGTTACTTTCTTGCTGTGTCCTCACATGGTGAAATGGGCAAGGAGTGTCTCTCAGGCCTCTTTTGTAAGGACACTAATCTCACTCATGAGGGCTGTACACCTTATGATCTTATCCCCTCCCAAAAGCCCAGTCTCCTAATAATTTCACCTTGGTGATTCAGTTTCAAAATAGGAATTGGGCGGTAAGGGTGGGCAGAAATATTCATTCCTTTAGTGCATATGTTCACAAGAGAAGTCAGATGTAATTCTTAACTTGGCTCCTCCATAGTTAAGCTGGGGTGTTTTTTTGTTCCTTAATTTTTCTCAGAATTTTTTCATTGCCTTTGCTTTTTTACAGTTTACATATAGATGTGTATTGTAGTATTTTTTGTTATTTATATTGTTGGATATTCTCCTAAGTTTTCTGGGTCTGTGGTTGGTTTCTGTAAGGTCAGCTGAGAGAAAAAACAAGAGAGAGAGCAAGACCCAAGTTCAGGCAAGCTTTTAGTAAACCTGCCAGCTGCCTTACCACAGACAAAGGAGGCAGCAGCCAGGTTACAGAATAAGGGATTGATACTTGGGGGTGGGATTATGCTTTCACTTGTATTCCCTCATATTTTGCAAGTGTTCTGTTGATGTGATAAAGTGTGATGAGGTGATAAAGTGTGTGGGAAGGAAGTGTTCTGTATTAGTTGCCTGTCTTTTAATGAGACTTTACCTTTTGGCTGATTCCTTCACAAGTGCTGGTCAGCTTTTTATTCCCCATTAAACAAGCAGGAAGGCTAGAGAGGCTTGGCATTGAGTATTTTCTGTCTGTCGTGTTGTTTAGGTTATAGTAAAACCCTAGCTGTGTTAGGCTCTGGCCAAATAATACAGTAATTTCCCTGAGTCATGCCTTTTTAAGAACGGATGCTCAGGAAACATTTCAGAATGTTTACTTTGCCTCTTCTCCTGTTAGAAGTTGTAGAGGTGTGTTTTCTAGTCTTTACTGTAAGATCCTATTAGGGCTTCTGGAGGTAAAACTTATAAAAATATGGAGATTCCCTAAGGCTTGGCCTCCCTGAAGCTTCTAACTCTCAAAAACTGAGCATCCATCAGTTTTTCAGTTACAGTTTAGGTTTTTCTCTTAGTGGTTCCAGCAGCAGTTTCTGTTCACTGCCTTTTGCTCTGGTAAGTTGTGATACTATGGTAAGATGTGAATCTGTCTGCCTGTGTGTTCAATGTGGGTGGCAGCAGTAAGTTAACCAGTCACTTCCCTTCTCTTAACCCTGGATAACTTACCACCAATCTGTTTTCTATGTGTATGGATTAACATATTATAGACAGTTTATACACATGGAATACTATAGTATGTGACCTTTAGTGTCTTAATTCTTTCACTGGACATTGTGTTTTCAAAGTTAGGGAATATATCCTGTTAATAAACCTTCTAAAATGAAGGTTGAACAATGCTGGACTAACATTTCAGTTTTCTTTTGTTTTTGATCAGTAGGAATTGAGTGAGGAAAATAAGAAATTTGTGTGATACAGGCAGTTTGTACAATCTACCAGCTTTTCCTTTTGATTTCCTCTTGATTTCTCTTATAGCTGTGTCCTGATTATCATACAAAAGTTAGCTCCTCAAAATAAGTTATGCTCTTTTAAAAATAAGTATTATTTGTATTGTTGTATTATTATATATTTTTTCCTTATAGTTTTGATTAATGGTTGGATAAATTCACCCATGTGGGAACCCATAGATACAAAGGGCGACTGTATCTTCATTATTCTCTCAGATCCTCCTCCAGGAGTTTCATCAAATATCACAATCTCAAGGATATCAGCTTTTTATTATCTTTCTGTTCATAATGTAACTCTTTGCTATTGTCTCCAGCATTCTCTACCCTCTTCTCTCATAAATTTTTCTGTAAGGTCCGTATCAAAACATAATCTAATATTATATATTCTAAATTATTTCCTTTACTTTTTATTTAATCAGCTGGGTAAAATAGGGAATTAGGCTGTTTCTATTCTGTTTTATCCCTTGAGCCTGAAAAAGTTAGATGTGGCCAAACCGGGTACTCAATACAAATGGCTACAAGGAACAAAAAGCTACCATTCAGTCTAAAACAGAGACTGTCCTTCCTGAAAGTATTTGAAGATTAAACTTAAAACTTGCCTTAAAAATTTATTTTGAAATGGTTAATTTTATGTGTCAGAATTGGTAGGGTAGGAAGCTCAGTTATTTTATTGCAGGAAATGTTGCGGGACAATCAAAGACTGGAGAGACCGAAAAAGGTTCAGGAGGGTTTATTAAGGTGATCACCGGCTCAGCTGGACATATGTCTAGAAAATCTGAGTCCCGAACAAAGGGCTTTTCCTACTTTTTTTTTTGAGACAGAGTCTTGCTCTGTCATCCAGGCTGCTGTGGGGCAGTGGCACGATCTTGGCTCACTGCGAACTCCGCCTCCCGGGTTCTTGCCATTCTCCTGCCTCAGCCTCCCAAGTAGCTGGGACTACAGGCGCCTGCCACCATGCCCAGCTGATTTTTTTATATTTCTAGTAGAGTCAGGGTTTCACCATCTTAGCCAGGATGGTCTCGATCTCCTGACCTTGTGATCCACCTGCCTCAGCCTCCCAAAGTGCTGGGATTACAGACATGAGCCACCGTACCCGGCCCTCCTACTTTTAAACATCTAAAAAGCGAGAACTACGTGAGGTGGGAAGGAAGTTACAGAAGTGAGAAACAAAGGCAGTTAAGCATTACGACATTTCTTAAGTCTTGAGAAAAACATGTCTTGCATCCTAAACTTACCAGTCTTGTGACCCTGAAGCTGTGCTAGGGAGGTAAGCAGGAACTTGCTGAGCCTGTAATAAACTTTGAGGAATGTGGAGTTGGGGAGTATAGATAAGGTCCACTGATCACAAAGAGAAGACAGGCTGTTAATATTCTCTTTTAACTTGAGTGTAAGTTGAGGGGTGGGAGGTCACATTTTGCAGCAACTTTTAAGAGGATTTTAAAATTTCTACTACTACTACTAATAGGTTATAGTTGATTTCATTAATTCCTTCTTCATTTCCCCCCTTTGGTGTCCCACACAAATGTAGATTAGTAAAGTGCACCACAATTAGCTATTTCTTCTTGAGTGGGTACATACTTATCTTGGGATACCGGTTGGTACTTTTGCAGAGCCATTATTCAGGTGATGGTATGTCTGTGTACCGTTGGCTTCTGTGGTGGATTGGATGCTTCTGATGAGAAGTGGCAGGAGACAAGGAATAAGTAGGCATCCACTTATTACGGTGGTAACATGATTGATATAGTGTTGGGAACTGCAAAAGGGATTAAAGTCTGACACAGAGGAATTGTCTATAAAGCTTCCCATTGTGTTCTGTTTTCGGATTTTGCAAGATATTGTTGACCTAGGCAAGTCGTTGCCCCTCCCTGGTTCTGAAAGGCCTTGTCCCAATGGGTGATGCAGTATTTTCCAGTGATGGGGTTCCTTAACAGCCAAACACTTGGATTTGCATTGAATTTGTAACAAATTCAGGTAAGGTAAAATTTTCTTGTGGCATCAATTCTTAGGCTCCCATATTGGTACCTCCACATATATAACATACAGTAACTCTTAAATTGTTAGCAGTACTTTCGGCTAGCTGGGCAAACAGGTTTTCAGCTGATATAGGAGGAATTTGATTTTTTGATACTTCAGGATTAAAGTGTTCATTGAAAGATGTATAAAACCTAAAGTGTTGCATTGGGCTAACTTGAACTTGGGTCCTTTGGGTTTTCCTGGTAATGACCAGAGGAATACGAAGTCCTAGGAGTGCTCTTTCCTGATCAAAGATTAGTAGCCCTTTAGGCCCTTTAGTCCAGAAAGGCATATTTGGCTTTAGTATTGTCAGATTGAGTGGGTTGCAAGTTCCAGTTGTGCACCCTATCTTCACCTCTTGGCTGGCAAATAGAGCAACCCTTCCTGTGTATAGGTGCTGATAAATTCATGTGTGGTCCACTGATTATCACAATCAGGGCACTCCTTTTTGGATTTTCCTGTTACAGCCTTGGTAGCTCTGCTGCTGACTCTTTCTTGTCCTAGATTTTTACGGATGGTCCCAATAGTATTTAGTTTACTGAGATGTGAAGCTTGGCAGGCATCAAAATGTATGGAGACAGGGCCTTTATGCGAGTGAGGGAATACTTCTTTTTTGTTTACAGGTTTACTGACCCTGATTTCTGTGGGGTTTATATATGATGGCATTAGGGGTTTGCCAGTTTGGACTTCAAACCAAAAGTCATAGGGCACGAACTCTGGGTCATTACATACTTGGGGCTGCCTGTTTCCACGATCACAGACCAACTAGTCTGGTTATAGACACAAGTTCCTGTATGAGTCCCTGTCCACTCATAGTAGGTCTGGTATAACATAGTTTTAGTCATACCTTTTCTGGACCAGGCTTCTATCATACAGTGATGACAGTCATCTTGGTCCCCTTTTATAACCATAGGTGAAAGTGTCAGTGACTTCAGTATTACCAATATGATTAAACTTATACTGTGCATGGGCACCCTTCTGGGCAAAAAGCTTGGCAGCATTTGCAAAGATAACATGACAGTAAAATAATCAGTACAAGAATTTAATTATGCTTGTAAATTCAGTCCACATTTACTTATCTATTATTGACTTCCTCAGGCTTCAGCCATGCATAGACTAGTCAGCTTCCAGTTGTCTGACTAGAGCAGGGCTCAGTGTTTCCCTAAGGTTCAGCTGTGCTTGGACTGACCAGCCTCCGGTATGGTCAGAGCAGGGCAGTTATCCTTGTCAGCAGTGGCATAGTTTTGCCGCAGGATCAACTGTTTTGGGTAGTCTGGGTTTTGTTGACTGGCCGCGGGTCCTGAGTTGTGGTCGCTGCTGGTTTCAGCTGGCTGTGATGAACCCAAGGTGTGATACCTGCAACAACAGCAGTGGGGGTAGACAAGATCACAATATGGGGACCATCCCATAAAGGCCCTAACGTGGTTGGGTTCCATTGTTTGACCCAGACAGAGTTTCCAGGTTGGAAGGGATGTACTGCATCTATGAGACTAACAGGTATTCTTTCTCTTACCCACCTTTGTATTTCCTGCATGGCCTCACCTAAGGCTTGCATTTGCCTTCTTAAGGTTAATTCCCCAATTTCTTTTAAATCCCCTTTTATCTGAGTTATGATTGTGGGTGGTGAGCCAAACACCATCTCATAGGGTGAATACCCAGTTAATTTAGTAGGGTGCCTCTGACTCACAGAAGGACCATGGGCAGCTCCTGATTTCACCTTAGATAAGTTTCCTGGCAAAACCTTTAACAGCTGTTTGAGTGTCTCCTTCATTCTTTCAACTTTTACAGAACTCGGTGGGCAATAAGTTGTATGCAGATTCCATTTGATTTTTAACATCTGTTAGTTGTTGTACTATCTGCTACAAATGCTGGGCCATTGTCTGATTCTAAAGTTAGAGGCAGTCCAAATCTAGGAATAATCCCCTTTAGTAAGATCCTGGTTACTTCCCGAGCTTTCTCTGTCCTGGTGGGAAATGCCTTGACCCACCTTGAGAAAGTGCAGACAAACACTAGCATGTACCGGCAGCCTCCAACTTGAGGCAGCTCGATAAAGTCCACAGGCAGGTTTTCACAGGGTGTAGTCCAGTTTCTTGAATCCCTGGGGGCCATGTTGGCCCCTGCCATGGATTATTTTGGGTACAAGTTCAACATTGCTCACAAATGGCTCAAGTGATGGCAGTTAGGCGCAGAACATAGAAATGCCATCCAACAAGAGTCTCTAATGCGGTTTTTCCCATATGTGTTCCTTGATGAAACTGCTTTATGAACTGGGTGGCTATTGCTTCTGGGATGACAAGCCTCCCATCTGAGAACTTTCACCAACCTTTCTGTTAACTTCCACTCTCCTGCTCAAACCAGGTCTTTTCATTAGAGGAGTAGTTAGCGGGTTCTGTAAGGGGAAGCTCTAGTAAGGGCATGGTAAGGGTTTGCCCTTCCTTCTTAGTTACCTCCATCATTGCAACTCTTTTGGCTTCTCTGTCTGCCTTCCTGTTTCCTCTAGCCTCATCACCTCCTGCCATTTGATGCCCTTTGCAATGGATGACTGCTACTTCTTTTGGAGCTCTTTCAGAGCAGCTTCTAAGAGCAACTCTATTTCCCTTTTATTTTTGACTTCCTTTCCTTCAGTAGTTAATAATCCTCTTTCCTTACATATGGCTCCATGGGAATGCAAAATGGCAAAAGCACACCTTGGGTCAGTATAGATGTTTACTGACTTTCCTTTGGCCACGAGCGATGCTCTAGTGAGGGCTGTTAGCTCAACTCTTTGGGCTGAAGTTCCGACCAGCAGAGGGCAGGCTTCAGCCACTAGATTCAATGCCTCACCGTATATCTAGCCCTTCTGACACCTTCAGATATGAAGCTACTTCATATCTGAAGTATCATATCTGCTTCATATCTGAAGCTGCTTCATATCTGAAGTATCATATCAGTAAAGTATTCCACATCTGGATTTTTTAAGTGCTGGTCCTTTAAGTCTTTTTGGCTTGAGAAAACCTCATCTACCATTTCCACACAACAGTGATAACCTGGGCAACACAACGGGGGCTTTCTGTGCTCTGCCCACTCTTTTGGCAGCAGTGTGCGTGGATCTAGAGTATTCAGAGTCACCAGGATTATGTAGGGGTTTCCACACAAAAGTTCTTGATATCTTAACATCCTAGGGTTAGAAAGCCAGCCATGCCCCCTCTGCCCCATCAGGGTGACGATCGTATGGGGCACCTGAATTATCAACCTCTGTCCAAATGTGAGCTTGTTAGCATCTTCTGCTAACAGGGCAGTGGCTGCCACTGCCTTGAAACAGGGAGGCCATCCCATAGCCACCAAGTCTAGTCGCTGGGACAAACATGCCACGGGCCAATACCATGACCCTAGTGTTTGTACCAAGACTCTTATAGATATTCCTTTTCTTTCATAGATATACACGTAAAAAGGCTTTGTCATGTCTGGCAGTCCTAATGCCAGGGCGTGGATCAAAGCCTTCTTGATTTCCTTGAAGGCCATGTCCTGCTCTTTTCCCCACAGGAGGGGTTGTTTTCCGCCACTTTGGTAGCCTCATACAGTGGTTTTGCTAAGAGCAAGTAACATGGAATCCAAATGCGACAGAAACCAGCTGCCCGTTTAAACTTCCACACTTGTCTAGCGTCAGGTCAAGGAATGCTACAAACAGTCTCTTTTCGCCCACGTCCACACTCAAGCTGCCCTTGAGAGAGGTTAAAGCCAAGATACCTTGCTCTTTGGCCACAGATTTGTGCCTTTTCCTTAGAGACCTTATAGCCAGCCTCCCACAGAACATCAAGGAGGCTTTTCTGTACCTTGAAAGCACTCTTTTGTAGGTGCATAAATCATCTATGTACTGCAACAGGACACAGCGGCCACTTCGTGGCATGAAAGCCTTCAGGTCTGAGACAAGTGTGTCCTCAAAAATGGTTGGGGAGTTTTTAAATCCTTGGGGGAGTTTGGTCCAAGTATACTGTGATGAGCCCCACTCAAAGGCAAAGATGCCCTGGCTTTCAGGAGCTAGTCAGATGCAGAAGAATTCATCCTTTATATCTGAGCACATAAACCAAGCAGTGTCAGCAGGAATTCGCCCAAGCAGTGTGTATGGGTTGGGCACAATGGCATGTGATGTAGCTGCAAGTTTATATATGGCCTGCAAATCCCGTACCGTCTGGTAATCTCCAGAGGGCTTTAACACCAGTAGTAATGGAGTGTTTCAAGAAGAGGCACATCTTTCTATTATCCAGATTTAAGGAGCTGAACTGTATCCTTTGTAATCCCATGGGTGGCTTTGCTAGGATGGGATGCTGACCGATTCGCACTGGTGTCCCGCAGCAGTTCCACCACTGTGGGGTCCTGATTTATGGCTAGCTCTGGGGATTGTCTTCTGCCCACACCCCTGGCAGCCTGATAAATAATTCCTTATACATTGCCTCATTTTCCCACTTGCAAAATGCATCTTTACAAATTTTGCATCTCTCGTAGTCTCCATTCCTCTGTTGTGGGGATGGTAAGGGTCATTATCATGGCTTTTCTTTGACCTAGGTTTAAAGTCATGTCCCCTTCTCGGGTAAAGGAGATTTGTGCTTGCAATTTCTGGAGCAAGTCTCTTCCTAACAAGGGCACCAGACTATTTGGCAAATATAAAAATTCATTTTGGACTTCCTGTCCTCCAGTCACACATCTTTTAGATTTGAAGTAAGGCCTCTTTTCTGTTACTCCTGCAGCCCCATTTATATTGACATAATTTTTAGACAGTGGTCCAACTGCTTGAGTTCCTACCGAATGCTCCACACCAGTATCGACTACAAAGTGCATTTTCCTGCCCCCTACCTCCATTGAGACCGTAGGTTCCTCAGGGCCTAATGAAATGGAGCGTGGTCTGTCTCAGTTCTCATAATAATCATTGATTCCTGCCAGTCTAATTAAATCCGTGTCTGACTTGTGAACCCCTTGACCGTCAGCAGGGGGTTCTGGCCAGCCATTTTGTCCCTGATTGTTGCCTTTATACTTTTCTCTTTCTGGGTATTCATTCTCCAGTGTACCATCTGCTTGCCTCTCGCACATTGATCTCTCTCAAGCGTAGGTCAGCCCTCTTGTCCTGGCTTAGCTTCCTGGTTTTGCCTTGCTTGTCCTCCACCACAGCCATGTCCTCTCACAAAATTAGTTTCTCCTCCAACTAAGACCACCGCCATCAAGTCTACCTTTTCCTTAGCTCTGCATCTAGCTTTTCTCTTGGCCTCCTCATCCTGATTTAGAAACACCTTAGTAGCCACTTGGATAAGCTGGATAATATTCATGCCTTCAAAACCTAACTTCTGAAGCTTTTGCTTTACGTCTCCTCGTGCCTGACTTAAAAATGCTGCATTAACCATACACTGATTACCTGAAGCCTCTGGGTCAAATGGCGTGTAAAGTTGCTGAGCCTTGCAGAGCCTCTCATAAAATTCACTGGGACTTTCATCTGGCTCTGGAGGACCTCTGAGACCTTTTTGATATTGGTGGCCTTTTCCCCTTCAGCCTTTATTCCATTTAGGAGTGTCTTTCAATACCGTTGCAAACTTTGTAGCCCTTGAGCCTGGTTAGGGTCTCAGTCTGGGTCAGCCTCTATCGGGAGTGCTTATGCATACAGCCTGATATCTCCTGTGCCTGCGGTCGCATTGTTCTCCAGCCACTGGAGAGCGGCTTGTATAACTACGGCGCTCTTCTGTATTAAATAATGACAGAAGAAGTTTGCAATCATCCCAGGTAGGATTGTAAGTTAGGAAAATAGACTGCATTAGATCTATAAGAGCCTGAGGCTTCTTTGTATAGGAAGGAGTAGGTTGTCTCCAATTTAAGAGATCAGTAGTAGAGAAGGGCTGATAAACGAAGAGCTGTTCGCCCCCTTGGACTTCATTCTGTGCAGTTAAATAAATTTGTCCCCGTGTTTCTTGAAGGGGTGTCTGCATTGCTTGGGCATGACCTGACCTAAGGTGGCCTACCTCATCCCCCTGGAGTTTCTCCCTTGGCTTTTCAGGCAAGGACTGTGGTTCCTCTCTGTGTGGTGTTGTCTGAGGAGTGCTTTCTTCTGAGTCTGAATCTCCGGAGGCGGCCAGGGCAGCATCCTTCCTGTCTAAGCCCTCTTTGCCAGGGATGGATAAATTGGTGCATGGGGGGGTGGACTTTCTAACTTTTCATTTGGGGCCTGTAGGACAGGTTTTTTCTGCTTTTCCTGTGACTCCTTTTCTTTTTCTGATGCCTTGCGGTCTCTTCCTGTGGTTCCTGGTTTTGTCCGGGCCATTAGAGTCTTACAATAGGTCCCAAAGCAGGCCTGCAGCCACTTAGTGTGACTTTGAATTACACTTAGCCAGGAGTTGATATACGAAAACTGATCCGGGTACCCAGGCTGTTCTCCAGCCCCATGACTACCCAGAACACTCAGCCAATTATTTCCCTGTCTGTTGTCCCTTTGGCTGGCCACCCTACATTAAAAGACGGCCAATCTATCTCACAAAGGGTTCTCTGTTTCTGTGGAGTTAGTTTAACCCTATAATCACCATTAAAACCTTTTTTAAAGTTTTTCAGCATGCACTCCAGTGGAGTAGGCTTTGACATTTTTCCTCCCACTTCCCCACTCACAGCACGCTTTCACTTTTGCATCCACCAGTCCAGATCCTATTATGGGAGGTTTGGACACTGCTTAGCCAGGAGCGTACCTTAATTCCTGTCACAGCTCACTGCAGCCGTGGAACTGGTCCTATGGGCCATATGCAGTGTCCTAGGTCTGGTTTTTCTCACACTTGCCTCAGAGCACACAGTCCCTGCTAACAGATCTGTGCTTCACCACATCACGCCCTGTGTTGGTCTCTCCCGAGACCGTCTCTTTCACACACTTTCACACACCTCCCGCATTCCTGAAACAGTTTTCCTTTCTGACCAACTTGTGAGCTCCACCCACATCTGGTATCAGTTAGGGCGTGAGTTTCATCTGGGTCAGTGGAGCCTCTCCTGATGTTCCCAGCCCCCTTGGGTCAGACTAGTCATCACGCCCTGGGAGGTAATCCGGCTGCCTTTCCATCCTTATGGGACAGGTCTTGCCTTATGGCCCAATCCTTAGCACGGTTTAGATGTCTGTGCACTGCTTCCGTGACTGTCCTGCAACACTTTCTACCTGTTCCATTTGTGCTGTCAGGGGAAGTCTCTGGAATATGGGAGGGCCATTCTCCTTCTGGGCTGAAACTCTCCTGGTGGTGCTAAGGACCCCAGGGCTCTAGCCCACTGGCAAAGGAGATAGAAAATCTGCCATCTCCAATCCCAGACAAAGCCCCCAGAACTGTTTCAGGACAATCAAAGACTGGAGAGACCAAAAAAGGTTCGAGACAGTCTATTAAGGTTATCACTGGCTCAGCCAGACATATGTCCAAAAAGCCTGAGCCCCAAACAAAGGGTTTTTCCTACCTTTAAACATCTAAAGGCAGGAACTGTGTGATGCGGGAAGCAAGTTACAGAAGTGAGAAGCTAACGCTGTTAATCAAGCATTACAACATTTCTTACATCTTGAGAAAAACATATCTTGCAGCCTAAACTTACTGGTCTTGTGACCCTGCAGCCACAAGACCCTGCAGCCGTGCTAGGGAAGTAAGCAGGAACTTGCTGGGCCTGTAATAAACTTTGAGGAATGTGGAGTTGGGGAGTATAGATAAGGTCCACTGATCACAAAGAGAAGACAGGCTTTAAATGTTCTCTTTTAACTTGAGCGTGAGGTGGGGGTCACACTTTGCAGCAACTTCAAGAGGATTTTAAAGTTTCCATTACTACTACTATTAGGTTATAGTTGATTCCTTCTTCACTCAATGTTCTGTGAAGGTGCTCTGTAGATAGGATTAACATTTGTGGCCAGGCGCAGTGGCTCATGTCTTTAATCACAGCACTTTGGGAGGCCAAGGCAGGTGGATTACTTGAGGTTAGGAGTTTGAGACAAGCCTGGCCAACATGATGAAACCCCGTTCTTTTTTTTTTTTTTCCATTTTTGAAACAGAGTCTTGCTCCGTCACCCAGGCTGGAGTGGATTGGAGTGGCGTGATCTTGTCTCACTGCAACCTCTGTCTCCTGGGTTCAAGCAGTTCTCCAGCCTCAGACTCCCAAGTAGCTGGGACTACAGGCACACACCACCTTGCCCAGCTAATTTTTGTATTTTTATTAGAGACAGGTTTTCGCCATGTTAGCCAGGCTGGTCTCAAACTCCTGACCTCAGGTGATCTGCCTGCCTCAGCCACCCAAAGTGGCTGAGATTACAGGCATGAGCCACCACGCCCAGCCATGAAACCCCGTTTCTACTAAAAAAAAAAAAAAAGAAGAAAATAATTAGCCAGGCCAGTTGGCACGTGCCTGTAGTCCCAGCTACTTGGGAGGCTGAGGCACAAGGGTCACTTGTACCTGGCAGGTGGAGGTTGCAGTGAGCCAAGATCACACCGCTGCACTCCAGCCTGAGCAGCAAAGCAACACTGTATCTCAAAAAAAAAAAAAAAAAAAAAGGATTAACATAATTAACTGACTTTATAGAGATTACCCTTTATAATCTATTTGGTATATTATATTTTATAATAGAATTTTTATGGCTCTGTCTCATACATTTAATTAAGTCATTTTGAGTTAATTTTTGTACATTGTGTGAGAATATCCATTTTGCGTAAGGATATTTGATTATTCCAGCATCATTTGTATAAAAGTCTTATTCTTCCCATCTTGGCAACTGTGTCAACAATTAGTTCATAATCTATGTGTGGATGTATTTATAGACTCTTTTGTCCTACTCCTGTATATAGTTTTTCTTACACCAATTCTACACAGCCTTGGTCACTATAATTTTATAGTAAGTTTTAAAAATAGGTAAATGTAACTCCACCTTTTTGTTATTTGTCTCTATTCTAATAGCATGGTATTACATTGCTTGATTTTCACATGCAAACCTACTGGCTTTCTGAGATAAATCCTCGTTTGTCTTGGTGCATAATTATTATATATTGCTGGGTTTGACATGCTAATGTGTTCTTAAGGATCCTGTTGTCTATATTCAAGGGAGATGTTTTTTTCAGTGATATATTTTACTGGCTTTCACTGGTGTTAGAGTATAACTGGCTTTCTGAAATGACTTAGTGAAGGTCTGTCCTGCTGTATATCCTGAAAAGATTTTTGTTAAGATTAGTATAATTTCTTCCTAAAATGTTGTTTGTAGGATCTCTGGTGGTATAATCTCTTTTCTTTCTACTTTGCCAAGTTTATATATACTGTTATGATATATTTAGCTGAAGGATTTTTTTAAGTGATGTCCATCCTTTCAAAGACCAGTTGTATATGTTTTTTAACAAATTTTTTCCATTGGTTTTGTGTTTTCTATTTCAGTAATTTTTTTTCCTTCTTACCTGTGTTATTTATTCCCTTGTATTTATTTTTGGTTTGATACTCTCTTCACAACATCTTAAATTGGTATTTTATCTTTTTGATCTTAGACCTTTATTCTTTGATAACCTAAGTGCTTGAAGCTATAAAACCTTCTATGTATTGCATTAAACTAAATTTTGATATGGTATGCTTTTATTTTTATCAAGTTCAAAGAATTCTCTAATTTATTTTGTCATTTCTTAACTTGGCCCATAGGAAATTTAGATTTCTGTTTAGTTTTCACACATTTGGGTATTTATAGGACTTTATCTTTTTGATATTTGATGTAATTCTTTTTCAGAAAACATACTTTCTATGATTTCAGTTCTTTTAGTTTTATTGAGACTTTTTTTGCATAGTCTGTGGCTTATTGTGAATGATATTCCCTGTAATAAATATACTTCATGTATTAAGTATAATAACCATACATGTTTTTCCACATCTAAATTTTGAGATACACTTTTATTCAGCTAAAAATGTATGTCAGAATTAAACAATTTAAACTTTAAAAAGCCTAATGTGAAGAAAATTGTTCACATATTAGTAAATGAAATTAAGCTGGCAGGTTAGATCATTTTCTCTAAAAATACTAACCACTTTAATCTGTTGATTACGGGAACTTTTAAATGATTTTGAGATTTGGCTTCAATTATGTTACACAAAATTTAGTTTATTTATGGTGGCTTTGTGTTTAACATTTTAATCCTCAAGAGTTTTCTGTATATGCATTTCAGCTCCCATGATATTAAATTTCAATTTTTTTTTTTTAGGGGCTTCATAAAAGTCAGAGTTCATGTTTGTCAGGACCTAATGAAGAACAACCTCTGTTTTCCACTGGGTCAGCCCAGTATCACCAGGCAACTAGCACTGGTATTAAGAAGGCGAATGAACATCTCACTCTGCCTAGTAATTCAGTACCACAGGGGGATGCTGACAGTCACCTCTCCTGTCATACTGCTACCTCAGGTGGACAACAAGGCATTATGTTTACCAAAGAGAGCAAGCCTTCAAAAAATAGATCCTTGGTGCCTGAAACAAGCAGGCATACTGGAGACACATCTAATGGCTGTGCTGATGTCAAGGGACTTTCTAATCATGTTCATCAGTTGATAGCAGATGCTGTTTCCAGTCCTAACCATGGAGATTCACCAAATTTATTAATTGCAGACAATCCTCAGCTCTCTGCTTTGTTGATTGGAAAAGCCAATGGCAATGTGGGTACTGGAACCTGTGACAAAGTGAATAATATTCACCCAGCTGTTCATACAAAGACTGATCATTCTGTTGCCTCTTCACCCTCTTCAGCCATTTCCACAGCAACACCTTCTCCTAAATCCACTGAGCAGAGAAGCATAAACAGTGTTACCAGCCTTAACAGTCCTCACAGTGGATTACACACAGTCAATGGAGAGGGGCTGGGGAAGTCACAGAGCTCTACAAAAGTAGACCTGCCTTTAGCTAGCCACAGATCTACTTCTCAGATCTTACCATCAATGTCAGTGTCTATATGCCCCAGTTCAACAGAAGTTCTGAAAGCATGCAGGTTAGTGTGGGAAAATTCTTCACAAAATGAAAATGGTCAACTACTGGCCAGATGAGACAAATAAAATGTGATGTGATATGTTAAGAAATGTAACATGCTCAAAAGATTTATAGAGTCACTCATATAAAACAACAATTTTTTTTGTTGTTTTATATGTTTAAATTTGTCATAAGGAAATTTATTATGTTGAAAGTTGTGGGTTGTTTTTTTTTTCTTTAAGTTCTAGTATACATGTGCAGAATGTGCAGGTTTGTTACATAGGTACACATGTGCCATGGTGGTTTGCCTCACATATCAACCTGTAATCTAGGTTTTAAGTCCTGCATGCATTAGGTATTTGTCCTAATGCTCTGCCTCCCCTTGCCCCCAGCCTTTGACAGGCCCTGGTGTGTAATGTTACCCTCCCTATATGCATGTGTTCTCATTGTTCAACTCCCACTTAGGAGTGTAAACAATGCGGTGTTTGTTTTCTGTTCCTGTGTTAGTTTGCTGAGAATGATGGCTTCAGGCTTCATCCGTGTCTCCACAAAGGACATGAACTCATGCTTTTTATGGCTGCATAGTATTCCATGGTGTATATGTGCCACATTTTCTTTATCCAGTCTATCACTGATGGGCATTTGAGTTGCTTCCAAGTCTTTGCTATTGTAAATAGCCCTGCAATAATATGTGCATGTGTCTTTATAGTAGAATGACTTATAATCCTTTGGGTATATACCTAGTAATAGAATGGCTTGGTCAAATGGTATTTCTGGTTCTAGATCCTTGAGGAATCGCCACACTGTCTTCCACAATGGTTGAACTAGTTTACATTCCCACTAACAGTGTAAAAGCATACTATTTCTCCACAGCCTCGCCAGCATCTGTTGTTCCTGACTTCTTAATGATCATCATTCCTACTGTTGTGATATGGTATCTCATTGTGGTTTTGATGTGCGTTTCTCTAATGACCAGTGATGATGAGCTGCTTTTCATGTTTGTTGGCAGCATGAATATCTTCTTTAGAGAAGTTTCTGTTCATACCCTTTGCCCAATTTTGATGGAGCTTTTTGGTTTTTTCTTACAAATTTGTTTTAAGTTCGTTGTGAGAAGTGTTCATACCTTTTGTCCACATTTTGATGAGGCTGTTCTTTCTTGTAAATGAGTTTACGTTCCTTGTAGTCTCTGGATGTTAGACCTTGGTCAGATGGAAAGATGGCAGAAATTTTCTCTCATTCTGTAGGTTGCCTGTTCGGTCCGATGATAGTTTCTTTTGCTGCGTGTTGGGGTCCAGCCTCATCACCACCCGTGGGTACCTGAAGTTCAATGGTGACAAAGAAATGAGAAGAGACAAGAGTTCATAAAGGTGGGAGCCAGGGGGCCAGTGCAAAATGTGGAGGCTGCAAAGGCTTAGAGCTCTGGTCTCCACACTGTTGAGTACAATCACTTAGATCTAAGAAGCAGACGTTCAGGGCGAAACGGTGAAAGGGAGGCAGTGCGTCATACACATAATCTTATAGCAGTGGCAGTTTAAGTGAATCTCTTTTGTGCTCAATCAGCATATCTTTAACTTACTGAAGAGCGGCTGGTGGGAGCAGGCTGAACTAGGAGGCTGCATGTCCAGCCACATTCCAGTGCTTCAAAGGAGTGTCTTTCTCCTTTAACACACTGTTTCTAGGTAAGAGAGCAGGTCTTGCTTAGAGCATGGGAACATAATGGTGATAAGAAAGCTTTCCTCCTCAGAGCCCTTTTATGGCTTTCCACAACTTATTGTCCCATATTTTTATGGCCAGTTTATACAGGCACTCCATAAGCCTTTCCCCAACAGCTATGCAAAAGCTGTTTAGTTTAATTAGATCCCATTTGTCAATTTTGGCTTTTGTTGCATTTGCTTTTGATGTTTTAGTCATGAAGTCTTTGCCCATGCCTGTGTCCTGAAAGGTATTGCCTAGTTTTTCTTCTAGGGTTTTTATGGTTTTAGGTTTTACATTTAAGTTTTAATCCATCTTGAGTTAATTTTTGTATAAGGTGTAAGGAAGGGGTACAGTTTCTGTTTGCTCCATATGGCTAGCCAGTTTTTCCAACACCATTTATTAAATAGGGAATACCTTCCCCATTGCTTGTTTTTGACAGGGTGTCAAAGATCAGATGGTTGTAGATGCGTGGTGTTTTTTCTGAGGCCTCTGTTTTGTTTCATTGGTCTATATATCTGTTTTGGTACCGGTACTGTGCTTTCATTACTGTAGCCTGGTAGTATAGTTTGAAGTCAGGTAGTGCGATGCCCCCAGGTTTGTTCTTTTTGCTTAGGATTGTCTTAGTTATATGAGCTCTTTTTTTAATTCCATATGAAATTTAAAGTGGTTTTATCTAATTTGGTGAAGAAAGTCAATGGTAGCTTTATGGGTACAGCATTGAATCTATAAATTACTTTGGGCACGTCATTTTCACTATATTGGTTCTTCCTATCCATGAGCATGGACTGTTTTTCCATTTGTTTGTGTCCTCTCTTGTTTCCTGGACCACTGGTTTGTAGTTCTCCTTGAAGTGGTGCTCATAAGTTGTATTCATAGGTATTTAATTCTCTGTAGCAATTGTGAATGCGAGTTCATGCATGGTTTGGCTCTTTTTGTCTATGACTGGTGTATAGGAATGCTTGTGATTTTTGCACATTGATTTTGTATCCTGAGACTTTGCTGAAGTTGCATATCAGCTTATAAGCAGTTTTGGGGCTGAGATGATGGGGTTTTCTAAATATACAATCATGTCATCTGCAAACAGAGACAATTTGACTTCCTCTCTTCCTATATGAATACCCTTTATTTCCTTCTCTTGCCTGATTCCCCTGGCCACAACTTTGAATACTATGTTGAATAGGTATGGTGAGAGAGGGCATCCTTGTCTTGTAGTGGTTTTCAAAGGGAGTGCTTCTAGCTTTTGCACATTCCATATGATATTGGCTATGGGTTTGCCATAAATAGCTCTTATTGAGACATGTTCCATCAATACCTAGTTTATTGAGAATTTTTAGGATGAAGGGATGTTGAATTTTATTAAAGCCTTTTTTGCATATCTTGAAATAATCATGTGGGTTTTATCATAGATTCTGTTTATGTGATGGATTACGTTTATTGATTTGTGTTATGTTGAACCAGGCTTTCATCCCAGGAATGAAGCCAACTTGATTGTGGTGGATAAGCTTTTTGATGTGCTGCTGGATTTGGTTTGCCTGTATTGAAGATTTCTTCATCAATGTTCATCAGGGATATTGGCCGGATTTGTTTTGTTTTTTTCTTGTATCTCTGCCAGGTTTTGGTATCAGGATGATGCTGGCCTCATAAAGTGAGTTAGGGAGGAGTCCCTATTTTTTTATTGTGTGAAATAGTTTCAGAAGGAATAGTACCAGCTCCTTTTTGTACGTCTGGTAGAATTTGGCTGTGAATCCTGGCCCTTGGCCTTTTTTGATTGGTAGGCTATTTATCACAGCCTCAATTTCAGAATTTGTTATTGTTCCATTCAGAGATTGGAATTCTGCTGGTTTAGTCTTGAGAGACTGTATGTCTCCAGGAATTTATCCATTTCTTCAAAATTATCCTGAAGTGCTTTTTCCAACTTGGTTCCATTCTTTCCATCAATTCCAGGTACATCAGTCAATCATAGGTTTGGTCTTTTCACATAGTCCTGTTTTTTTTGAGGCTTTGTTCATTCCTTTTTATTCTTTTTTATCTAATAATGTCTTCACTCCTATTTCAGTAAGTTGATCTTCAATCTCTGATATCTTTCTTTCAATTGATCAGTTCAGCTGTTGATTCTTCTGTATGTTTCACAAAGTTCTCATGCTGTGTTTTTCAGCTCCATCAGGTCATTTATGTTCCTCTCTAAAAACTGGTTATTCTAGTTAGCATTTCCTGTAATCTTTTATCAAGGTTCTTTAACTCCTTTAGCTCAGATGAGTTTGTTATTAACCACCTTCTAAAACCTACTTCTGTCAAATTGTCAGTCTCATTTTCTGTCCAGTTCTGTGCCCTTGCTGGAGAAGAGTTGTGATCCTTTGGATAGAACAGGCATGCTGGTTTTTAGAATTTTCAGCATTTTTTGCACTGGTTTTTCCTCATCTTCGTGGATTTATCTGCCTTTGATCTTTGAGGCTGATGACCTTTGGGTGGGGCTTTTGTGTGAAGGTCCTTTTTATTGATGACGTTGTTTTTTCTTCTAACAGGCCCATCTTCTGCAGTGTTCTGGAGATTCACTCCAGACCCTTTTTGCCTGGGTATCAGGTGCAGGCTGCAGAACAGCAAAGATTGCTGCCTTTGTCCCAGAGGGGCACTGGCTTGATCCCAGCTGGATCAGTCCTGTGTGAGGTCTCTCCCAGTCAGGAGGCATAGGTGTCAGGGCCTCACCTGAGGAGGCAGTTTGTCCTATAGCAGTGCTTAAGCCTTGTGCTGAGAGAATCCTTTTTATCAGGATCAACTGCTCTCTTCAGAGCTGTCAGACACAAAAGTTTAAGCCCGTTGAAGCTGTGCCCACAGCCACCCCTTCCCCCAGGTGTTCTGTCCCAGGGAGATGAGAGTTTTATCTGAAAGCCCCTGAGTGGGGCAGCTGCCTCTCTTTCAGAGATGCCCTACCCAGTGAGGAGGAATCTTGAGAGGCAGTCTGGCCCCAGCCTCTTGGCTGCGCTGTGATGAATTCCACCCAATCCAAACCGCCTGGCCTCCTTAGCACTGCCAAAGGGAAAACTGCCTGCTGAAGCCCCAGGAAAGCAGATGCCTCTCCCTGTACCAAGCTTAGTCATTCCCAGGTTGACTTAAGACTGCTGTGCTGGCAGTGAGAATTTCAAGCCAGTAGATCTTAGTTTGCTGGGCATTGCTGAGTGAGACCACTTGGCTGCCTGGCTTCAGCTCCTTTTCCAGTGGAGTGAATGGTTCTGTTTCTCTTGGGTTTTGGGCACCAGTGGGGTGCAAAGAAAACTCCTGCAACTAGCTCCGTGTCTGCCCAAACAGCCGCTCAGTTTTGTGCTTGAAACCCAGGACCCTTGTGGTATAAGCACACGAGGGAATCTCCTCATCTGCGGATTGCAAAAACTGGTAAAATTATAATATCTGGGCCAGATAGCACAGTCCCTCATAGCTTCCCTTGGCTGAGGGAGGGAGGTCCCTGGGCTCTTTGCACTTCCTGAGTGGGGTGGTGCCCCCACCCTGCTTCTGTTTGCCCTCTGTGGGCTGCACCCACTGTCTTACCAGTCCCAGTGAGATAAACTGGGTACCTCAGTTGGAAATGCAGAAATCACCCTCTTTCTGTGTTGGTCTCGCTGGGAGCTGCCGACTGGAGCTGTTCCTATTTGGCCATTGTGGAAACACTGGTTTTATCTTATCACTGTATTAGATATGGAAAACATTTTTCTGTGAACTGCTTTATCTGCGAGATTATGTCTTTTTCTAGTGTTACAAACCTTTATTGGTTATTAGGATCATCAGTTTCTCTGTGATAAACCTCATTCTGGGAATTGAAAGACAATAAGGGAAGTCCTCACATAGGGAACAGCAAAGCCTGGAATATCCTATTGTTTGTTTCCTTTTTAGTTAGAGCTGTAGAATGTTAAGAGTAGGAATAGGCCTTACTGATTATTAAGGCTAGTCTTTGCTTACATTTTAGAAAACATTTTGTCAGAGTCTAGAAGTTACATAGTTTCAGGAGAGACAGGAAATGCACGGAGAATGCAGGCAGTCTGGTAAGACTTGCTATATTGTGCTACTGTTTTAAGCAATGGGGGTTCACATGTTTGTTTAAAAATTGGTTTTCATTCCCTTCCCTCAAAAAAGAATCAGGAACACTTTCTTTGATATTAAGCCAACACATCGATTACCTCAAAGAGCCTAATCCACCTTTTTAAAAAAACAGCTTTATTGAGATATAATTCACATACTATACGGTTTGGTCATGTAGTGTTTACAGTTCATTTGGTTTTAGCAGATTACCAGATGTGTGCAATCATTATCACAGTCAGTTTTACAGAGTTTGGACTGCCTCAAAGACAAACCTAACATAGACTTTAAACACAATAAAATTAAATCTTAATAAGTTATCTTAACTCTTATAAATGTTCTGTATAGAAGAGTATAAAATGTAAGTGAAAGTCATTTCGCATGCCTAAAACACATACTGTATTACTTCTATATTTTTAGTACCTAAACCTCGAAATTTTAACAATAATATATTGGTTTTATTAGATTCATAAAAGAGCTTTCTGAAATTAGATGCAAATTAACAGAAAATAAATAACCTATAACTAGACAATCTAAACATTATTTTTAATCTACTTTGGTCATTTTATTAAAAAGTTTTTAAACTTCAAATTTGAAAACAATTTTTGCTTCACGATTATATAACTCTTTTCCTCATACTGTGAGATCTTAAGATGTCACGTGTTTTTTCTCTATGACTGTATCTAAGCATTGATTAGACTCTCAGGCATTTAGATTATTTTATTAGAAACCATCGTGTGTCAGCCATTAAATGTATATTAACTGATCAGCGTCTAAGATGAAATCAAAATTTCTTGCTTGTATATAATTTATGATTGCGACAACCTTGGGGAGCAGTAATGGAGTAGTGATGATAAT
Source organism: Homo sapiens (assembly GCF_000001405.40). Lineage (NCBI taxonomy): Eukaryota > Metazoa > Chordata > Mammalia > Primates > Hominidae > Homo > Homo sapiens. The sequence continues at coordinate 13,328,966 of NC_000024.10, read as the reverse complement.
TTTTTTGCAAAATAATAATTAAATAAATTGATATGTTTTATATTTCTTAATGGACTATAGATTTTAATCTATCTCATTTTGAGGTGTATATAAACAATCACTTTATAATAAAATGCGTTCTTAAAGAGTTATTTTTGGGTTAGACAAGGTAAAAGGACTTTACCTTACCAGAAATGGATAATTTTATTTTTAAAAGCTGTAAATAGTGTATCTTTAAAATATTGTAAGTATCTGTGGCTGAAACACTATTCCAATAAATGTAGCTTCCAATTTGCTAGTGAAGGTAACATACCAAAAAGAAAATAAGAGAGAAATTAAGAAAGAAAAAGAAAACAATCACAGAAAGAAAGAGAATAAAAGGATGGATTCTAAAGTTGGGAATAAAATTATTCTGAGTTGTAGAGAAAAAGCCAGAATGAGAAATGATAGTTTCTATGTGCACACCAATTCAGTCAGTTGATAATAGCATCCATTCTGGGGAGAAAACTGAATTCAAATAAATTAAGTGATATCATGTGTTAGTGATTGAATCATGACTCTTCTGCTCATGCCTCATCTTTTTCTTTCTTTTTTCACATTTAGGTATCTATATTTTCCATTGCTTTAGCTTCCTATATATCCACTGTTTTTTCTTTTATAGACTGTAGAAATTACAACAACAGAATTCTACAGTAAATCCCAATTTCTTAGTCTTATTGTTTTGTTGTTGTTGTTGTTGTTTTTGTTTTGTTTTGTTTTTCAGACAGAGTTTCGTTCTTGTCAGCCAGGCTGGAGTGCAATGGCACTGTCTCGGCTCACTGCAACCTCTGCCTCCCAGGTTCAAGTGATTTTCCCGCCTCAGCCTCCCATGTAGCTGGGATTGCAGGCCACCGCCACCACACCCACCTAATTTTGTATTTTTAGTAGAGATGGGGTTTCTACATCGTGGTCAGGCTGGTCCCAAACTCCCAACCTCAGGTCATCCGCCCACCTCTGCCTCCCAAAGTGCTGGGATTACGGGCGTGAGCCACCGCACCCTGCATAGTCTCTTTTTTTACGGAGGTGGTTGTTCAAATAATTTTTGATACTACAAGAAATTAACATAAAGAAATTTCTAGTACAATTAAATACTTCACCAAATTTAGTACAATTAAGTACTGGTATAGTGAGAATACTTGAATTGTCTCTTCACAAAGTATATTCTATGTGTTTAAAACAGAAATTCTAAGGAGTTTATGAATTAGGTTCAGTTCCGTATTTAAGTTTTAAAGCTTAACATGTATCATTTATAACTAAACCTATGGGTCATTATGCTTTGTGGAGAGAGACTGAAATCTAGATACTACTTTAGAATGTAATAGGTAGTTAAATGTAAATGTTTAATAGATATTTGCACATTTTTTATTTAAAAAATAGAGAAGTCAAATTTCTAACCTAATTCATAACTTAAAAATGCATAAGACCTTTTTAGTTGTTTAAAAAGGTTATACACCCTAACAGCTGTTTACTATGACATCTTAAAAGTGTATATGTTGCATTTCAAAGTTTCATTTTTATTAGTCCAACCACAGAGGCATGACTTGAAAGTTTTTTTCTGTGTAGGAAAATAAAGCAAAACAAGCTTTTGCTTCAGCTTTTATTATTCTATATATTGAAATAAAAACATAATTGATTCTGAAATAAATGCGGTTACTGATGTAATGTATTTTTTACTTTCCAAAACAGAGTTTTCAGATTTTTGTCTGAAATATTAACATTTTTAAGAGCTCATTCCTTTGATATTTTAATGCATTGATTATTTTAGAATTTTAATAATTAGGTGAGACAGCTTGAATAATTTGAAAGGCTTGCCAATTTTCTGAATTTGTTAAAATATTAAGGTTTAGGAATATACTTCTTATTTGCATACTAAAAGAAGAATTGGATTATGGAAGTAATTTTACCATATTTTAAGAATTTATATTAATAATTTAACAAATACTATACCTTTCATTAAAGGAAAAATCCAAATACTGTTAAGTAATGATTATGAACAGTGTGACAACACAGAGCAACTACACACTTCACTTAAAATTATAAGATGTGAAAGTTTAGTAAATGGAATCTCATTATTTGCTAATTCCACAGAAAACAAGTCTTGAGGATGAAACTAATGAGCTTTCTGGATTTGAAAGTTGTCACAATGGTATTCTAGAAATAATTACTAAGATGCAGTGTCAGAAAGGAGATATACTATGATATTAAGGATACGTAAATCACTTCTTGATCAACTGTTTTATCATTTTATGGAGAACATTTAACGGTGGCACATGTTGGAGAGAAATTTGAGTTTATATTAATGTTTGATATGAGAAAGCAAATTGGAAAATGAATAACGAGGAATTTTGTCAACACTTTATGTACTCTGTAGTGTATTTTGTTTAGCTCATGCACTCTGTGTAGTATATTTTGTTTAGCTTTTATAACACATCTGCTGAAATTTAATAGTCCTCAATTTTTTGTTTAATGGATCTGAATATCTTACACTGTTTGTATTTTAGTGAATGCCTTATGCCTGACTTTTAATTCAGATTTTCTTTTTTTTCTAGTTTTAAAATAAATATGTAACTGATACATTTCTTCTGCTTCTTTTTAAAGGAATCCAGGTAAAAATGGCTTGTCTAATAGCTGCATTTTGTTAGATAAATGTCCACCTCCAAGACCACCAACTTCACCATACCCACCCTTGCCAAAGGACAAGTTGAATCCACCCACACCTAGTATTTACGTGAGTCCGCATTGAGTAACTTATAAATAAATCGAGAGTCTGAACTAATGTGTCTTGTAGAAAATCGATGTATTCTTTAAATCAAGCCAGATTGCCTTAGGGAGCATAGACTTTACTCTCAAAGGTTTAATATTTCAGAAGAACATGTTTATATTTCAGGGCACTTAACAAATGAATGCTCTTACTCGAAGTGCTGCCCACCAACCTGCTTTTGAAAATAAAATTCTATTGGAACATAACTATGCTTATTTATTTAGTTACTGTCTTTATGATTGCATTTGCAGTACATTGACAGAGTTTGCTAAAGAGACTAGGTTGCCCATAAAGCCAAAAATATTTATTATCTGGCCTTTGACAGAAAAGGTTCTTGACCACCAGATATGCAAACAGATTTTGTCTAGAAAAATTAAGGCCTTCTCAAATATTGACTGGGATTATATGAGAGTAGCAAAAGATAATTGTTCCAGGGTAAGCTTTTAGTAAACATGGTTCTAAATCTGAATTCTGACACTGCTAGTTATGTATACCTGTTGAATGTTACATTTCTTTAATAAAGGAATTTTTTTCTAGCTTCATAAAAACTGGTTGAGGATATAAAAGTGATTATGAATACATGTTATTTAAAAGTTTTACATAAATACATGTGGGTATAAAATTTCCATTGGAATTTAAGTGGCTTTTTTTACTATTTAGCAACGTAAGCATTTGATAAAGCTGCTGTGGCTTTCATCAAAATAATTTTTATGTATTTTTCCTTCTGAAGAGTTTGTGTCACCCAACTTTTTCATTCTCCTTCACAAGTTAAAGAATCTTAACCTAAAATATGAAGATACAGTAATTAGAATGATCTCGAAACAGATCTGTACGAGAGGATTTTGGAGATACTGGCCTTTCTTTGGACAGATGTTCAATATTAATTTTTTACCTAGTTGAAATTTATTGACGATGGTATTAGAAGAGTCATGGAAGAGAGACTAAAAATAAGCGTTTCAGTTGAAACTTTGAGGCAATAAATACAAATTTAAGGTTTGCCTGTTGTGGTTTTTATTCTCTAAAAGTTTTGTTAATAGTTTATAAAACAGTTTGATTTTAAACTTTAAATGTCTCTTCTACCTGTTGTCTCATTTAAGAAGCAATAGAAGATAACTCAAAAAATATGCTTGGGAAATACTTTCGAACAACTCAACTAATTTAAAAGAATTTTATAAATCACTGTGGTATAAGAGATAGGTAACAGTTTTAAAGTGAATCAAATTTAAAATGTAATTTTTAAAAGAGAGGGTTTTTTTTAGCTATTACCTCCACACTTTCCTGACAAGACAAATGATACAATACTGTAATATGTAGCAACATAATATCAAAGGTTAGGATGCACTGCAGATTTTTAATAGCCAGATTGATGGAAAAAAACTCACAAATTTGAAGTATTGTATTTAATCATTTTATTAAAGGCACAAATCTGAGGTATATTTTGTCATTTATCTGAGACCTAACAAAATATTTTGCTTTTACAGTTGGAAAATAAACGTGATGCTTTCTTTCCTCCATTACATCAATTTTGTACAAATCCAAAAAACCCTGTTACAGTAATACGTGGCCTTGCTGGAGCTCTTAAATTAGGTAAGCTTAAAACCAAGATTGAATATATATTTTACTATCTTTAAACTTTTATAACACTGACAGAAACTCACTGATTTTTTCCCCCAACATTCTGAGTCTTTATTTTAATGTGTGTTATCTTTCTTTCTCACTCAATTTTATACCTCTTGTGCATGAGCAAGCATCTTTAGCACTGATGCAAGTGATAATATAGATATCATATACAGATATATACGGATAATAACAGATATACATTTAGCTCAGTAAACAGAGGAGTGACTTTGAATAGAATGGAGGCAGGTTTGCCCTAAGCAGTACCCAGTTTGACCTTTCCCTTTAGGATAGTGATTTCAGGTACCCAAGATATTTTCCTTTCACATTTCCCCTTTTTAAAAAAAAAAAAACTTTTGGAGAAAGCACTTGAAGAAAATGAGTCTCCGGTGTCAGGTTTTGTCTGATCTTTCATGCTAGGATGGTTTATCCCTATTATGAAAAATACTCAGCAATACTAGACTCTAGCAACAGGTTTACTATTGTTTTTGAAACATAATATTGTGGTGGATTTTTATTTTAGATTTATATTTGGTATCATTATCCAACATACAATATTTAGGTTACATAGTTGAAGAAGTTCTGAGTATTAAATATAAGTAAAATTAGATTATGTTTATAAATGTTGCCACCCTCTACACCCTGACATGATGGTTATATAGCCAGAGCTTCAAGGACCTGCTGTGTAACTCTGATACCAAATGGTTGGAGCCCTCTTAAGGGAAACTGATAAAGTTTTTAAAAATACTTTGACATTTTAATTGAACTGAATACAACTTTACTGATTAACAAAACTTATTATTTTTAAAGATCTTGGACTTTTCTCTACCAAAACTTTGGTAGAAGCTAACAATGAACATATGGTAGAAGTGAGGACACAGTTGCTGCAACCAGCAGATGAAAACTGGGATCCCACTGGAACAAAGAAAATCTGGCGTTGTGAAAGCAATAGATCTCATACTACAATTGCCAAATACGCACAATACCAGGCTTCCTCCTTCCAGGAATCATTGAGAGTAAGTTTTTCTTTCTTCCTTTTTTAATTGTTGCTATTTTTTAATAGTGCATATTACTTTCATAATTATTGTCTAGTGCATACTGTTAATAGTATGTTTTTAAAGTGCTCATAGATTATTAAACTTTTATTTTATTTTATTATTTTTTATTGTTTTTGAGACAGAGTCTCATTCTCTCTCACCCAGGCTGGAATGCAATGGTGTGATCTCAGCTCACTGCAGCCTCCGCCTCCTGGGTTCAAGCGATTCTCCCACCTCAGCCTCCCGAATAGCTGGAATTACAGGCACCTGCCATCATGCCCAACTAATTTTTGTATTTTTGTAGAGACAGGGTTTCACCATGTTGGCCAGGCTTGTCTTGAACTCCTGACCTCAGGTGGTCTGCTTGCCTCAGCATCCCAAAGTGCTGGGATTACAGGTGTGAGCCACCATGCCCGGTAAACTTTTAAAAATGTAAGCAAAATTACAGTATGTAAAACACACATTGCTAATGGAGAAATAAAGTTCCTACTTTACATCTACCTTATTTTTGGAATTTTTTATTTTAATGATAAACTAAGCCTACTTACTGTTTGCAGAATGATACTTAATATGAAGAAAATTATCTGGTCAGCTCAGGTATTTACTCAGCCATGAAGAGATGTTCATATTTTACTTTATCTGGATAATTTTTCTTTGGAAGCATTAGCAGTCTTCCTCTATTACTTGTCATCTCTAAAACAATTGTAGAAGAAATTTACAGAAATGTGTCAAAAATACATGGAAAATTGAAAAACAGTATCTTAAACAGGACAGTGGTTAGTAAAACACCTAATAGTAAATGAGGAGAAACAGAATTGTTAGAAATAAGAGTTTTTGAATTTTTTCAAAAAAATTAAGAAAATAGTTAAGCATATGCAACCACAATTATATTTCTCAAATATTTGTTTGAATTGTTTGTTCTTAATATGGCCCCTTTAAATTACAAATTTGGCCAGGTGCAATGGCTCATGCCTGTAAAACCACCAATTTGGGAGGCTGAGGCAGGCGGATCACTTGGGGTCAGGAGTTCAAGACCGGCCTAGCCAACATGGTAAAACCCATCTCTACAAAAATACAAAAATTAGCCCTGTGTGGTGGCGGGTGCCTGTATTCCAAGCTGCTCTTAAGTCTGAGGGAGGAGAATCACTTGAAACCAGGAGGCAGAGGTTGCAGTGAACTGAGATTGTGCCACTGCACTCCAGCCTGGTTGACAGAGTGAGACTTCATCTCAAAAAAAGAAAATAAATGAAATTATAAAATCGAACTGCATTTTACTATATCAGATGAAAGAATGTAGAAAACTAACTTTTTTATAAAGCTGTTCCTTAAAACTTAATGAAAGTTTTATGGCTGAAAAATATGTTGTTGAAAGTTTCAAATTTATAATTTGTTAATATCATTGACCTCCAGAAAATGTTTAAAATTCTGACCTCATTTTATGTTTTCATCACATTGATATCACAGGAATCTGATTCTGCTGTGAAAATAGTATATTTTTAGGATTTTTTATTATATGGTAAACAGAAAAGTAATGATTTAACAATTTTTGTTAAATTCCGTGGCATTGGTTATTCATGTTATTGTGCAGCCAAAACCACTATGCATCTGGAGCACCTTTTTATCATCTGAAACTGAAACTCTGACCCCATGAAACAATAACTCATCATTAGTTAATGAACCATGAAAATCTGAGACAGGTCTCAGATAATTTAGAAAGTTTATTTTGCCAAGGTTGAGGATGTGTTCATGTGACACAGCCTCCAGAAGTCCTGACGACATTTCCCCAAGGTGGTCAGAGCACAGTTTGATTTTACATTTTAGGGAGACATAAGACATTAATCAACATATATAAGATGAACATTGGTTCAGTCCAGAAAGGTGGGACAACTCAAAGTAGTGAGGGGTCTTCCAGGCCACAGGTAGGTAAGAGACAAATGGTTGTATTCTTTTGAGTTTATGATTAGCCTCTCCAAAGGAGGCAATCAGGTGTACATTTGGCTCAGTAAATAGAGGGGTGACTTTAAATAGAATGGAGGCAGGTTTGCCCTAAACAGTACCCAGCTTGACCTTTCCCTTTAGCATAGTGATTTCACGTACCCAAGATATTTTCCTTTCACATTTCCCTCATTAAAAACAAAAAATATTTTGGAGAAAGCATTTCAGAAGAAAATGAGTCTCTGGTGTCAGGTTTTGTCTGATCTTTCATGGCTAGGATGGTTTATTCCTATTTAAAAATTTGGCAATACTAGACTCTAGCAACAGGTTTACTATCGTTTTTGAAACATTTTTTCTTTCTCCAATTTCCCATTAAAGACAAATCATGGTAGGATCTATTTTCTTTATTCTATTTGGCGATATTATTTGTATAAAGTGCCACAAGAATAGTTATTTTTCCAATAGGCTTCTTTTTTTAATTGGCTTTGACGGAACTTTGTTTCATAGAAGTAGTCTCAGCTAAGACTTTTTTAAAGCTGAGCCCAGCCTTGCATTTGTGCTATTAATACCTATGAGTTGGTTGAATTCCTCTACTCTTGATTTTCCAAGATAATATTGGGGCTCCTAGGCCTGTCAGAAAGTGACATTCTTTACTTACCACAGGACAGTAACTCTCTACAGGGACCATGCAGAAAAAGGTATGAGGCCAGATTTCCCAAGGGAATTTTATTGACTCCATAAGTCACATTTGACTCCTTTAAGGAAAGCACACCATTTCAGTCAAAGCCTTGGTAAAATAACCAGTTTCTTCCATTGTGTCCTCTTAACAATGAAAACATTTTTATTTCACTTATGCAAATAATTGTATTGCCATAATTGTTAAGAATACTTTCAAATAGTTTTCAAATTTTGGAGAAATCAGAAACAAATTTGCTGCAAATTTTCTTCATAAGAGTACTCAATTGTTAACTTGAAAGTTTTCTTGACTCTGAGAAACAAAGGATCAGCAACATTTTAAGCAAAGAGTTTAAAAGATTACTTCGAATTCTATTAGTTTAGTCCATGCAGGTAATTCCTGTTCTGCTTGATATTCACAAACATTTCAGCTCTCCATGAATCCTGAAAGTTTTTTCTGTATTCTCATGTCACAGTCTCCAAGTTATCAGAAACTTGCATTCAAGAGCACCTGTTAGAGTTTATAGCTGATTATAAAACAACCTTCTAAAGAGGACCAAATAAAGACAACAATTGTCTGTGGATGACTAAAAGTTTTAGAGCAGTCATAGTCAAAGACACAATTGACAAGAAAATGTGTTATCTCTGTGGCACACAATAATTTAACATAACTATTATAAGTGTTACTAATAATGTACATTTACACATAACAGAATTATAGGAGTTTCCCATAATTTTGGAACACCATAACAAATGCAGCCCCAAGAAAGCCAAGCACCATTTTATATTTGACAATGCTTCCTATAGAATTCTTACGCCAAATAAGCCAAATATGTCGTTTTTGGATGTTAGGAAACCTATTAATATTTTAAAGGACTAATTAGGTCAGAAAAAGACAGAAGTTATCATTTGATATTGGAAAATTTGTCAGATATTAAAGATTTAAAGTACTTGATATTACAAAATAGGATCAGAGGTCATTGTAAAATAAATCATTAATTTAACCAGAGTGATAACTCAATAATTTTTTTAAAAAAAAGGTGAAACCTTCATTATTTGATTGAGGATACTTAACTTTACAAACAATGAGCCCTTATAAAAACAGCATGAAACCAATTAAATTTGTTATCCAAAATTTTATAAACAATCTGTATAATTTTCATTTTGATCTTGTTATAAATTCCATACTCCTTTATAATCTTTCTTAAGGAGATGGTTAATGCTTCAAGAAATCCTTGTTAATCTGACATAGGGCACATATGCTAGTCTTGTATCAGTGTGTCTTTGACATTAATGGTTAATTTATACAGGAACTGAGTTTCTCTTATCTTTCAAAATTGTCCCTTAAAATCTCACATACCTCTTTTGCAATAGTCCTTGGGCCTTCAGGAGTTGAATAGCTTTAATTTCTGGACCTGTTTCTCAGGAATGCAGTTTATTTTGGTTGGCATCTTTTACCAGCTTGAAGATGAGGCTTCAGTGTTTAAGCCTCAGCAGGACTCTGTTTTTAGACCAGGAGTCAAAGCTCTATAACTCAACATCACAAAGACTTTAAAAGCACATACAGCAAGATACAAGGACATATAACCTTAATTTAAAGAAACTTGTTTCTAATCTCAGTTTTTCCTAAGCAAACCAAACTTAATAATAATGGCATAGGAATTATTTTGATAAAATGTAAACTCTGTTAGGCCAGTTACCAAAAGGCAAAAGAAACGACCTCTGTTCCTGTCACAGAATATTCTGTTGGAAAAAAACATTTTCTTTAGATCTTTAAGAATACATTGTTAGCATCAGACCACAACAAACAGAACCCTCAGAAGAAAATTTCAGAAGAAAAACAAACTTGTCTGAGCTGAAAATGAATTGAAGGGGAGTATTACTATTATGTGCCTTTGTTGTTGGTGTTGGTGGTGGTGGTTGAGATGGAGTTTCACTCTGTCCCCAGGCTGCAGTGTGATGGCATGATCTCAGCTCACTGCAATCTCTACCTCCCAGGTTCAATTTTTCTGCCTCAGCCAGTCGAGTAGCTGAGACTACAGGCATGCACCATCACACCCAGCTAATTTTTATATTTTTACCTGAGATGGGGCTTCACATGGTGGCAGGATGGTCTTGATCTCTTAACCTCGTGATCCGCCCGCCTCAGCCTCCCAAAGTGCTGTGATTATAGGTGTAAGCTACTGCGCCTAGCCTAATTTTGCCTTTTAAAAGGGGATAGAAAACCAAAACAAGCAAGATGCAATAGAAGTTGAACTTTGAGTTAAAAATCTCTTATAATTTATTAAGAGTAAGTCAACCCCTTATGAAAATTTCATTGTTTTACAAACCAATCCTTTAATGTATAAGTGTTTTTTGTTTTTTTATATCAAACCCAATCTCTAGAAAGACCATTGTAATTTCCGTTTAATCATAGACAACTTGATCATATGAAAGTTGGGTTTTTTTTGTTTGTTTGTTTGTTTTAATAAATCCTCTTATTGTGACTTATGCAGATGGGTCGTGATATACTTCACTCTCTGGTTTATCCTGAACATCCCTCTTTCTTAAACAACCAGTTGTTTTACTTAGGACTAAATTTACCATACAAGATTCTTTCTCATATGAAATTATTTCTCTTTAAGCTTTCTTACCAAAACAAAATCTCTTTATTTTTATAAAATTTCTTTTTACCTCTTTTATTTGCTGGTTCCTTTTACATTATTATTATTATTATTATTATTATTATTACTATTATTACTATTATTATTATTATTATTATTATTTGAGACAGTTTCACTCTGCTATCCAGGCTGGAGTGCAATGGCACGATCTTGGCTCACTGCAGCCTTTGTCTTCCAGGTTCAAGCAATTCTTCTGCCTCAGCTTCCCAAGTAGCTGGGATTACAGGCATACACTATCATGCCCTGATAATTTTTATATTTTTAGTACAGACGGGTTTTCACCATGTTGGCCAGGCTAGTCTTGAACTCCTGACCTCAGGTGATCCACCTGCCCGGCCTCTCAAAGTGCTGGGATTACAGGTGTGAGCCATCGTGCCCGGCTTACTTTGTTTTATACATAACCTAAGCTTTGAATCAGATAAAAAATTGTTCACCTTTTTAAAAAGACACCCTTTTTTCTAGAATGGATATTTTCCTACAAATATATTTTTATTGGAAAATAAGCAAATAATAAAACATGTTATTTAATTTAACTTTAGATTCTAAATTTTGACAAATTTGTCTGCAAGTATTTATCCTATTACAGTTACTTTAATTGTTTAGCTAGATTATTTATAAAAACCACAACTGTAATTATTTAAAGTTATGAGACCACCATTGCAAAATTATAATGGAGACAGTGAAAAAGATTTCGCCTAATTGACACCATCTTGCTTCTAATCTCCACACTGTCCTTGTTCATTCCTGGGGTGTAGGCCAAACTAACTTTGGAGGAAGTTAGTTTATAGTTTAACTTTGAAACAAAAACAGTAACATCTCTTTTCTAAAGTAAGCCCTACTACCTGTGGACTGCTTGAAGCCAAAAGATTAGAAGTTATGGCAGTCTTACTAAATTCAAGATGTAACTATTTTTATTAAACTAATACCAGTGTCTTCTTTATTAAAGAGCACACAAGCAGCCGGGTGTGTTGGCTCATGCCTGTAATCCCAGCACTTTGGGAGGACAGGGCAGGCAGATCACCTGAGGTCAGGATTTGAAGACCAACCTGACCAACATGGCAAAACCCCATCTCTACTGAAAATACGAAAATTTGCCGGGCATGGTATCATGTGCCTGTAATGTCAGCTACTCAGGAGGCTGAGGCAGGAGAATCACTTGATACCAGGAGGCGCAGGTTGCAGTGAGCCGAGACTGTGCCACTGCAATCCAGCCTGGGTGATGGAGCAAACTTCCATCTAAAAAAAAATCTTTTAAAATCTCATTACGATATTTCAAATAGGGCAAACTGCTGCTATTTCAGAAATACAGCCATTGCTCTGTCCTTTTGGCCTGGCTTGCAAAAAGGTGGACTTTTACATCAACAAAGCCCTATAGTAGCCAAAATCAAAAGAGTTTCTCCTCTTTTTCTTTTTCCTTTTGCTAGCCGTTTTTCTTCCTCTACCGCGCCATCTTTTTTTTTCTCTCTGTCTGTCCCGTGGGAATTTAGTCACTTCAGAGGCTTTTTTTCCCCACAATTTGGAACTTCCTTTGGATTTGATCAAGTCATATAGAGTTGATCAAATCCAGTGGGAAAAAGACCGAAAAAACAACAAAAACAGAAACAAACAACAACAAAACAGTTAAGCAAAACAAATGATCACACAGTTTATATGATTACTGAGTGCTCTGATGGTAAGGAGAAATTAAGACCAGCTGGTTGTTAATCTTTAGCCAAAGCAAACCACAGTTCAGTTACTTACCTATGGGTGGGTCTCAGGCTGATAATTGCTCTATACCATCCTAGAAGCGGGTTAAAAAAAAAAGAAAAGAAAACGAAGAACAACTCATCTTCCCTGTTGGAAGAGAATACAAACTCCATAAAGGAGTTACCTGCCTTCCATCATCATGGAAGCAGGAAAGGCATGCCTTCCTTGTGTTAGAAGCAAGTAAAACTCAAAATAAAATAAAATAAGTTGTACAGCAAAATAAACTTCGGATCTCGAACAAATTTTGGGAGATCAGGGATTCTCTGGAGGGGCTTCTTCCATGCCTCAGCGAATTGTCGTGTTGGTATAGTGCATAAAGATAGCTTAAGCTGGTACCAAGCACCAGTAGGAGATTCGTGAAAGGTCAGAGGCACCTCCACTCAAAATCCCTCTTTGGTTACCTCAGTATGAACCCCAAAAATCTCAAGAGAGGTCTCAGTTAATTTAATTTAGAAGGTTTTATTTTGCCAAGATTGAGGACACACACCCATAACACAGCCTCAGGAGGTCCTGTCGACATATGCCCAAGGTGATGAGGGTAGTTGGGTTTTGTACATTTTAGGGAGACATGAAACATCAATATATGTAAGATGAACCATTGGTTAGGTGTGGAAATGAGGGACAACTCATTTCTGGGGAGGTGGTCTTCAGGCCATAGGTAGGTAAGAGAAAAAATGGTTGTATTCTTTTGAGTTCCTGATTAGCCTCTCCAAAGGAGGCAGTCAGATATACATTTATCTCGGTGAGCAGTGGGGTGGCTTTGAATAGAATGGGAGGCAGAATTGTCCTAAGCAGTTCCCAGCTGGACTTTTCCCTTTAGCTTAGTAATAAGATAGTTTCCTTTTACAGTTTCCTCCCCAACCCCTTAATAATCTCTGTTTTGTTTTTTTGTTGTTATTTGTTTTTGAGATGGAGTTTTGCTCTTGTTGCCCAGGCTGGAGTGCAATGGTGTGATCTCAGCTCACTGCAACCTCTGCCTCCTGGCTTCAAGCTATTCTCCTGCCTCAGCCTCCCCAGTAGCTGGGATTACAGGCATGCGCCACCACACCCAGCTAATTTTGTATTTTTAGTAAAGACGGGGTTTCTCCACGTTGGTCAAGTTGGTCTCAAACTTTCGACCTCAGGTGATCTCCCTGCCTTGGTCCCCCAGAGTGCTGGGATTACAGGTGTGAGCCACTGCGCCCTGTCATCTCTTTTTCACATTCTTTCAAAATACGTTTCACAAATTCTGGGTTGCTCATGTAAGTGGGATCATAAAGTATTTGTCCTTTCATATCTGGCTTTCTTGGGCAGGTTCATCTGTGTTTTTAGCAGTATAATTTTACTATTTTTTATGACTGAATAGTAACTCCATTAAGTATGTACCACATTTTGTTTATCTATGCACATTTGAGTTACTGTGTTGAGTACAGCTGCTCTGAAAATTGATGTAAATTACGTGTTCTAGTCTCTACAGCCGCTGGATTGTGTGGTAATTACTTGCTGAACTTTTTAAAGGACGACTATATTGTTCTGCTCAGTGCCCGCACCATGTTAATTCCCACTGGCGTTGCCCAAGAGAATTTACAAGTATTTGCAATGATTTACAATGTTTTACAAGTATTTTCTCCAATTTTGTTTATTGTAATTTTGCTGTTTTGGTAATAGTGTCATTTGATAAATTTTTAATTTTTGTGAAGTCCAGTTTATTTACTTACTTTGTTGACACATTCTTTTGAAGTTTAAGAAATCATGGCCGAATACCATGTCACAGCATTTTCTCTTGTTCTCACAATTTTATAGTTTTAACTCTTACGTTTGAGTCTCTGATCTATTTCAAGTTAATTTTGTATGTGATCCAAGATAAAGAACCAACTTTGGTTTTTTGCATGTAAATATCTCGTTTTTCCAATCCCATTTGTTCAGAAGACTGACCTTTCTCCTGCTCAATGGTCTTGGCAGTCTCGTCAAAAATCACACAAGAGTTTTTGTCTTGATTCTGTGTTCTCTTTTATTGGTCCGTATGTCTGTCTTTATGTTACTACTACACTATTTTGATTGCTATAGTATTGTATTAAATTTTGAAATTAAGAAGTGTTCGTTTTTGTTCATTTTCTTTCTTGAGATAGAGTCTTGCTCTGTCACCCCGGCTGGAGTGCAGTGGCACAATCTCGGCTCACTGCAAGCTCCACCTCCTGGGTTCAGGCCATTCTCCTGCCTCAGCCTCCTGAGTAGCTGGGACTACAGGTGCCCGCCACCACTTCCAGCTAATTTTTTGTATTTTTAGTAGAGACGGGGTTTAACTGTGTTAGCCAGTATGGTCTCAATCTCCTGACTTCGTGATCCACCTGCGCCTGGCCCTTTCTTTATTTGTAAAATACATCTTCTATTTTAAAGACAGAGGGTTTATGTGCAGATTTGTCACTTGGGTTTAATACTCCCAGGAGGTGAACATAGTACCCCACAATAAGTAGTTTTTAGCTCATGCCCCACCTCCTTTCCTCTCACATCTAGCTCACATTTATGTCCATATGTACTCAGTGTTTAGCTCCCACTTATAAGGGAGAAACTGCAACACTTGGTCTTCTGTTTCTGAGTAAATTCACTTAGAATTATGGCCACCAGCTACATCCATGTTGCTGCAAAGGACATCATTTTGTTCTTTTTTTGACTCCATAGTGTTCCATTGTCTGTATACACCACATTTTCTTTATCCAATCCAACACTGATGAGCACCTAAGTTGATTTTATGTCTTTGTGTTCCCAGACGAAACCGATGATTGGGCTGCTTATTCTCATGGGCCAGTAATGAGATGCAGATAAACTGGGAAAGAAGAGCATTTATTTCTGAAGTAACCGGGTACAGGGAAAAAGCCAGGAAAATTACAAAGTATTCTAGAGCTTATACTTTCTAAGTTATATGTCAATGTGTAGTGTGCATTCATCTAAACTCATAAGTGATCAACAGCTTCTAATTTATAACCGAGGGGTCTCAGTTTTGAAGACCTTCCTCTGGAGCCTCAGTAAATTTACTTAATCTAGATGTGTCCAGGTGCTGAAGACCTTTATCCTGTTTCCTGCTAAATCGTGGAGGTTTAGGGAGTTTCTTTAGACCACCAATAAAACTTGTTTGTGTAGGTCTGGGGAGTTTCTTCAGATCCCCAATCAAAACTCATTTAATCCTAAACAGATTCTGTTAAGAATTTGTTATCTTGTTATCTACAAGGCCCAGAAAAGGCCTGGGCAAAACTCTTGATGGACTTTTGTTACATTCCAGCCTTTATGTGAGGGCACTGACTCTTTCAGCTTTTAACATTTAAATTAACCACTCAGTCAGTGCTGAAACAGTTGTGATGGAGGCCTGCCTGTTCAGCTGTTAATGAGACCTGGCTTGCCACATTTGCTATTGTGAATAGCGCAATGATGATGAACAAAAGAGTGCATGTCTATTTTTGTAGAATGCTCTGTTTTCCACTGGGTAGATACCCAGTAATGAGATTGCTGGGTCAAATGGTAGCTCTATTTTAGGTTCTTTGAGAATTCTCCAAACTGCTTTCCACAGTGGCTAAACTAATTTATATACCCATGAACAGCGTATAAGCCTTCCATTTTCTTCACATCCTCGCCAGCATGTGTTGGGTTTTTTTGTTTTTGTTTTTGTTTTTGGCTATTTTTAATAGTAGTCATTCTGACTAATGTGAGATAGTATCTCATTGCGATTTTGATTTGCAATTCTTTGATAATTAGTGATGATTGAACACTTTCCTTTTTTTTTTCTGAGACGGACTTTCATTCTTGTTGCCCAGACTGGAGTGCAATTGCACGATCTCCAGCTCACTGCAACCCCCTCCCAGGTTCAAGCGATTCTTCTGCCTCAGCTTCCCGAGTAGCTGGTATTACAGGCATGTGCCACCACACCCCGCTAATTTTGTATTTTTAGTAGAGACAGGGTTTCTCCACATTGGTCAGGGTGGTCTCAAACTCCCAACCCCAGATGACCCGCCCGCCTCAGCCTCCCAAAGTGCTGCAATTACATGAGCCACCATGCCCAGCCACATTTTTCCCATTTTTTGGCTGCCACTTGTATGTTTTTTTTTTTTTTCTCCTAGCAGAAAACAAATTATATGTCCTCTTTTTTTTTTTGAGACGGAGTCTCGCTCTGTCGCCCAGGCTGGAGTGCAGTGGCGCGATCTCGGCTCACTGCAAGCTCCGCCTCCCGGGTTCACGCCATTCTCCTGCCTCAGCCTCCCGCGTAGCTGGGACTACAGGCGCCCGCCACCACGCCCGGCTAATTTTTTGTATTTTTTAGTAGAGACGGGGTTTCACTGTGTTAGCTAGGATGGTCTCGATCTCCTGACCTCGTGATCCGCCCGCCTCGGCCTCCCAAAGTGCTGGGATTACAGGCGTGAGCCACCGCGCCCGGCCCTGTAATGTCCTCTTTTTAGTAGACATACCCTTTTCATAACCTTTGTCCATTTTTTAGTGCGGTCATTTGTTTTTTGCTTGTTGATTTGTTAAGTTCTTTGTAGATTCTGGATATTAGACCTTGGTCAGATGCATAGTTCACCAATAATTTATCCCATTTTGTAGCTTGTCTGTTTACTCTGTTGATAGTTTTTGTTTGTTTATTTTGCTGTGCTGAAGCTCCATACCTGAATTGGGTCCCACTTATCAATTTTCATTTTTGTTGCAGTTGCATTTAGGGACATAGTTAAAAATTGTTTTGCAAAACCAGCGTTGAGAAGGGTATTTTCTAGGTTTTCTTTTTTTATAGTTTGACATCGTACATTTAAATATTTAGTCCATCTTGAGTTAATTTTTATATGTGGTGAAAGGTAAGGATCCAGTTTCATTCTCTGTGTGTGGCTAGCAAGTTATTCCACCCAGCACTGTTAGTTGAATAGGGAGTCCTTTCTGCATTGCTCTTTTTTTTTTTTTTTTGAGACAGAGTCTTGCTCTGTCGCCCAGGCTGGAGTGCAGTGGCGCGATCTCGGCTCACTGCAAGCTCCGCCTCCCGGGTTCACGCCATTCTCCTGCCTCAGCCTCCCGAGTAGCTGGGACTACAGGCGCCCGCTACCACGCCCGGCTAATTTTTTGTATTTTCAGTAGAGACGGGGTTTCACCGTGTTAGCCAGGATGGTCTCGATCTCCTGACCTCGTGATCCGCCCGCCTCGGTCTCCCAAAGTGCTGGGATTACAGGCGTGAGCCACCGCGCCCGGCCGCATTGCTCATTTTTATCGGTGTTGTTGAAGATTAACAGTTGTAGGTCTATGGCTTTATTTCTGTGTTTTCTGTTCTGCTCAGTTGGTCTGACAATGTGTCAAAACAGCAGTACCATACTGTTTTGGTTACTGTATGTAACCTTATAGTATGGTTTTAAGTCAAGTAGTGTTTTTCAAGATCATTTTTCTATTGAACTTCCTTAAGATTAATTTTTTTTTTTTTTGGGGACGGAGTCTCACTCTGTCGCCCAGGCTAGAGCACAGTGGTGCGATCTCGGCTCACTGCAAGCTCTGCCTCCTGGGTTCATGCCATTCACCTGCCTCAGCCTCCCGAGTAGCTGGGATTACCGCCTGTGCCACCACATCCACCTAATATTTTTGTATTTTTAGTAGAGACGGGATTTCACCGTGTTAGCCAGGGTGGTCTGGATCTCCTGACCTCATGATCTGCCCACCTTGGCTTCCCAAAGTGCTGAGATTACAGGCGTGAGCCACTGTGCCCAGCCAAGATGAATTTTTTAATCCTGCAAAAATTGTTGTTGGTATTTTGATAGAGGTTACATTGAATCTGTGGGTCACTTTTGGTAATATTGACATGTTAACAGTATTTAGTTTTCCAAACTGTAAGTCCTTATCTTGGTCTTGATCTTAGAAGAAAAGCTGTCAGTCCTTCCTAGGTTCAAAGTTATGTGTTTTTCATATATGGCCTTTATTATGTTGAAGACCTTACCATTTGTGCCTAGTTTGTAGAATATTTTTCTCATATATAAGGATATTGAATTTTGTGAAATTGTATTTCTTATCAGTTGAGATGATCATGTGAGTTTTTTCTTCATTTTATTAATGTGTGTTAAATTGACTGATTTTAATATGTTGTTAATCATTCAAGAATTTCAGGAGGAAAACCCACTAGTTCATTACATACAAACTTTCTATAACGTGTTTCTGAATTCATCTTACTAATATTTCGTTATTATTTTTGCGTTACTATTTATAAGATACATTGTTGTGTTCTTACAGTGTCTTTGTCCAGGGTCTCATGATAAATCTAGGCTCTGAGCATGATAAATGGAATTTTTTTTTTTTTTTTTTTTGGTGAGATGGAGTCTCACTCTGTCACCCAAGCTGGAGTGCAGCGGCATGATCTCGGCTCACTGCAAGCTCCGCCTCCCAGGTTCTAGCGATTCTTCTGCCTCAGCCTCCCGAGTAGCTGGGACTATAGGTGCCCACCACCACTCCTGGCTAATTTTTTGTGTTTTTAGTAGAGATGGGGTTTCACTGTGTTAGCCAGGATGGTCTCGATCTCCTGACCTCGTGATCTGCCCGTCTCGGCCTCCCAAAGTGCTGGGATTATAGGTGTGAGCCACTGCGCCCAGTCAGTAAATTGAATTTTTAAAAAGTTTTTGAGAAGCATTAGTATTAGGCAAAACAGAGACCAGTATTTTAGACAGTCCTTAGATGAATTAGAATGTTACAGATAAGGTTCTCTCTTTTGAGGGAACAAATTAGGAACGAAATTGACACCTCTTTTGTAGCAACACTGTACCAGGCCTTTGATGGAGTGAGGCAAGCACAAGTAAAAAACACTATAGTATTTCCCACTGATTTGAGTGTGACTTTTTCTAAGTTGTTTACCTGGATGCTGTAGATCTGTGATTGTTTTCCATAGATTCCATCAGGTTATGTTAGGTAGTTTTGTTTTGTTTTTTTGGTTTTTTTTTTGAGACAGAGTCTCGCTTTGTCACCCAGGCTGCAGTGCAGTGGCGTGATCTCAGCTCACTACAAGCTCCGCCTCCCGGGTTCACGCCATTCTCCTGCCTCAGCCTCCCAAATAACTGGGACCACAGGCACATGCCACCACACCCGGCTAACTTTTTTGTATTTTTAGTAGAGACGGGGTTTCACCGTGTTAGCCAGGATGGTGTTGATCTCCTGACCTCGTGATCTGTCCGCCTCGGCCTCCCAAGGTGCTGGGATTACAGGCGTGAGCCACCACACCCAGCCCCTACATTAGGTAGTTTTAAATTTTTTTACATAGGGAAGTGTGAGGGCTTGGGGCTTCTTCATTGACCATTTGGGCTCATGTCACCTGTCCTTTATTTCTTTTTATACTGCTTCATCAAGATAATTTACATAATATACAGTTTACACATATAAAGTATACAGTTCAGTGGTTTTTAGCGTACCTCATAGGTGTGCAATCATTATCATAATAAATTTTACAAATTTTTTTTATTCCCAAATGAAAGCCCATAACCATCCACAGTCACATTTCCCCCAACTCCAAGAATTCAAGCAACCACCTGCCTGCTTATATCTGTAGATTTGCCTGTGTTGAGTGTGTGTGTGTGTATGGGATGATATCATGTCTTTTTGACTGGTTTCTTTTTTATTTTTTAGCATAAGATTTTCAAGGTCTATTCATTTGCAGCATGTATCACTAAACCACTTCTCTTTTAATGACAATATTACATTGTCTGGGTATAAACCGTTTTTGGTGGAGGAACTCTGTCATCAGTTTATGAACATTTAGGTTGTTTCTGCTCTGCCTCGTAGGTATTCCGAGTAATGCTATTATGAATACTTATAAACAGTATTTGTGTGGGAACATATACCCTCATTTCCCTTGTATAGATGCTAGATTATGTGGTGTAATAACTCATTGTTTACTCTGGGGGGTTTTTGTTTGTTTTTTATTGACAGTCTCACTTTGTTGCCCAGGCTGGAGTGCAGTGGTACTATCTTGGCTCACTGTAACCTCTACTTCCTGAGTTCAAGCAATTCTCCTCCCTCAGCTTCCTGAGTAGCTGGGACTACAAGTGTGCACCACCACGCGTGGCTAATTCCTGTGTTCTTAGTAGGGAAAAGATTTCACCATGTTGCCCAGGCTGGTCTCAAACTATTGACCTCTAATAATTCATCCAGCTTGGCCTCCCAAAATGCTGGGATTACAGGTGTAAGCCACCGAACCCGGCCTCATTGTTTATTCTATTAAGGAACTGTCAGATTAATTTTCAAATGGCTACATCATTTTACATTTTCTTTTTTTTTTTTTTTTTTGAGACAGTCTCACTGAGTCATCAGGTTGGAGTGCAATGGTGATAACTCACCTCACTGCAGCCTCTGCCTCCTGGGTTCAATCAATTCTCCTGCCTTAGTCTCCCAAGTATCTGGAATTTTAGGCACACACCATCATGCCTGACTAATTGTTTTTTGTATTTTTAGCAGAGACAGGGTTTCATCATGTTGACCATGCTTGTCTTGAATTCCTGGCCTCATATGATCCACCTACCTCAGCCTCCCAAAGTGCTGGGATTACAAGCATGAGCCACTGTGCCTGGCCTACATTTTTATTCTTAATTTATAAGTTTCCCATTTCTCCATCTTCTCTGATGCTTATATACCATCTCCTTTTGATTCTAACCATACTATTAGTTTTGAAGTAATATTTCATTTTGTCTTTTCCCAAATGGTTATTTGTTAAGCATCTTTTCATTAACATATTGTTAATGGGTATATTTTCTTTGGTGAAATGCATGTTTATTTCCTTTGCCCATTTTTTAATTTGGCTATTTTTCTTTTTATTATTGAACCGTAAATTATATGCATGCTTATTCTTGCTAAAAATTCCTTCTCAAGTATTAAATGTGTCAATACTTTTTTCTTTTCTGTGAGTAGTCCTTTCACTTTTTCTGTTAGTGTCCTTTGAAGTACAAAAATTTTAATTTTGATAGAGTTTAATTATTTGCATTTCTTGGACTTCATTTGTTTTTGTCATTGCTAAGAAACTATTGCCTAACCCATAGTTATACAGATGTACTAATTTTTTTTTTTTGCATGAGTTTTGTGTGATATCTTATATTTAGGTCACATTCATTTTGAGTTAATTTTTCTGTACATTATGAGATAGAGGTCCAACTTCATTCTTTTACATGTGGATTTCCAGTCCTCCCAGAAACATTTTCTCATTGCATATTCTTGAAATATTTCTGGAGAGAATAACAAACATTTTAAGTTCAGCATTTAATTTTTTATTACAAATGTTAAATAAAAATGTGAAAATGTTTTATTATTTATATAGAACTCTTTGCATTGAAAATTTAGCCTGTGAAGAACTTCGTCCATATGCCCTTAGTTTTGTTAATGTGATTCACCCACAGAGAAAGCCAGGGTAACTAAATATGATACTATAATCAGAGATAGAGGATCTTAACATTGCTCACTCTGTACATATTTTCATATGGATGCAAATGTATTTCTGCCAGTTTAGAATATGTGCCATGGCTTTGCTACTTGGCACTTATAATTAACATTAGTAGTTATACCCCTCAGTACTTTTGGCTTCAGGTTTTTCTTCATTATCTTGTCTTTGGCCCAAGTATAAGAATCTACAGATTCTTTCTCATAAAACAGTGTCTACAGGGAAAAACAAAACAACGCTTTTTCTTTATTACAAAAGAGAATTGGAGGGAGGCTGAGGCATCGGAGGGAGACTGAGGCAGGAAACTTCCTCGAACCCAGGAGGCAGAGGTTGCAGTGAGCTGAGATTACGCCACTGCACTCCAGCCTAGGCAACAGAGTGAGGCTCCGGCTCAAAAAAAAAGAAGGAAGAATTCTGTCTTCTTAAGTGCTTTCTTACATCTTTTTTTGTTTTAATATATAATTAGTAAGCTTTTGTATGTTGTCCTTGTTTTCATTTTTAGTTCTCTCTCATATTCTCTTGATATCATTTTAAATGAAATTAATTTACCATTTAGAAAATTCCTTGGTCCAAAGTAAAATATGAATGAATACATGCTTTTCTTATAAATTAGTATAATACCTGAATTTCATATTAATTTTGTAGATGATGGAGGATGTTGAGTACCGTGAACTGGACTTTGACTTTTCCTGTGACTTAATTTAATGTGATTATAGAAGATATTTTCTGTGAAATGTGCCTGTAAAAACTTATTTCTCAAAAATAGTCAATACTGCTCATGTAGATGAGTATAATTTGTATAATAGAAGTGATAGCCTGTTAGAGGATACTAAGTATGAATATTTTTTTCTTAACCTGAAGGAAGAAAATGAGAAAAGAACACAACACAAAGATCATTCAGATAACGAATCCACATCTTCAGAGAAGTAAGTAACTTTTAGCACCCACTCAACATTTCTGTCTAAAATACATGGATTTCATATTCTCTCTTTTTTTAAGTTCTGGAAGGAGAAGGAAAGGACCTTTTAAAACCATAAAATTTGGGACCAACATTGACCTCTCTGATAACAAAAAGTAAGTCTCCCTGCCCTAGTGCTATTTCCATGAACTGAATCAATGAGGGTATTGCAGAATTGGGAATTGTCTAGAGAACTGTTTTTTTTCTATTCCTAATTATCTCTCTCTCTTTGTTTCTTGTTTTTTTATGTTGACATGTTAGTTTTACCTAATAACCCTAAAATTCTGAAATCATTTTGACAAAGTTTTACAATTAGAATGTTATTCTTCTTAAGAAAACCAAAGTACCCTCTCTATTAATACAACTTTATAAATAGAAAGTAAATTGTTTCTTTTATTTAGTAGGTTATACAATTTATGATTTTTTTTTTCAGTAATCTGTGTTTGTCTTAAGACTTATTTTTGGAATAAGTTAAACGCTTTAGTTCTACTGACTATACAGGTAAAATATTTATTGATTTAAGTATTTTTCTGATTGAATCACAGGGTTTTTGAGGATGTGGTGATTCTTACGAGTTTTTACTCTTAATCTGTTAATTTATTGCAGGTGGAAGTTGCAGTTACATGAACTGACTAAACTTCCTGCTTTTGCGCGTGTGGTGTCAGCAGGAAATCTTCTAACCCATGTTGGGCATACCATTCTGGGCATGAATACAGTACAACTGTATATGAAAGTTCCAGGGAGTCGGACACCAGGTGATTTTAATGACTAACATATCTTACATGATTGAAAAAATTGAGTTTATCATGCGGAGCAGGCATAGAGAGCACATTGTCATTTATACTTCTAAAGCCAAAAAGATTTTAAAATTCTTTATTATAGGTGAAAATGTTCATATTACTCTTAAAATTGAGCTCAGGGTATTGTTTTTCCATCATTTTTATATGAAAAAACAATCGGAAAAATGTAAACTGGGAAAGGGACTCTAAGTTTCTGAGTTGTAGGAATGACAACAGGTTAACAATGTTTTTCAGAGGTTTTCACCACAATTACAGTGAGAACAATGTATTATGAACCAGTTTACTGAAGTTATGTATAATAAAAATTTCATTGACAATACTGAAAACGTGATGCGCTTTTTTTTTTTAGAAAATGTAATCCAAAAACTGTCTAATTTTAAGCAAACATTTCTTTTTTTTTTTTCATGCGTCATTTATTTACAAACATTTCTTTAAAGGGCTAGATACTAAATATTTTAAACTATGCAAGCCGAGAGGTTCAATTGGCGATATTTTGTAGGTATTCTATTAAAAAAAAACTATTTTTTATGGATTTTTATTGATGAAAATCATAATAAATAACGGATGCATTTTTTTTGTTTACTAGTTAAAAGAATGGAATTATTTTGGAGGAAATAATACTCCACTTCATTGGGGCTCAAATACTGTGTTCTTGTGTCATCAAGATTAACTACAAATGTACATCTGTTAAAGTTGTTCTGTGGTAGTGAGATCTTCAAAAATGTCTTTTCAAGTGGATCAATACTGCCATGTACTGATGTCAAACTTTGAGCATATTTTCTTGAGTATATTAATTGTCTTAAAGGCACTTATAGAGTTAGATTTTTTTTCCTTTTGAGTTATTTTCTTTTTGGGTTTCATTACATTGCAGATTAATTTTTTCCAATTGAAGGTCAGTTGCACCTTTAGTTGGAAAACCTCACAGTAGTACAAATGGCTTTTGAAATAAGCACATTTTCCTGCACTTTTGTTGAGATTTGGAAAATGCTGCTGTAATTATATTTTGAACCTAAAGAAGTACATATTTGCAAATGTGTATGGTACTGGAGATGTAGCTTCTTACTTGTTTTTAGTAGCTTAAGAAGTAGCATATAAAAGCAGCTTGATACTATTTGCAATTCAAAAAATTTCTTTTGTCTTCAGAATGATTTATTATCCTAAAAGTTTCACAGGTAAGTTCTCTTTGCTTTGTAATTTTTAGGTTGAACTTATCAAGAAATGTTTTGAAGCCTGCAGCAAAATTTCCGTGGCCAGTAAGTGGTCAATAACAGTGGCAGAAGGTGGTACTTCTTCAGAAAAATTTCCACCTCAACTCAGAGCTCTAAAAATAGCAATACAGCTTCATCATATCTAAATCATTGACCTGCTTTTTTTAGACAAGTGAGGATATTCAGTCTCTGTTTCTGACAAAATTCATGGAACTTATGTTCAACAGGTTGATGAGACTGGCATATGATAAGATATTTTTCACAAGTCTGCCAATGAATAATACAATACAAATGAACATAGATATTGAAACACCTTACATTTTCACAGTGAAAATGAAATAAATTGCATGAAATGAAAAATGTCATTTTTCTTTTAAAATCTAGCAGGGGAATAACCAAACTTTTAATAGATTATCTCCTTGTCATTTTGTCTCTCAAGTGTTTGGGTTTTTTTGTTTCTTTGTATAACATTAGTACTTCAACAGTATCCTGTGGAACTGTTAAGGAATTCCTTAGAGGAAATGTAGTATGTTTTTGTTTGCCAGATATAATTTAAAGAAACATTGTTCTGAATTTCTGTATAGGTAGATTTTATTCCAGTATTACATTAGTATAAATGATGCCTGCTATAATACACTTCATATTCTGATATGATCTTTAATGTGTTCTAAAATATTGGGATTGCTGATAGATCATAAGCTAAGATTATCTATATGGTATGTAATGTAAATGTTTCTAACTCTTTCACCATGGGTAGGTGCCTGTGGTGTCCTAGTATTTCTAATTTGTATTTTTAAAGCCCTTGCCATGGGCAGTGCCATCCACCTACTCATTGTGGAAGAGTTATGATTCTTTACATTATATGCTAACATTTGACATGTGGTAGGAGCCAAGAGTGGTAGGAGACAGGTTACATTTTGAACACTATACCTTTCTTAATAAGGTTTCTGCTACTATTTGCGAGAATTGAGAAGTCGTTTATAGAGAAGGAACTACTAATGACTATAGCTAATATGTATTGCATATTATGTTCTGTTCAAAGTTCTAAGCATGTATTTTTCGCTCAGTCCTCAAAACTATCCAGTAATTTAAAGGCACATTTCTCCATTTAATTTATGCTACAATTGTGACTTACATTTTCTTTTACTTTTCAGGTCACCAAGAAAATAACAACTTCTGCTCTGTTAACATAAATATTGGTCCAGGAGATTGTGAATGGTTTGTTGTACCTGAAGATTATTGGGGTGTTCTGAATGACTTCTGTGAAAAGTAGGTTTCTGAACTAAACTTTCATTTAAGTAACTATGAGAAAATAGGCATAAAGGACAAAGTGCAAAGCTGAGTTTCTTCATGAAACTATCAGTTTTTACTTACTGCTCAGCAGAATTTTTTTAAAATGATTTGATTTCAAATCTTTTATGTTATCTAAATACTTAATGAAAAGATGTCATGCTAAGCACAGTGTCTTATGCCTGCAATCTCAGCACTTGGAGATGCTGAGGCAGATGGATGTCTTGAGCCTAGGAGTTTGAGACCAGCCTAAGCAACGTGGCAAAACCACAACAATTAGCCTGCACTTATAGTTCTTCATACTCAGGATACTGAGATGAGCCTCGGAGGTTGAGGCTGCAGTGAGCCATGATCATGCTATGGCATTCTGTCGTAGGTGACAAGAGTGAGACCCTGTCTCAAAACAAAGAAGCAAACTGAAAGATGCCGTGAACTAGTCTCTGCCGTGGTAATAGGTGTGAATTGATAAGAGAGTAAATTGTTTTTTATGTTAATGTAAAAAATTTATGCATTTTTCCAGATTTGACAAGTGTGCCTTAAAGAAAAATTTTACTTACGATTGTTTTTAGAAATTATGGGGAATTATAAAATAAGGCACCCTTAGAGCCTAGTAACTCAATTTTGTGTATCTTTGTAATTTGGGCTAAAAATATCAATAACAAAGGAATCACAGAATTTGTTTTTTAGAGTTGGTAAAGATATTAGTGGAAAAATACAGACATAACTGGAACTGTATTACATACTAAAACATACTGTAAAAAAATAGAATTCCTAGAGAATTATATATGAGGTTTACATTTTAATCAGTTAATATGCATGTTTCACAAAGTAATTTCTACTTTAACCTTTTGGAATGTCTTTACATTTTATTTGGTAAAAAGTTCATCTTATTAAAAACATAAGGTTAATTTTCTTACCTACTGGCAAGAAATAATCCCTTTTTATTGCCTTTGTTGTCTAATGCAAAAGGTTTCCTCAGCATAGCAAAGATGGAATTTTTTAACATTTAAAACTTATCAGTAACACTTTCATCTGAACTCTTTGTTCTGAACCTAGGAAACTCCAAATACACAGAAACAGCAGGGGCAAACAAGGGAAAAAGAAATCTATACAGGGGAATCCCTATCGTGCTACATAAAGAATTTTTTTCTTAAAACTGTGAGGATGTATATTGCAGTTCTTATTACATTTAAATATAATGACTTTTGTTCATTTTTCCTGAGTGGGAACTGGCATTTTCAGGATTTAGCTTTTTTCCTTTCTGAACAGAGAAGTGACCTTAGGTTAATGATTGTTGGGGAAAAAAATGTGATATCTAAAAAGTTAAAGATTGGAAATAATAAAAATATGAAGTTAAAATGATTCATTTATCCTAAGATTCAAAAACTTTGCAGTCCTCTTTGCAGTTTCCTTGTAATTTTATTTTGTATAAAGTATCACCCTATATATAATTAACTGTTGTTCTGAACTTTTGAAAAAGATACTGTCTGCCTTTATTGGCTTTGCTGCTTTTTTTTTAATACAAAATTTTCTCTAATTTTATATTGGTAGTATACGAGTAAGATAAGGTAAGACTTGTGCTATGCTTATAATTTTTTCCTTTTCCTTTCTTTTTTCATTTTGCTTCCCATTTACTGGCAAGCTTTTTAAAGTTTATGGGAAACGGGCTGGGCACAGTG
Organism: Homo sapiens; assembly: GCF_000001405.40. Classification (NCBI taxonomy): domain Eukaryota; kingdom Metazoa; phylum Chordata; class Mammalia; order Primates; family Hominidae; genus Homo; species Homo sapiens. The sequence continues at coordinate 13,301,176 of NC_000024.10, read as the reverse complement.
GCTCATGCCTGTAATCCCAGCACTTTGGAAGGCCGAGGAGGGCTGATCATTTGAGGTCAGGAGTTCAAGACCAGCCTGGTCAACATGGTGAAACCCTATCTCCACAAAAATGCAAAAATAGCAGGTCATGGTCATGTGTACCTGTAGTCCCAGCTATTTGGGAGGCTGAGGCAGAAGAATTGCTGGAACCGGGAAGCAGAAGTTGCAGTGAGCTGAAATTGCACCATTGCACTCTGGCCTGAACAAAAGGGCAAGACTCTGTCTCCACATAAAAAAAAAAAAAAAGTTATGGAAAACTGTAATTTTTTATTCCTTGAATTGCTAACCTCTGCTAAAGTCAAAAGCAATTTTAGGAGAATAAAATGAAACGGAGTAAGATTTCATATAGACAACTCCAGATTGTTATCATTTTTTAAAGATAAAATATAGAAACAAAGCAAAATCAGTTCTTAAATCTGAAACATTTTCTACTATGTGAATTTCTTCCTCTTGAGAAAACTTAATTTGAAATATTTTACTAAATTCTTAATAGAAAACAATGTAGTTACTGTGCAGTACATCACAATATTGAAAAAAACAAAATTTTTTTTTTGATACAGAGTTTTGCTCTGCCCACCAGGCTGGAGTGCAGTGGCACGATCTCAGCTCACTGCAACGTCCGACTCCCAAGTGCAAGAAATTCTCCTGCTCACCCTCCTGAGTAGCTGGGATTATAGGCATGCAGCACCGCACACCCCGCCCCCTGCCCCAAGCCCCCGGCTAATTTTTGTATTTTTAGTAGAGCTAGGGTTTCACCATGTTGGCTAGGCTGGTCTTGAACTCCTGACCTCAACTGATCCTCCCTCCTGGGCCTCCCAAAGTGCTGGTATTACAGGTGTGAGCCACCACACCTGGGCAACAATACGGAAAATCTGGTGAAGGAGAGTAACAAAAAAATGAGACTTTTATATTAAAACTTCATAATTTTGTCTGTTTGTATTGGTGCCAGTGGTGGTTTGTATATGTGTATATGGCTTCTTCTGGTAGTTTTTTCAGCTGCCTTAAGTCAACTAATTCCTAAAAGCTTATGCAAATAGACATTCTGTCCTTACTCCCCTTTCCTGCCTAGGATTCAGAACAGCAGTAGAGGATGATTTCTGCTCTCCTTCTCACCCCTGACTCAGGAATTGAGAGAAGGTCCTGGTTCTTATATCTGCCACAGTAATTATGATTAAGATTTTAAATGACTTCATGTGATTTCTAACTAGAGTTTTCCTTTTTAGAGATCTCAGAGTATTAAGAGGTTTTTTTAGTTAAAAAAAAAAGATGAGTCAAAATATTTCTTATTGAAAAAATTAAAAATCAGTATGTTTAACTGTAATTAGAAATTTAAATATTAATTTGTAGACTTTTGAACAGTAAGTTTAAGCTGATAGTAGTTGATCTTTGGATAAGTCTATCACTATTCACCTGCAATTAATTTTTCTCAGGACCCTAGCCCAAGCCTCCAACCGGAAATGAAAGAGGCAATTCATGTTGCAATGCTTTTGTGATGCAAAGTCTTTTTTAATTTGTTTGTTTTTTGTTTTGTTTGTGGTAGAGTCTCTCTCTGTTGCCTAGGCAGGAGTGCAATGGTGCAATCTTGGCTCACTGCAACCTCCTCCTCCCAGGTTGAAGTAATTCTCGTGCCTCACCCTCACGAGTATCTGGGATTACAGGCATGTGCCACAGTGTTTGGCTTTTTTTTTTTTTTTTTTTTTTTTTTTTTTGTATAGTAGAGACAGGGTTTCATTGTATTGGCCAGGCTGGTTTCGAACTTCTGACCTCAAGTGATCTGCCTGCCACAGCCTCCCAAAGTGCTGGGATTACATGTGTGAGCCACCACACCTAGCCCTGTGATACAAAGTATTAATGGAATAAAAACTTGAAGCATTTTTTTTAACTCTTGTTAAATCTTTTTTTAACTTGATTAATTTTCAAGTTGATTTTTCATTATTTTCTTTTTCAGAAATAAAACACCTTTCAACCTGATTTTCATTATTTTCTTTTTCAGAAATAATTTGAATTTTTTAATGAGTTCTTGGTGGCCCAACCTTGAAGATCTTTATGAAGCAAATGTCCCTGTGTATAGATTTATTCAGCGACCTGGAGATTTGGTCTGGATAAATGCAGGCACTGTGCATTGGGTTCAAGCTGTTGGCTGGTGCAATAACATTGCCTGGAATGTTGGTCCACTTACAGGTATTCTGAATAATAACACCAACAAGGTTTATATTTTAAAGGATTACCTAGTAGGTATTATTTTACTAGTAGAAAATAACTCACTGAAAATAGAAATAGTATCTCTTGTAGGAAAAAAATACCAATTTTTAATACAGAAATTAAATTCAGCTCAAAAATGGCAATCCAAGAACACTTTTTTTTTTTTTTTTTTTTTTTTTTTTGAGATGGAGTCTCACTCTGTCGCCCAGGCTAGAGTGCAGTGGTGCAATCTCGGCTCACTGCAAGCTCCACCTCCCGGGTTCATGCCATTCTCCTGCCTCAGCCTCCTGAGTAGCTGGGACTACAGACATCTGCCACCACGCCCAACTAATTTTTTGTATTTTTAGTGGAGACAGGGTTTCACCGTGTTAGCCAGGATTGTCTTGATCTCCTGAACTCATGGTCCGCCCACCTGGGCCTTTCAAAGCGCTGAGATTACAGGCGTGAGCCACTGTGCCCAGCCCAAGAACACAGATTTTTTAAAAATATAAATGATTTTCTTTGCAGAAATGTAAGATATACTTTTTATATTTTAGAGTGCTAGATTTTGTTTTTGTAAAGGAAGCCCTTTATTGAGTAAAGTATTGTAGTTGTTCATTAGAATTTTCAGTTTATGTAATATAGCATATGTGCAGCCCTAAAATGTCATAGTATTTAATATACATAAATAAATAATCTGGCCTTAAGAGCTAGAAAGACCTGAAATAGACCATGTCTCTACATTGCTAACTTTATGACTTTGGGCAAGTTTTATTTTTTTGTTTGTTTGTTTGTTTTTGTTTTTCTCTCAGGCTTTCACTTTTTCCTTCTACCAAACCACTTTCTTCTTCTACCAAATGAAGGCCTTGAAAGGATAAAATGAGATAAGATGTTAAAAGAACCTAGCACAATGTCTCGCATATTGTGACTGCTCTTTACGTTAGGTTTTTTTTTAACCAAAGTTATCACAAAACATAATAGTCTTACGGTGTTTCAAGGTTTTCAGAATTGGTATTGCAGTTGTCACCTGAGAGGTGATAAATGATGGTTATCTTCATGTGTTCTATTACTTTGGGTTACTTTATGACTGTTGCTTTTTTCCTTCTAGCCTGCCAGTATAAATTGGCAGTGGAACGGTATGAATGGAACAAATTGAAAAGTGTGAAGTCACCAGTACCCATGGTGCATCTTTCCTGGAATATGGCACGAAATATCAAAGTCTCAGATCCAAAGCTTTTTGAAATGATTAAGTAAGTGCCTTCTGAAACTGCTGCAGTTTCTCTTTGGGGGTATTGGTAGCCATTCAGTATTTTTTTCAAAAGAATTCTGTTGACATTAAATGATATCAGCAGTCCAGAAGTCTTGGCAAAATGTAATAAGATGTAAATAATCTTATATATTCATAAGTGTTATAAAATCTCATAAGATTAAAATATTGCCTTCCCTTACAGATAGTCACTTGTGTTTATTACAATTTAGAGAGGAATAAAGATGTACATGAATATACACTGGTAAATTTACAACTCTCTATTTTCTCGTAATTCTGATAAAACTGATTTCCCAGGACAACTTGTTTTACTATTTTAAAATAATTTTTGTTGCTTATTTTTTATGTTTATATTAAGGTATAGTTTATAGTGCAAATTGTATACATTTAAGATGTACAGCCTGATGATTTGATAAACATATATATGAATATGAAAGTACTGGCACCTCTCTTTGCTTCTCTTGCCATATGATCTCTGTATGTACCAGTTCCCCTTCCCCTTCCAAAGCCCTCACCAGAAGCAGATGCTGGTCCCATATTTCTTGTACAGCTTGCAGAACTGTGAGCCATATAAACCTCTTTCCTTTATATTATTACCCTGCCTTGGGCATTTCTTTATAGCAACATTAAATGGACTGAGACAGAAAATCATTATTTAAAAATGGGATACCACTTTTTGCCAAATATAGCTGAAAATGCAGAAGCAGATTTGCAACTGGGTAATAGGCAGAGGTTGAAAGAGTTGAAGGACCAGGCTAGGAAAAGTTTGTATTGTAATGAATGGGTGATTCTGATGAGGGCTCACAAGTCCAGAAGACAAGGGAAAGTTTGGAGCTTCTTGGGGATTGGTAAACTGTTTCTCGCCAAAATGCTGATAGAGAAAGTAAAAGACTTGCTGATGAGATCTCAGATGGAAATGATGAACTTACTGGGAACTGGAGCAAAAGTCACCCTTGTTACTCTGCAGCAGAGAACCTGGCTGTGTTTCCATTGCCCTAGGGCTTGGTGGGAAGCTGAACTTAACGGTGATGACCTAGGGTAGGGGGCAGAAAAAATTTCTAGGCAGCAAACTTTGAATAAGTTACGTGGCTACTTTTAACAGCTTACCATCTAAACCAGCAGCAAATGAATGAACTAAAGGTGGAAATTACAATTAAAAGGCAAGCAGATTGTAAAATTTGGAAAGGAAATGTAATAGGAAAGAGCATTTTCAGGAAAGGAGTCCAAGGGTGCTGAGAGCAAGCACTTGGTAGAGAGATTAGCATGACTAAAAGGGAGCCAGGTGCTAATCTTCAAGCCCATTGGAAAAAGTCCCTAAAAGCATTTCAGAAATGTTGAAGTCTGCCCCTCTCCTCACAATCCTGGAGACTGGGGAGAACAGAAAGGCGTGGAAAGTAGGGAGGGACAAGCCAGGGCATTGCTGCCCTGAGCCACCTCAGGATGCTGTTCTACCCATCCTGCACCACTGCAGAGAACTTAAACTTTAAGCCTTGATGACTTCCACAGGTGTTAAGTCTGTGTTGCCTACAGTACAAGAGCCATGGAACCTTGGCAGCTTCTACCTAGATTTCAGAGGATATATTAGAAACCTGGATGCTGCCACACAGAAGCCTACCACAGGAACAGAAACTCCACAGAGAGACCTCTGGTAGGACACTGCCCAATGGAGGTGTGGGAGCAGGGCCACAGTTCTACACACATCAGGTTGATAATGCCAGTGGCAGCCCACAAGTCCAGACTGGAAAAACTGCAGAAATTCAACTTTAACCCATGAGAGCAGTCATATGGCCTGTGCGCAGCAAAGCCACGTGAGTGGAGCAGCTTAAGGCTTTGGGAGCCTACTGCTCACACCAGTATGTCCAATATATGGGACATGGAGTCAAGAAAAATTACTTTGAAGCTTGAAGACTCAATGTGTGCCCTGCTAGTTTTCAGGCTTGCATAGGGGCTGTTACTCCCTTCTTGGCTTATTGATCCTTTTCAGAAAAGGATTGTTAACCAATGTCTGTTCAATTATATCTTGGAAGTGAATAACTCATTTTTTATTTTGCAAGTTCACAGCTATAAGGAAATTGCCTTGCATCTCAGGTGAGACTGGACTTTCGAGTTGGTGCAGGAACAAGTTAAGACTTTTCGGGACTAATGGAAAGTAATTATTGTATTTTAGGTTTGAAAAGTACATGAAATTTGAGTGGGGGCACAGAGATAATGCTATAGTTTCAGTGTTTGTTCCCCTAAATTCAATGCTAACATTTGATCCCAGTGTTAGAAGTGGGGGTCTCCTGGGGAGTGTTTGGGTTATGGGGAGGGATCTCTCATGAGTAAATTAATGCTTCTCTGTAGCTGCGGGTGTGAGTGAGTTCTCACACTGTTAGTTCCTGATAGAGTTGTTACTAAAAAGAGCCCATTGCCTCTGCTCTTCTGTTCCTTGTCTTGCTATATGATCTCTGCTCTCTCCTCCCATTCCTGGCCTTCTGCCATTAGTGGAAGCTATCTGAATCTCTCATCAGAACCAGATAACAGTGTCATTCTTCTTTTATAGTTTGCACTATTGTGAGCCAGATAATCCTCTTTTCTTTAAAAATTACCCAGTGTCAGCTCAGGTATTTCTTTTTTTTTTTTTTTTTTTTAAGACAGTTTTCACTCTCGTTTCCCAGGCTGGGGTGCAATGGCGGGATCTCGGCTCACTGCAACCTCTGCCTCCCGGGTTCAAGTGATTCTCCTGCCTCAGCCTCCCAAGTAGCTGGGATTACAGGGGCCCACGACCATGCCTGGCTGATTTTTTTGTATTTTTAATACAGACATGGTTTCACTATGTTGGCCAGGCTGGTCTTGAGTTCCTGACCTCAGGCGATCCACCTGCCTCGGCCTCCCAAAGTGCTGGGATAACAGGCGTGAGCCAGGGCCCCCAGCCTCAGGTATTTCTTTATAGCAATACTATACAGACTGGTACAGTCATCATCTTGTATGTTACATACCCTGAACCTATTCTTTCTGCATAACTGAAACATGGACCACTTGACCGGCATCTTTCCATATTTCTTTCCTTACAGTCATCGTTCAACATTGTGCTTCTGTGAGTTTGATGTTTTTAGATTGTACATGCATAAAGTGAGATAATGAAGTGTTTGCCTTTCTGAGTCTTATTTATTTCATTTAACCTGAAGTAAGCAGTGTTTTTCTCTGTGTTCTTCTAGTACTTTTTCAGTTTGAGTCTTGGCCTTTAAGCCATTTTGAGATGGTTTTTGTGTATAATATGAGATGACAGTTGAGTTTTATAATTCTGTATCAAACAATGCAGTTTTTCCATTACAGTTTATTGAAGACATTTTTCTTTCCCCATGTTTATTCTTGGTACCCTTGTCAGAGAGCAGTTGTTCATAGTTATGTATTTCTGAGGTCTCTGTTCTTTTCTTTTGGTCTGTATATCTGTGTTTATGCCAGTACCCTGTTGTTTTTATTGCTATACCTTTGAGGTACGTTTTGAAATCAGGTCACTTGATGCCTCTAGCTTTGTTTTTCTTCCCCAAGATTACTTTAGCTGTTGGAAGTCTTTTGTGATTTCATGTGAATTTTAGAAGACTTTCTCTCTTCTAAAATTGCATACTACCCACAGCAATCCACAGATTCAATGTAGTTGGCCTTTTGCTTGAGATTACATTGAATTTGTGGATTACTGTGGGTAATATGGACATTTTAACAGTATTTATATTAATACTTTCAAACCATGAGTACAGATGTTTTTCATTTATGTGTGCCTTTAATTTTCCGTATCAGTGTTTTGTAGTTTTCAATGTACAAATGTTTCACTTCTTTGGTTACGTTTATTACCAAGATATCTTTTTGTTGCTACTATGAATGGATTGTTTTCTTCATTTTTTTTTCTTTTTAGTAGTTTGATTTTTCTATATAAAGTGCAGTTGATTTTTACATGCTAATTCTGTTTCCTGAATCTTTTCTGAATTATTAATTCTAACAGTTTTCTTTGTTGAGTCTCTACAGTTTTCTACATAGAGAATTGGTATCTGCAAATACAGGTAATTATACTTCTTCACTTAAAATTTGAACACCATGGCCAGGTGCGGTGGCTCACGCCTACAATCCCAGCACTTTGGGAGGCCAAGGTGGGCAGATAACGAGGTCAAGAGATCAAGACCATTCTGGCCAACATGGTTAAACCCCGTCTCTACTAAAAATACAAAAATTAGCTGGGAATGGTGGTGCATGCCTTTGGTCTCAGCTACTCTACTTGGGAAGCTGAGGCAGGATAATTGCTTGAACTCAGGAGGCAGAGATTGCAATGAACCAAAATCATGCCACTATACTACAACCTGGACAGAGTGAGACTCCGCCTCAAAAAAAAAAATTTTGAATGCCATTTATTTATTTTTCTTATCTAATTGTCTGGCTACAACATACAGTATTAGATTCTAAACAGATGCCAAGAATGAGCATTCTTACTTAGGGTTTAGGAGGAAAGCTTTTCATTTCTGCCCACAGTGATTATGATGTTAGCTGTGTACTTTTTCCATACAGCATTAACCATGAGATCCATTCCTTCTGTACCTATTTTGTTGAAAGTTTTAAATATCAATAGAGTTTGAACTTTGTCAAATGCGTTTTCTAGATCTGTTTAGATAATCATGTAGTTTTACCTTTTTTTCTGTTAGTATGGTATATCACATTTATTTGCCTATGTCACACCATTATTATTTCCCGAGGATAAATTCACTTTTTCAGGGTTTATGATCCTTTTAATATGCTGCTCAATTCTATTTGTTAGTATTTTACCGAGGATTTTTCTACCAGTGTTCAATAGGAATGTTGGCCTATCATCTTATTTTCTTGTAACATCTTTGTCTGCCATTGATATTATGGTGGTGTTGACCTCATAAAATGAGTTTAGAAGTCTTCTTTCTTCTATTTTTTGGAAAATAGGTATTTTTCTTTGAATGTTTATTGGAATTCACCCACAAAGCCATCTGGTTCTGGGCTTTTCTTTGTTAGGGGAATTTTAATCACTAATTAAAGCACCTTATTTGTTACTGGTCTGTTCAGCATTCCTATTTCTTCTTGATGCAGATTTGCTAGGTATAGCGTGTTTCTTAGAATTTGTTCATATCTTCTGGATTATCTAGTTTTTGCCATATTATTGTTCATTATAATCCCTTTGATGCTTTATATTTCTGAATATCTTTTTCCTTTTCTTTTCTTGTTTTTGTTTTTGTTTTTTTTTTTTTCAAGACAGAGTCTCCCTCTGTCACCCAGGCTGGAGTGCAGGGGCGTGACCTTGGCTCATGGCAACCTCCACCTCCCAGGTTCAAGCAATTCTCCTGCCTCGGCCTCCTGAGTAGCTGGGACTACAGGCGCACACCACCACACCTGGCTAATTTTTGTATTTTTAGTAGAACAAGTTTCACCATGTTGGTCAGGGTGGTCTCGAACTCCTGACCTTGTGTTTGAAGCCCATCTTGGCCTCCCAAAGTTCTGGAATTACAGATGTGAGCCACCGCACCCGGCCTGTTTCTGAATATCTTTTATAATGTCTTCTTTTCTAATTTTGTTGGAGTCTTCTCTCTTTTTTTCTTTGTCAGTTTTGTTTATGGATTTAAAAGACTGGTTCTTAGTTTTGTTAGTGGTAAAAGTGGTCATCCTTGTTGTGTTCCAGCTCTTAAAGGAAAGGCTTTCAGTTTTTCCCTATTCAGTGTGCTACTAGCTGTGTCTGTTGTATTAATATATGGTTTTTATCATGTCGAAGGTCTGTTCTTTCTATATCCAGTTTTTCATTAGTTTTTATCATGAAGGGATGTTGAATTTTATCAAATGTGTCTTCAGAATTATTTGAAATGATCATATGGTTTTGTCCTTCATTCTGTTGATATGATATACTGATTGATTTGCATATATTGGACTATCCTTGCATCCCTGTGATAAATTCCACTTGGTCATGATGAATAGTTTTTATTTTATTTTATTTTATTTTATGTTAGTTCTTGAGTACATGTGCAGGATGTGCAGGTTTGTTGCATAGGTAAACATGTGTCATGGTGATCTGCTGCAACTGTCAACCCGTCACCCTGGTATTAAGCCTAGCATGCATTAGCTATTTTTCCTGATGCTCTCCCTTCTCCACGCCCTCCAAAAAGCCCCAGTGTGTGTTGTTCCCCTCCCTGTGTTCACATTGTTCAGCTCCCACTTATAAGTAAGAACATGTGGTGTTTGGTTTTCTGTTCCTGCATTGGTTGGCAGGGGATAATGGATTCCATGTCCATGCAAGGACATTATCTTGTTCCATTTTATGGCTGCATAGTATGATGAATGGTCTTTTTAATGTGTTTTTGAACCTGGTTTGCTTATATTTTGTTAAGGATTTTGGCCTGTGTTTATACTGCCCAGTACTTTCTCTTTTTAATTGTCTTTGTCTGGTTTTGATATATGAGTAATACTGGCCTCATACAATGGGTTTAGAAGTATCTCTTCCTCCTCTTTTTCAGAACAGTTTGAGTAGGATTGGTGTTAGTTCTTTAAATGTTTGGTAAAATTCAGCCGAGGGCGGTGGCTCACACCTGCAGTCCCAGCACTTTGGGAAGCTGAGGCGGGTGGAGATGGAGAGCATCCTGGCTCTACTAAAAATAAAAAAATTGGCCAGGTATGGTGGCACGTGCCTGTAATCCCAGCTACTCAGGAGGCTGAGGCAGGAGAAATCGCTTGAACCCGGGAGTCGGAGGTTGCAGTGAGCCAAGGTCGCACCACTGCACTCCAGCCTGGCAACAGAGTGAGACTCCGTCTCAAAAAAAAAAAAAATTATGTAAGTTTCAGCAGTGAGGCCAACCACGGTGGCTCACGTCTGTAATCCCAGCACTTTGGGAGGCTGAGGTAGGTGTATCGCCTGAGGTCAGGAGTTCAACACCAGCCTGGCCAACATGGTGAAACCCTGTCACTACTGAAAATACAAAAGTTAGCCAGGCATAGTGGCAGATGCCTATCATGCCAGCTACTTGAGAGGCTGAGGCAGGAGAATTGCTTGAACCCAGGAGGCAGAGGTTACGGTGAGCCAAGATCATGCCACTTCACTCCAGTCTGAGCAAGGGTGAGACTCCACCTAAAAAAAACAAAAACAAAAAACTTTAACAGTGAAGCCATCAGGTCCTGGGCTTTTCTGTGAGACTTTTTATTATGGCTTCATTCTTGTTAACTTATTACTGGTCTGTTCAGATTTTGTATTTCTTTTAGTTCAGTCTTGGCAAGTTGTAATTGTATATGTAATGTGTCTGTTTCTTACAGGTTTTCTAATTTATTGGTATATATAGTTGCCAGTAATAGCCTGTAGGGATTCTTTGTAATTCTACATTTATCAGTTGTAATATCTCTTTTATCCTCTCTGATTGTATTTATTTGAGTCTCCTGCTTTTTTTTTGTTGTTGTTAGTCTAGCTAAGAGTTGGTCAATATTGTCCTTTTAGAAAATGAACTTTTTGTTGCATTGATCTTTTATTTTGTTTTCTTCATTTATTTCTACTCTAATCTTTATTTTTCTTCTAACTTTGGTTTGATTTGCTCCTTTTTTCTACTTGTTTAAGATGCATTTTTAGGTTGTTTCATTGGAAGTTTTTCTTTTTTGCTGTAGGCACTTATAGTCATAAACTTTCCTGTTAGTACTGGTTCAAGTCAGCTATTGTTTTTTTTATTTATTTTTTTTTATTTTTTTTTGCCAGGTGGGTGGGTCTGGGTGCTTTATACATTATTCTAAAGTAGGTGTTGAATTCCCCTACTATATTTTTGTATTGCCATAAACATCCTCCTTCATATCTGTCAATATTTTCTTTATATATGTGTAGGTACTCTGATGTTGGGGTGCCAGATATATTTCTGATAGTTACACTTTCCAGTTGAATGGACCCACTTGTTACTAGGTGATGACCTTTCTTTGTCTAGAGACAGTTTTAGATTTATCTCCCGTAGGATTTGTTATGGTAGCAGGACGAGCCGCAGACAAAACTTCTCAGAGACGTAGTTGTAGAAGGAAGGGCTTTATTCAGCTGGGAGTATTGGCAAGCTACTGCCTTAAAATCCGAGTTCCTTGCATGAGCAATTCCTGTCCTTTTTAAGGGCTCACAACTGTAAGGATTTCACATGAAAGGGTTGTGGTTGATTTGAGCAAGCAAGGGGTACATGACGGGCTGCATGCACCAACGGACAGAGAGAAACAGAACAAGGCAGGGAGTTTCACAGTGTTCTTCTATACAATGTCTGGAATCTATGAATAACATTGGTTCTAAGTTATGAGCTGATTTTTAACTACGGGGTTTAGGCCAGGCAGGCCCAGGCCTGGTTTCGGGCCTGGCGCCAGGCTGCCTGTCTTTGGTTTTACTTTTTTGTTTTTTAAAACAGGTACTGAGTATAAAACAATATGAGAGGGTCTCTCTCTTCCCTCATTTCCCCCCTTTGAGAATCTCACTTTTTTATTAGTGGGAGTTCTCACTTTTATTTTTGCTACTTATGTCTTTTTGTGCAATAGATTGATAGTGATTTATATAGTACACTTGTGCTGAAGCATTTTGGTGAACTAAGGTAGCGATGAAGCTTTTATATATTTAAAGAAGTACAGGTAGCAAACAAGGGAGCAGTAAGCAGGTTTTTATTACTATTATTACTCTTAGAGTTTAAATCCTTTTATTGCTGGGAACTAATTTCTAAACATGGCTCCTGGATTGAGTCTGTGCCACACTTGCACAGGTACATGTGCCAGTTTTGTTATCTCTTTAACTATATCCTCAACTACTTGCCTCTGATCATCTATGTGTAGACAACAATTAGTAAGGTTAAATTTTCTACAAACTTCTCCTTCAGCTGCTAGCAAGTAGTCAAGAGCTAGTCTATTTTGATAGATAGTATTTTTCATCAGAGTCTCTTGCTGGGCAGGAACAGTCAAGACTTGATCGGTTTTATTAGTAATAATTTCTAAAACAGCTTGTAACCCTATGATTCGGTTGAGCATGTAGATGGGGTTCGATATCCTCGTGAGCCATCTTATGCTAAGTGACGGGTCTATAGTATTGTATGATTCAGGGGGCCATTCATTATCTTTCTAATCACCTATGGCTATGCTTCATTTTTCTCAGGAAGCAGACTGGGAAGCCTAGAAGTTCACTGTTTTTATGGGCAGTGAGAAGAAAGATGGCTTAATGGTGCCAAATACACAGCTACCTGTCCACTGATCAGGCAGCTTAGCATAAGCTGTGTGTCTGCATATCTAGTATAACCTGGTGGGGGCCGTCCAGTCCCGGTGGAATTCTGGGTGGGCCTAAATAGTCTGCAACTTTGGAAATTTACTGAATGGATCTTTTTCTGTGTAATTGGAACTCCACCATGTAACTGTTTTTGGTGGGTTTTTTTTTTTTTTGCGGTACTATTATACAGTTTTTGCCTTACACAACTAAGTCACCTTACAGAATGAGTGAATTCTTTTCGTTTTTAGCTATGCAATATTGTCTAATAATTAAGACTTTTAGAACTTAGAGATGATCAGGGTGATTCTTTTGGGCCAGGAATTCATCAGGAACTGGGTCTGTAGGCACTAATTCTTGGGTTTCTTATGGCCATTGATCTCTTATTAGTTTTTCTACAAACATAACATGAAGTGACATTTAGAGACTGGGCTACATGCTCGGCTAATTGCAAAAACAAATTTCTGGTTTTTCTTGGAGTCTCTGGTACGGGCACATTTAGTTTATCATAGAAAGTCTGAAATACTGGTTCTGGAGAGCATCTTTGAACCTCTCCTTTTATTAGGATGTTTATGCTAGGACTTAGTCTTTTCTTATTGATGCCTAGAGATATGTGTTCTCCTTTTTTCTACCTTGGGTTTAAGGGATTTGTAATTATTAATTTCAAGGGGTTGCAGCCTCTATTCATGCAGGAGGGGCTGCCTTCTCTTTTTTTGCAGCTAAGGATCTTTTTCATCTTTTTTCTAAGTCTAGATGACACAAGACTAGTAATTACACACATCTTACATAAATATGATTCTTGACAGATATACTTATTTTTTACTGTGTAACTTTTTTTGTGTGTGTGTGATTTAGAGCACCGCATCTTATTCTATGCTGCTTACTATCAGTAGCAGCACAAGTGTCAAATTTTTTTTTTTTTTTCCAAAAGCCTTGTTTTTATTTATATAGAGTCCTAACCACTTCGGTGGTAGGAGGAGTGGGAGAGGCTCTTTTTTCAATCCAGGGACCTCCATGATATTTGTTTGTTGTTACCAAACACACAGGTAAGTGGCATCACGGATCTGGTAAACTAACAACAATGTTTAGTCTCTCTCTGCTAGAGCAACAAGATGAGCATCAATCTCTGCTTCTGTAAGAATCCTGAATTTAGGATTTTCAACTGTCACTACTCCAACTTCTATTTCTGAAGGTTTGAAATCAATTGATAGAACAGTAGACAGGCATGTAATTGCAGTTTCCAAAGTCTGTTCAAATGTCCAGTCAAATTTCTTCTTCACTTTTTTTTCTAGGAAGCTGGTTGACTCAGTTTGTTTAACTCCCACTGCAGTGGCTTTACACCCACAATAGTAACCTGCAGGATCACACTTACATACCTGAGGGCCTTGCTCTTCATCTATACCAATTAAAATCATACAACAACCAAGAGGCCTCATTTCAGCATTCCGTGTGTAGACCTGAGAAATATCGGCAATTCTTTTACACAGCATGTCCACAGGAATTTCATAGCCATACTTGTATTTCCAGTTAGCTGCCTCATAGCGTGCCCTCTGTACCTGGGATCTGCTGTCAGCTGTCATTCCGGTCATAACACAACCAATGTTTTCAGTTATCTTGAATAAGGGAGTCACTGTGCTGGAATCCAATAATTTGTCAGGTACTTTCTTCTGTGGGACAATTACTACACAGTCTTAACCTCTGACAGCTACTGATGTAAGGCCACCCTGGTTAATAGCCTTAAAAGCATATTCTACTTGGTAGAGCCGACCCTCGGGTGAAAAAATGGTAATGTGGCGGTCAAAACCAGCGCTGGAACCATGGGACATGTTGGTAGAAGCACTACTTCAAACACAATCCCTGGGCCCCATAGCTCCCGCACCAGGCACACAAGCACCTCCCAAGTGTCAAATTTTAAGGTTACATTTTTGGGGACCTTTCTTTTTTCTATCCTAGCTATTACCTTACTTGTGTCACCTAGAAAAGGACCAGTCCTTAATTTTATTTTAAAAACTGTGATCATGGGAGGCTTAAAATGGGTCATAACATGCATTAGGTTGGTTATTCCCTGGGCTACATACCTTGGATAGAATAGCATTATATAAACAAGTTTCTTTTAGAGTCCTGGTACACTTATAATAACCATAAAATAATAGGACTGTAGCAATCTTTTCTCTTACCTCAGTGGCCTGATGTATGCACTGAAGGCAGTCGCCTGTGTGGGAAGAAGCAGTGGAAGCTTTTACTACACAGGTCTATGTTATAAGGAAAATAAGTCCTAGGACAGTTTTCCTCATGCCTTGGCTCTGCGTAGACCAGTCAGCTTCCGGGTGTGACTGGAGCAGGGCTAGTCGTCTTTTTCAGAGTCACTTTGCAGGGACTGGCGAAGCTGCTCTCATCCATGTACAGCTCCTAGTCTACTGATGTTTAAGGATGGTCTTGCAGGTTGGGCCTTCTAGAATAAACTGAGTCCAATACTTTTACACAGTTATGTTTAACTGGGCTCTCTGATACCAGGAGCAAGGTGGCGGGGTTTAGGGTGTTGCAAACTTCAGTGATTATGCGGGCATTTTCACAGAGCAAGCTTTGGTATCTAGTTAGTCTAGCATTCATTAGCTAATGGTGTCCTTTGGTATTTATTAAAATCACTACAGCATGGGGGAACTTTAGGTTTTGCCTAAGAGTTAGCTTATTTGCTTCTTATGCTAACAGGACCGTTGCTACCAGGGCCTTTGGACATGGGGGCCAGCCTTTGGAAACCCTATCTAGTTGTTTTGAGAGGTAGGCCACTGGCCTTGGCCAGGACCCTACAGTCTGGGTTAAAACTCCAACTGCCATTTTTTCTCTTTCTGACACATACTGTGTAAAGAGTTTTGTCAGGTCAGGTAGCCTCAGGGCTGGGGCTGACATGAGTTCCTCTTTTTAACTCGTGAAAAGCTTGTTGCTGTTTGTTGTAAAAGATGTAGTTTATCTAATTTACGTTTTTATCGACTGTCATCTATTAAAATATTGACTTAAATACTGTAACTATTTGATTTCAAGCTTTAAATTGATCTGGTATTTTTTGCAGGGCTCTAATTGCATCTAAATAGATGCGAGAGTTGAAAGACTTATAAGGGGCTTCTCTCGCTTTATGATGTCTTATTTTTTTTTCCCTCTGGTTGATTAAATGCCAGGGTAAAAGGGATAGCTAAATGGACTAATGCACAAGTGCCACTCTAGTTATTCAGCAGAGTGCCCAGTAAAGGTCCACCACAATATCACTACACATCCACTGAGGGTTGAACAAGGGGTGACTGATTGATAAGCTCTTGAAAATTGTTAAGCTCACTGCATCCCTTCAGGTCTCCAAGGAATGCTAAGTCTCCTCCTTGCCATGAGAGACAAGAAGTGAACTTAGTGTTGGGAGACAGAAGCTGGATGGCCCTCAGGGGCAGACCCGCAGGGATTCTGGGATATAGCAGAGAGAGCTTGGCATGACTTATTACTCCAGGCTGTAGAATTCTGTAAAAGAGCTACCATGCAGCCCACACCTGGTCGACTGGAGGACCACCTTAGCGGAAGGGGGACAATCAGGGCCTCTGGCCTACCATGTGCACAAGCATAACAACTGCTTTTGTTTAATGTGCAGATGGAATATTTGATCTATTTCAGCTAGGCATTTGCATCTTGGTATGCTGTCTTAATTGCCAAAGTTCATTTTAAGTCTTTAACTTCTATGATCCTCTAGTAAAATGAATGTTTCCTTTAGCACCTATTTTTATTAGTTTTTAGACCAAAGAAAGCTAAACACCATTTTATATTTAATAATGCTTCTTGTATGACTTTTATACCAGATAAGCTGAATTTTACCTTTATATTAGTGTGTTAATGTTAAACTTAATTTTAATAAAACCTTGTAGACATATTTATCCAATTTTTTATGTTTGACCATAAGGTAAGATTTTATAGACTCTTTTTAACCTTTTATAATTTTTGTTAAAGAGCAGGTTGATGCTTTAAGAGAAACCTGTTGCATTTTTACTTTAATGTGTAGTTCACAGAGAAACTGGATGATACTTTTTTAACTTTAGCTAATATGGTTACACACAGAATTTTTTTTATAATTAACATTTTAAAACTTGCTTAAACTTTCAAAACAATAATTTTTTTAACCTTTTAATGTAGGTAAAAATCTACATTCTTATGCCTCCTTTTAATCTTTTTACTAAAGGTATATTTTACTTTTTTTATACACCTTGCACATAAACTGTTTCTTCAGTAGTACTCAGGAGGCCTTATTACTTTTAAATTATACAACATTTTTTGCATAAAAATTTTTTTATAACTTTTTTGTCTTTCACAACTTTCACAGACAATTTTTCAACATGTCTCAACTTTCACTTATTACAAACTTTTTTTTTCTTTAAACAGCCAGTTAATTTATTTCGGGACAAGAATTTAGTATATAACACTCTTCTTACATAAATTCTGCCTCCACCCCTTTTTTTCAAAGCAAACTTTCTTTATGTCTTTGGACTAGACTGTCTAAGGCCACAAGATTAGAAGTTACCATGATACGTTATACTGTTAACTTTTAGCAAACTTCACTTTTACTGAAAACCTTGTAAGTTTGAGATTTTAATTATCTTTTGCTAGACCTTGTTTAGTCTAAATTAACTTAGAATTGATATAGATGGCCTCGTTTTCTCTCTGCTGGTTTTTCCTTGCCTCTGCCAGCCGCTTATGCTGCTGTTCTCTTAACTACTGTTAGGGGCCGGGGAAGTGGGTCTAAAACCAGCTGTAACTGTCTATGTACGGAAACTGGTCTGGGTGCCTTGGCTTACAGGTTACCTTGTGTCATACCTTTGAAACAAGGGACCTACCTGTCCAAGCTTCCTTCTGATGGCCAACCCACCTCTAATGCTGGCCAGTCTATTTCACACAAAGTTCTAAGTTTTCCTAGTGTCACAGTAACACCGTAATCTCCTTTAAATTCTTTCTTGAAAATTTTTTTAACATAGTTCCTAGTGGGGTGGTCTTATTTGTGCCTGGCCTATGCTTCTTCAAGACAAAACACTAAGCTGACACCACATGCACACCACAAAACAAAGAACAGGTAAAAAGGGCACACACACACTTTTGCAGTTTACACCAAACCAAAATCAAAACCAAAATCAGAGTATCTAGAAATCCAAGCCAGATCAGAACCAAAACCAAAGTATCATGCAATCTAACTCAAGTCAAAACCAGAACAAAAGTGCCAATGCAGGCACTCCATGGGTGATCAGGCCATGCTTCCACTCCGATGGAATGGGGCAGGTTCCAAAGACTGGTCTTACCAAGTCAAGCCAAGTCAAAACCGGAACAAAAGTGCTAATACAGGCACACCATGGGTGATGAGGCCACGCTTCCACTCAGGTGGAGTGTGGCAAGTTCCAAAGACTAGTCTTACCAAGTTTCAGATGTCCAGACTCCAAGTGCCAGTTCCTTCCTGGTGTTCAGCCACTGTGCTGATCCTCTGCAGGGGCCTGCTACGCGCTGCTTTGGCTAGGCGTTCCACCCAGGCAATTTCTTTCCCGGGAGCGCTCTTTGGATTGCGTCACTCAGGCTGGCCGGAGTCCCCTGCAGGGATGCTCCGCAGGGCAGGCCTAAGGGGCTGCCTCGGCCGTCTGTCAGTTATCATGTTTCCCGGTCAGGGAACCAAGAAATGTAGCAGGATGAGCCGCTGATAAAGCCTCTCAGATACCGAGTTGTAGAAGGAAGGGCTTTATTCAGCTGGGAGTATCAGCAAGCTACTGCCTTAAAATCTGAGCTCCCCCAGTGAGCAATTCCTGTCCCTTTTAAGGGCTCACAACTCTAAGCATTTCACTTGAAAGGGTCATGATAGATTTGAGCAAGCAAGGGGTACATGACAGGGGCTGCATGCACCGGTGGTCAGAGAGAAACAGAACAAGGCAGGGAGTTTCACAGTGTTCTTCTATACAATGTCTGGAATCTATGAATAACATCAGTTTCTAAGTTATGAGTTGATTTTTAACTACTGGGTTTACGCCAGGCAGGCCCAGGCCTGGTTTCAGGCCTGGTGCCAGGCTGCCTGTCTTTGATTTTACTTCCTTGTTTTTTTTTGTTTTTTAAATAAGTACTGAGTATAAAACAATATGAGAGGGTCTCTCTCTCTTCCCTCATTATGTTGTGTTTTTATTGTTACTTGTTTGAAGCAGTTTTTAAATTTTATTCTTAATCTCTTTATTGGCCTTCTGTCCATTCTAGAATGTTTGAAACTATAAAAACAATTGGAAAATTATAATTGTTTTTCCAGTTGAAAAATTTTCCCCAACAAATTTTCCAGTTGCTTTTATACTTTCAAAAGTTCTGCTTGTTACTGATGTCTAGTTTTATTCCATTATGGTCAGAGAAGATATTTCATATTGTTTCATTTTGTTTTTAATGTTTTAAGACTTGTTTTTTGGCCTATCATGTGGTCTGGCCTTGAGAATGATGCATATGCTGAGGAGAAGAATGTGTATTCCGCAGCCATTAGATGAAATGTTCTGTAAATATATGTCAGGTCCATTTGGTCTATAATGCATACTAAGTCCAATGCTGCTTGGTTCATTTTCTGTCTGAATGATCTGACTTGCCCTACGCTGAAAGCAGGGTGTTGAAGTCTCTAGCCATTGTTGTACTGGGATCTATATCTTCCTTTAGTTCTCATAATATTTGCATATATATACATATATGTATATCTGTGTGCTACAGTGTTGGGTGCATATATGTTTGCAATTGTTAAACCCTCTTATTGAATTGACCCCTTTATCATTATATAATGACTTTCTTTGTTCTTAATAGGTTTTATTTTGAAATCAGTTTTGTGGCATAAATACAGCCACTCCTGTTCTTTGCTCATTTTTGTTTGCATAGAATATCTCTTTTCATCCCTTTCTTTTCAGTCTCTGTAGTTTCAGTTTCTTGTAGACAGTATGTTGTTGCATCTTTTTAATTCTGCACTCAGCCACTCTATTTCTTTTGATTGGAGAGCTTAGTTCATTTACATTCAATGTTATGGAAAAGGAATTACTCCTGTAACTGTATTTTTGTTTCATCATTCTGTGTTTTTTCTTTCCTTGCTGTCTCCCTTTTTATGAAGGTGATTTTCTCTGGTGATACTGATGACAACTTAACACTGATTGCAAAAACAAGCAAAGAGAAAACTAAAGGAATTCACACTTTAATTTCATCCCCCTTTTAAACTTTCTGTTGTTTCTATTTATATCTTACTATATTGTCTGTATCTTGAAAACTTTTTGTAGTTAAATTTGGTACTTGAAGAACTCCTGTTAGCATTTCTTGTAGAGCGAGTCTGGTATTGGTGATATCCTTCATCTTTTGTTTGTCAGAAGTATTTCTCCTTTGTGTTTGATATTTTTGCTGGATATACTATTCTGGAAATTTTTCTCCTTAAGCACTTTAAGTATGTCATGCTGCTCTCTCCTGGCTTTTAGGGATTTCACCAGGAAGTCTGCTGACAAACGTTTTGGAGCTTTTTTTTTTTTTAAGTATGTTACTTGTTTCCCCTGTCACTGCTTTTAGGTCTTTCCTTTGTCTTTGATCTTTGGTAATTTTATTCTTAAAGGCCTAAGATCATCTTATTGGGGTTAAATCTGCTTGGTTGGCTGTGTGTAGTGGCCCATGCCTGTAATCCCAGCACTTTGGGAGGCCAAGGCAGACGGATCACCTGAATTCAGGAGTTCAAGACAGCCTGGCCAACATGGTGAAACCCCATTTCTACTAAAAAAAATACAAAAATTAGCTGGGCGTGGTGGTGGGCGCCTGTAATCCCGGCTAATTGGGAGGCTGAGGTAGGATAATTGCTTGAAGCCAGGAGACGGAGGTTGCAGTGAGCCAACACGGTGCCACTGCACTCCAGCCTGGGCAACAGAGTGACACTCCATCTCAAAAACCAAAAAATGTGCTTGGTATTCTGTGACGTTGTTGTACTTGAATATTGATACCTTTCTCTTGCTTTGGGAAGTTCTCCATTTTCCCTTTCAATAAACTTTCTACCCTGATGTTGCTCTCTGTCTCCTTTTTTTTTGAGACAGAGTTTTGTTCTTGTTGCATAGGCTGGAATGCAGTAGCGCAATCCAAGCTCACTGCAACCTCCACCTCCTGGGTTCAAGTGAGTCCCCTGCCTCAGCCTCCCACATAGCTGGGACTCCAGGCACATGCCACCATGCCCAACTAATTTTTGTATTTTTAGTAGAGATGGGGTTTCACTATGTTGGCCAGGCCTGGTGTCCTGACCTCAGGTGATCTGCCCACCTCAGCCCCCAAAGTGCTGGCATTACAGCTGTGAGCCACCATGCCTGGCCTCTATCTCCTCTTTAATGCCAATAACTCTTAGATTTGCCTTTTTAACACTCTTTATAGAGCTTGTAGGTGTGCTTTAATCTTTTTTATTTTGTCTCCCCGATAGTATATTTTCAAATAGCCTGTTTTCAAGCTTACTGATTCTTCTGATCAATTCTGCTATTAGAAATCTCTGATGCATTCTTCAGTGTGTCAGTTGCATTTTTTTAACTCTAGAATTTCTACTTGACTCTTTTTAATCTCTTTGTCAAATTTATCTAATAGAAAATTCCTTCTCTCTGTTATGTTACATACAGTTGTGGTTCCTCAAAACAGCTGTTTTGAATTATTTGTCTGAAAGGTCATGGATCTCTTGTCTCTCTGGGACTGACCCCTGGTGCCTTACTTAATTTGGATATATCATGTTTCTCTGGATTGTCGCAGATGTGGATGTTTGTCAATGTCTGGGCATTGAGGAGTTATTTATTGTAGTCTTCATGTCTGGGACTGCTTCTACCTGTCTTTCTTAGAGGAAGGTTTTCTAGGTATTCAAAGGCGATTTGATGTTGTAATCTAAATCTTTGGTCAGGCCGGATATGGTGGCTCATGCTTGTAATCCCAGCCCTTTGGAAGTCCAAAGCAGGTAGATCATGAGGTCAGGAGTTCGAGATCAACCTGGCCAACATAGTGAAATCCCATCTCTGCTAAAAATAAAAAAATTACCTGGCATGGTCGTGGGCATCTGTAATCCCAGCTACTCTGGGGATCCTGAGGCAGGAGAATCGGTTGAACCTGGGAGGTAGAGGTTGCAGTGAGTCAAGGTCATGCCATTGCACTCGAGCCCAGGCAACAGTGTGAAACTCCATCTCTAAAGAAAAAAATCTTTGGTTGCTGCAGCCGTATCTGCCTAAGGGGCACCCCAAGCCCAGTAACACTGTGATTTTTATGAACTCATAGAGTTACTGCCTTCATGGTCTTGGGAATGATTCAGTAGAATTCTCTGCATTACCAGGTATACACTCTTGTTCTCTTCCCTTACTTTTCTTCAAACAAATGGAGGCAGAGACTTTCACCATTTTAACTCTAGACTTTCACCATGCTGAGACTCCTGGAGCTGAGGGACAGGTGACACAAGCACCCTTGTGGCCATCACCACAGGGACTGCACTGGTTCAGACCCAAACCCAGCACAGCGCACTGGCTCTAACCCAAAGCCCCAGGGTGACCACTGCCTGGCTCCTTCTGTTATTTCCCCACCTACATCAATTAGCAGATGGTGAATGCAGCCAGGAATGTGTCCTTCCTTTGAAGACATCAGGCTTCTCCCCAGCCAAGGGGGAGTTTAGAAATGCCACCTGAGAGACAAGGCCTTGAGTCTGGAATGTTAGGATTCTACCTGGTGCTCTCTTCTACTGAGTATGAGTTGGTACCCAAACTTACAAGACAAAGTCTGCCCCACTCTTCCCTCTACTTCTTGCAGAAGTAGTCTGTCCACATGGTTTCTGTACTCCCAGAGTCACAGAAAGTTCTGCCTGGCTCCACCGAAGTTCACGGAAGGCCCAAGGGCTCTTCAGTCAGCTTATGCTGAATGCAGTCAGATTTGGATCTCTCTCTTTAGGCCAGCAGGCTCCTTTTTTCTTAGAGTGGGTCCAGAATGCCATCCAAGTGCCAACACCTGAAATTGGGGGCCCCCAGGAACCTGCTTTGTGCTCTACCCAACTGTGGCCACACTAGTGCCCAAACTGCAAGACAAAGTCCCGTTTACCTCTTCCCTCTCCTTTCCTCAAACAGAAGGAATATTTCCTCATGGCCACCCCTGTTGAGAATATACTGGGTCACACCTGAAGCCAGCATGGCCCGAGGTCTCAGCTAAGGATTGTGACAAATACTGTCAAGGTATGGCTGATACTTCAAGACCCAAGGCCTCTGTAGCCTGCAGATGTTGAATCTTGCCAGAACTGGGTCTTCTCCTCTCCTTCAAAGGAGTGAGTTCTTTTCTGGCCCAGGGTATGTCTAGAAATGTCATCCAGGAAGTATGGCCTGGAAAGGGAGCCTCAGGACTCTGCATGATGGCGCCCTGTTCTACTCTGGCAGAGCTGGTATTCATGTTGCATGACAAAGTCCTCTTTATTCACCTTTTTCTCCCCAAATGAAAGGAAAGAGTCTCTCCAAGAGCTGCAAGCAGTGCTGCCTAGAACTGGGGAAGGGTGACACAGTTACTCCCTTGGCTTCCCTCACTGGTCTCTCACTTGGTCACATGCACCTCAAGTCCAATGGCTCTGAGCCCGGTACAGCACTAGGACTTGCCTGAGAACTACAGTCTTTGTGGCAGATACTGACTTTTATGTTCATTTAGTACCCAAGAGCACATTAGTCCGTAGTGATGGGACTAGCTAGAACTCAGGTTCTGACTGCTGGGAAGGACAGTTCTCTGGCTAGATCTGGTCTAAATGCTCCCCCAGTGGGTACCAGCAGAATTTTTCCTCATGTTGCTTTTCACTGAACCAAGGCAGCACAGAGTTTCAATGCAAAGTCCAGCAGTCACAGCTCTCTTTCCCCCATGCACACGTTCTTTGCTCAACACAGTCACTGACGGGGTTTGGGGATGGGTGATGTCAGTGATTCGAAAGTGTCTTTTCTACCTCCTTCAGTGCTTTTTAAAAAATATTGTGTCAAAACTAGGTACGGTGATTGCTTACCTGAGTTTTGCTTCTGATGAAGGTGCTTTCGTGTGTAAATAGTTGATCAGTTTGGTGTTCCTGCAGGGGTGATGATAACTGGAGTGTCCTTTATGGCCCTCTTGTTCCCTTCTAAAGTATATTGTAGTTAACCCTTCTATTTTAAATTGAAAACAACTTAATTTGAATCACGTACAAAACACAACATTTTTACTGCCCGCAGATAACACACATTTTATGCTCTTAAAATTAGTTTGCCTCTTTTAACATTGTATTAACACATTTTAATCTTCTAACTCTTGTATTAAGGTTAAGAATAACCTTGTTCACCACTTGTACGGTGTTGCATTAATTTTTATGTGTTCATGAACTTATATTCAGAGTTATGTTTTTCTGTGTTTTTGCTTTGCTTTTTAGCATGTGTTTGTTTCAATTTGAAGAACTTCTTTAAGCATTTCTGTTAAGGCAGATCTACTGCTAACTCACTCAGTTTTGTGTGTCTGAGAAAGACTTTACGTCTCCTTTAATTTTAAAGGATAATTTTGCTGAGCATATTATTTTTTGAGGGCAGATTTGTTTTTGTTTTTGTTTTTGTTTTGTTTTTTCTTACTCTTAATATTACCACAGTCTTCTCTGGTTTGTAAAGTTTCTGCTGATTCCCTTAAATGTGATGGTTTGTTCTTCTCTTGCTATTTTCAAAACTCTCTTTGTCTTTGTTTTTTTTGGGGGGGGTTTTTTGAGACGAGTCTCGCTCTGTTGCCCAGGCTGGAGTGCAGTGACGGGATCTCAGCTCACTGCAAGCTCTGCCTTCCGGGTTGACGCCATTCTCCTGCCTCAGCCTCCCGAGTAGAGTAGCCGGGACTACAGGTTGCAGCTGGGCTGCAACCACGCCCAGCTAATTTTTTGTATTTTTAGTAGAGACGAGGTTTCACCGTGTTAGCCGGGATGGTCTCGATCTCCTGACCTCGTGATCCGCCCGCCTCAGCTTCCCAAGGTGCTGGGATTATAGGCGTGAGCCACCACGCCCAGCCGTTGTCTTTGATTTTAAGCAATTAAATAATGTGTCCTGGCAAAGATCTTTTGATGCTTAGTTTATTTGGGGTTTTTGGGCATAATGAATTCGAATATGCTTTTCTTCTGCAGTTTGGGGAAGTTTTATATCTTTCTTCCTTTCTCTACTTATTTATTTATTCATTCATTCATTCATTTTTGATACAGGGTCTTGCTCTGTTACCCAGGCTACAGTGCAGTGGTATGATTAGGGTTCACTGTAGCCAGAACCTCCCAGGTTCGAGTGATCCTTCCACCTCAGCCCCACTTAGTAGCTAGGACCACAGGAACATACCACCATGCCCAGCAATTTTTTTCTTTTTTATGTAGAGAAAGGATTTCATCATGTCATCAAGACAGGGCTCAAAACTCCTGACTTCAAATGGTCTGTCTGCTTCAGCCTCCCAAAGTGCTGGGATTACAGGCTTGAGCCACTGCACCCAGCCTTATCTCAATTATTGTAGCCTTATATCATGTACCTAGTTAGAGACAAAGTATTTAAAAATATATCTTTCTAATATGAAAACACTTCTTAATAATTGTGACACATGACTTCAGTTCAAGACAGTGACAACTTTGAGAAGTTGGATACTGATGTTAGAAAAAGCTTTGGAAATGCAGAACTTCAGATTTAAAGGAGGAAGCTAACTGAGGCATTCCGTGTACTAGTTTGTAATTGCCCTGAGAGAGAGAAAACATTAGAAAATCTTAGTGAGGAACAGAACCTGAAAGAGTATTTCTGTTAAAGAATAGGAAAAATGAGGAATCAGAATTGCTGGACTTTGGCGTGCTTCACTCAGGCATCGTTTATGCCTGTCACTGAGATTGAAGCTAAAGGATAAGGAAGACAAATGAGTTAGTTGTAGAGAGTAGTACTTATCATCTTGGCTTTTAGACATGTAGAATTTAAATCTTCAAAGAATGTTTAAGTAAAAATTTCTGTTAAAAGATCAGGTTTATGTACACATCTATTGCTTAAGGAGTCTGAAATATAGGCTAGAGTACTAAATAGTTGTTGATAAGGTGATGAATACTGACGTTTCTGAACTCTTAGCTATTTTCATAACACCATGGAAGGACTGCATTAAGTACTACATTAGTAGATTGACTAACCTCGTTTTAATTTATTCAACTCCTACAGTTTTTCTATATTAAGATGCATTTTTAAATATATCAAATTTGCCAATAGCTACACTTTCCCAATATACATATGAATACTTTCCCCCAGATATTGTATTTTGGAATTTTTCAAACCTACAGAAAAGTTAGGGAGATAGTACGCTGCATGCTGATAGAACATTCACCTGCTTTTATCAGTTAAGTTTTTGCCGTGTTTATTTGTAGGCTTTCTATATTAATATGCTCACATAAACATGTTTAGGTGAACTAGGTGAAATTACATTACATATATTGTATGCGACCCCAAATAATTCATCTCTGCATCTTTAATACAGTAATTTCCTTTCATAGCCACCATACCATTGTTATACCTAAGAAAATTAAAAACATTATATTATATCTAGATAAAATTTACACCCTATTAAAAAACGGCCTTTTTAAAAGTCTTGCTTCTTCACTTATTTTTTTTATTTTTATTTATTTATTTATTTATTTATTTATTTTTTTGAGACAGAGTTTTGCTCTTGTTGCCCAAGCTGGAGTGCAATGGCGTGATCTCAGCTCACCGCACCTCCGATTCCTGGGTTCAAGTGATTCTCCTGCCTCAGCGTCCCTCGTAGCTGGGATTACAGTTGCCCACCACCATGCCTGGCAGCTAATTTTTGTATTTTTAGTAGAGACGGGGTTTCTCCATGTTGGTCAGGCTGGTCTCGAACTCCCAACCTCAGGTGATCTGCCCACCTCAGCCTCCCAAAGTGCTGGGAGCCACTGCACCTGGCCTATTTATTTTTTTATTATTATACTTCAAGTTTGGAGGTACATCTGCAGAACATGCAGGTTTGTTACATAGGTATACACATGCCATGGTGGTTTGCTGCACCCGTGAACCTGTCATCTACATCATTCTCAGCAAACTAACACAACAACAGAATACCAAACACTGCATGTTCTCACTCATAAGTGGGAGTTAATCAGTAAGAACACATGGACACAGGGAAGGGCCTGTCAAGGAGTCGGGGGCTAGGGGAGGGATAGCATTAGGAAAAATACCTGATAAAGATCTTGCTTCTTTTCAGAATCCATTCTTATTCTCAGTTCAGGTTTACTTAAGGTTCCCATTAAATTTAGTACTCGGTTGTTGTATCTGTTTAGTCTTTTTTAAGTATGTAAGAACCCTTTCTAATACATTCTTTCTTTAAGAAACAGATTTAAAAGAAACAAGCCAGTTGTTTTTAGAATGTTCCCTATTTTTTTATCTATCTGGTTCATTTCCTTGTATTTGATACAGGTTAGACTTTTTTTTTTTTTTGAAGTAGTGGAAATAATGTTGCAGTGTAGTATTTTCCTGATTGTATCCACAACAGTTGCTGTGATACAATGTTGCTGTGTCATATATAAATATATTTTTATGTACATAATATTTTTTATAAAAATATATTTAAATATTTAAAATTTTATATATAATATATTGCTGTGATATAATCAGGCAAATAAAACTATAATATTGCTGTGATAAAAATGTTTATTACATATAGTATATAATTTTCATTTTGTATTATGAGATGTTACTAAATTTACCTTAAAGCTTAAAAAAATTAGTGAAAAGGTATTTGTTCCTGCCCTTTATCTGTGTTCATCAAAATAAAGATTTCTACTCTTGATTTTAATTTTAAAATGACTTTATCGAAAGTGAAAGGAAATCCTCACTTTTTGCAACTTATTGATAGTTTCAGATACTTGAAATGTATTGTTTTGGTCTGTGTATTCTTTATATAGCTCTGTGACTTTTCGTTTTCATGAGACTTGTGTATTCATTATGCTTTACTATTAAAAGCATTTCTTTGAACAGAATCCTTGAAAGGAATTAAGTGATAAGGCTGCAGGTACTGGTTAGATTTTTCAGTGTAATTTAAAAGGACCTTCTTTGTGTAGTTAAATGGCAGATGTGATCTGCTACAATAATAAATAAGACTAGCTGTGAGAAGCATAGTAAAAAATAAAAACTTTAGAGGGAGGTTAACTAACCTTATTATCAGTTAACCACATTATTAATTCTGGGTTATGCAACAATAGGTTAGTTTGTTTTTTGCTATTTAAAGCACCATGATAAATATGAGGCCACTTGGAAATCCATCCAAAACAATAGTAAGTATCACATTTTCTTCTGAAAAGTTGAACTTTAGGAAATCTTTAATTCAGGGGAGTATGTCAGACAGGAATTAAAGTAGAAATCATTCTTTTTAGAATACATAGTTTTAAAAATCCATCCTTAGTGATCCCCCAAATAATTATGTATTGTAGAATTCAATACATAAACTAGTAGTTAAAAAGTAACACAAACTAGTAGTTAAAAATACACAAACTAGTAGTTAAAAAGTAATTTTTCTTACCCAGGTGTGGTGCTGTGCACCTGTGGTCTCAGCTACTCAGGAGGCTGAAAAGGGAGAATCACTTGAGCCCAGAAGGTATAGGTCACAGCAGTGAGCCAAGTCACTGCACTGAGCCTCAATGACAGAGTGAAACTATGCCAATAAATTAATTAATTAATTAATTTTCGGAAATTTAAACAGTTCAATTCCAAAGAAATCAACATAAAGTTCGTTTGTTACATATCCTTTGACTATCATTTAAAGCATTACTTATATTTCACTTTTAAAATTTGCTGTCTTAAACGTAAATGTACTTTCGTTCGTTATGCTTCTTATGATGTAACAACTGTTATTTGTCTGTCTTTAACTTTGTAGACTTGGGAGATGTTCTATTTAATGTCACAAAAAAGTGTTAAAAGGAGAACAGAATAGAACAGTGGTGAGAAATCCAAGCCCTGGAGTCCGATCTGCATATAATCTTGGTTTCTTCACTTCTTTGTCTTGGAGTCTCATGGCCAGTTACTAAACTTCTATAATTCTAGCTTCCTTTTCTGCAAAAGTAATAAATAGTAACAATATCTTACATGATTTTTCAGAAATTATTTGGGCCTGATAGTAGAGAATGGTCTAAACATGTTTTCAATGTGTGAACTACTAAAATTTCAGGTGGCACTTATGCCACAACTTTTTCAAAGTCAAAAACTAAACTTTAATAATTGTAATTATTTTAACTGTGTTTAGGAATTTTTCATACTGAGTTCAGATAATATGTTTCTCATTTATTGAGTACAAATTTTTAAACCTTTTGCATATCATAATAGTTTTATATTGCTACTTTAACAAAATACTACAGATTTCCTGACCTAACACATAAATTTATTATCTTAGAGATCTAGGAAGCAATTGTAAGGAAGAATCTGTTGGCTTGCTTTTTCTAGCTTCTTGAGACTGTCTACATTCCTTGATTTATGGACCCCTTCTGTCTTTGAAACCTGCAGAGTCTGATCATGTCTTTCTCACATTGCATCATTCTGACACTAATGCTTCTGTTTCCCTCTTTTATTTTTATGGCCCCTTGCCATTATATTGGACCTAGCCAGATAATACAGGATAATTGTCAGATTTCAAGGTCAGCTGATGAGATACCTTAAATTCATCTGCAAATTTAATTTCCTTTGCCTTGCTGCATCACATAATCACAGATTATGGGAATTAAGATGTGGACATCCTTGTTAGGGAGGTGGATGTAGTTGTTATTCTGCTTACTGTATGTATGTTAACACTCTCATTCTTATTATCTTACTCTTCATAGTATTATTATAAAATAGGTGTCATTATTCTCTTTTTATAGGTGAGGAAACTCAGGCCCAGGATTTGCTCCAAAGAAACTAGTTTACTACAAAGTAATGGATACATAGACACTAGAGCCATACTGTTTGTATTTAAATCTCAGCTTC
Organism: Homo sapiens; assembly: GCF_000001405.40. NCBI lineage: Eukaryota > Metazoa > Chordata > Mammalia > Primates > Hominidae > Homo > Homo sapiens. The sequence goes on along the minus strand of NC_000024.10, from coordinate 13,271,463 downwards.
CTTTTTTGTATACCTGAATTTCCTCATTTCCTAACATATTTATTTATAAATCTGTAGTGTGCATCAATTGCCCAGGAAAATAAAGCCCCTCATTGTTACATTTTAAAGTTGTTTTATTTTGATATTTTTATTTCTAATCAATACTTTTCCTTATTCTAATATTACAAGCGTATTTTATTTCAAGTATATTTTATCCTCTACTCTGAATAAAATCCAACTCTAAAGCATCTCTTTTTAGAAGCCTTCATTTCTCTAGCCTGTTGTCTTTGCTATCCACAGTCCTCATCATCTTAAGTGTCTTATCATTGTACAAATAGGTTATTGATTAAGTTAGAATACACTGTGTACCCTATGTAGATTAGAGGTTTTTTTGTTTGTTTGTTTTTGAGACAAGGTCTCACTGTCACCCAGGCTTATGTGCACTGACATAATCTTGGTTCACTGCCATCTCTACCTCCCAGGCTCAAGCAATCCTACCACCTTAGACTCCCAAGTAACTGGGACCACAAGTGCCTGCCACCACACCGGCTAATTTTTTTTATTTTTGGTAAACAAAGGGTTTTTCTGTGTTGCCGAGGTTAGTCTCAAACTCCTGAGCTCAAGGGATACCCCCACTTCCACCTCCCAAAGTGCTGGGATTACAGGCGTGAGCTACCACACCCAGACATGTACACTATGTAGAATAGAATGCACAATGTATTTCAAATAGAATTGTCAGGGTTATCAAATGTTTAGTGAAACTGTTGATGGTTATTGTGATACCTTGGTTTTTGTCTTCTTAGATTAAAATAATGTAAACAAGAGACACACAGCAAAAGGGGTGTGGCATAGAGTAATTCTTTGCAAAAGAAAAAGAGTATGTTGAAATTTAGGTACAGAATAGAGAGAATACACCCTGAGAAAAAGAGAGATGACACCCTGAGAGAGGATGGGCTGCTTATAGGTATGAAACTGGCCTGAGGGAGACTCCCTGTATGGGAATCTTACATGATTATTTGTAAGGAGGTCAGAAAGATGTTCCTAGTAAGCATGTTGTGGGTGGTCCTCTGGGTCCTCAAGATACTTGTTCATATGTCATATGTCTCATTAGCATCTTAAATCCCTACCCACGGGTGTGCGTTTTCCTATTAAAATGAGCAAATGGTCATTATGAGGATAGGTAAAATCAAAATGTACGTGCTCTTTAGAGGGGAAAGTCTACTGAAGATAGCTTAGGTTGAATGAGCCCAGTGACAATGCAAATGCTAAGGCTTATTGTGTTGGCTATAAGATCATCCCTGTTGAAGCAGCATGCCAAGAACACAGTCATTTCCTTGATTACTTATTTTGCCGCAAAACCTTATTTGTTCTTTTCTTTCAATGCAGAAGCCATTTTTATTCCACGCCTTTTCATATATTCTTTTATCCAAACAACTAAAAAAAAGTCTTAAAAAATAAAATTGATTTGACTCTAGGAGGTGGCTGGCAAAATGGCCGAATAGGAACAGCTCTGGTCTACAACTCCTAGTGAGATCAATGCAGAAGGCAGATTTCTGCATTTCTCACTGAGACACCCTCCTCATCTCACTGGGACTGGTTAGAAAGGGGGTGCAGCCCACAGAGGCGGAGCCAAAGCAGAGTGGGGCGTTGCCTCATCCGGGAAGGGGTCAGGGAACTCCCTTGCTGAGCCAAGGGAAGCCGTGAGGGACTGTACCATGAGGAATCATGCACTTGGCTCAGATACTATGCTTTTCTCAATCTTCAACCCACAGACCCAGAGGATTCCCTCAGGTGCCTACACCACCAGGGCCCTGGGTTTCAAGCACAAAACTGGGCGGCCATTTGGGCAGACACTGAGCTAGCTGCAGTTTTTTTTTGTTTTGTTTTGTTTTGTTTTGTTTTGTTTTGTTTTGTTTTGTTTTGTTTTGTTTTTCATGCCCACAGTGGAGCCTGGAAGGGCCACCAAGACAAAACAGTTCAATCCCCTGGAAAGGGGGCTGAAGCCAGGGAGTCAAGTCGTCTAGCTTAGCAGAGCCCATGGAGCCCAGGAAGCTAAGATCCACTGGCTTGAAATTCTCGCTGCCAGCACAGCAGTCTGAAGTAAACCTGGGACACTGGAGCTTGGTGTGGGGAGGGGTGTCTGCCATTACTGAGGCTTGAGTAGGCAGTTTTCCCCTCACAGCGTAAACAAAGCCTCTGGAAAGGTCAGAATGGACAGAATCCACTGCAGCTCGACAAAGCCGCTATAGACTGCCTCTCTAGATTCCTCCTCTCTGGGCAGGGCATCTCTGAAAGAAAGGCAGCAACACCAATCAGGGGCTTATAGATAGAACTCCCATCTCACTGGGACATAGCACCTGGGGGAAGGGGTGGCACACTTAAACAGTTCCCTGCCAGTTGGCTCTGAAGAGACCAGCAGATCTCCCAGCACAGTGCTCAAGCTCTGCTAAGGGATAGACTGCCTCCCCAAGTAGGTCCCTGAACCCCATGCCTCCTGACTAGGAGACACCTCCCAGCAGGGATTGACAGACATTTCATAGAGCAGAGCTCCAGCTGGCATCTGATGAGTGCCGCTCTGGGACAAAGCTTCCAGAGGAAGGAGCAGGCAGCAGTCTTTGCTGTTCTGCAGCCTTCGCTGGTGATACCCAGGTGAACAAGGTCTGGAGTGGACCTCCAGCAAACTCCAGCAAACCTGCAACAGAGGTGAATATTAGAAGGAAAACTAACAAGCAGAAAGGAATAGCATCAACATCAACAAAAAGAACATCCAAACAGAAACCCCATCTGAAGGTGACCAACATCAAAGATCAAAATTAGATAAATCAGTGAAGACGAGGAAAAACCAGCCCAAAAAGGCTGAAAATTCCAAAAACCAGAACACCTCTTCTCCTCCAAAGGATCACAGCTCCTCACCAGCAAGGGAACAAAACTGGACAGAGCATGAGTTTGATGAACTGACAGAAGTAGGCTTCAGAAGGTGGGTAATAACAAATTCCTGTGAGCTAAAGGAGCATATTCTAACCCAAAGCAAGGAAGCTAAGAACCTTGAAAAAAGGTTAGACGAATTGCTAACAAGAACAACCAGTTTAAAGAAGAACATAAGTGACCTGATGGAGCTGAAAAACACAGCACGGGAACTTCGTGAAGCTTACACAAATATCAATAGCTGAATCGATCAAGTGGAAGAAATCATATCAGAGATTGAAAACAACTTAATGAAATAACATGTGAAGGCAAGATTAGAGAAAAAAGAATGAAAAGGAATAAACAAAGTCTGCAAGAAATATGGGACTATGTGAAAAGACCGAACATACATTTGATTGATACACCTGAAAGTGACGGGGGAGAGTGGAACCAAGTTGTAAAACACTCTCCAGGATATTATCCAGGAGAACTTCTCCAAGCTAGCAAGACAGCCCAACATTCAAATTCAGGAAATACCCAGAGAACACCACAAAGATACTCTTCGAGAGAGCAACCCCAAGACACATAATCATCAGATTCACCAAGGTTGAAATGAAGGAAAAAATGTTAAGGGCAGCCACAGAGAATGGTCAGGTTACCCACAAAGAGAATCCCATCAGACTAACATTGGATCTCTCTGCAGAAACCCTATGAGCCAAAAGAGAGTGGGGGCCAATATTCAACGTTCTTAAGTAGTTTTCACAGAATTTCATATCCACAGAATTTCATATCCAGCCAAACTAAGCTTCATAAGCAAGGGAGAAAACAGAATCATTTACAAACAAGCAAATGCTGAGAGATTTTGTCACCACCAGGCCTGCCTTAAAAGAGCTCCCGAAGGAAGCACTAAATATAGAAAGGAACAACTGGAACTAACCACTGCGAAAACATACCAAATTCTGTAGACCATCGACACTATGAAGAAACTGCATTAACTAAATGGGCTAGCATTATAATGACAGGATCAAATTCACACATAACAATATTAACCTTAAATGATAGTGGACTAAATGTCCCAATTAAAAAGACACAGACTGGCAAATTGGATAGACAGTCAAGACCTATCAGTGTGCTGTATTCAGGAGAACCCATCTCCTGTGCTGAGACACACTTAGGATCAAAAAAAAAGAGAGAGATGGAGGAAGATTTAGCAAACAAATGGAAATCAGATAAAAGGAGGGGTTGCAATCCTAGTCTCTGATAAAACAGACTTTAAACCAACAAAGATCAAAAGAAAGAAAGAAGGGCATTACATATTGGTAAAGGGATCAATGCAACCAGAAGAGCTAACTTTCCTACATATATATACAGCCAATACAAGAGCACCTGGATTTATAAAGTAAGTTCTTAGAGACCTACAAAGAGACTTAGATTCCCACACAATAATAGTAGTGACAGTAATAGTGGAAGGCCTTAATACCCCACTGTCAGTATTAGATCACCAAGACAGAAAATTAACAAGGATATTCCGGACTTTGAACTCAGCTCTGGACCAAGCAGACCTAACAGACATCTATGGAACTCTCCACCCCAAATCAACAGAATATACATTCTTCTCAGCACCACATTGCACTTACTTTGAAACTGACCACATAATTGAAAGTAAAACACACCTCAGAAAATGAAAAAGAATGGAAATCTTAACAGTCTCTGAGACCACAGTGCAATCAAATTAGAACTCAGGTTTTAGAAACTCACTCAAAACCCCACAAATACATGGAAACTGAACAACCTGTTCCTGAATGACTACTGGGTAAATAACGAAATTAAGGAAAAAAATAAAGAAGTTCTTTGAAACCAATGAGAACAAAGGCACAACATACCAGAATCTCTGGGACACAGCTAAAGCGTTGTATAGAGGGAAATTTTTAGCACTGAATACCCACAGGAGAAAGCAGGAAAAATCTAACTTCAACACACTAACATCACAATTAAAGAACTAGAGAAGCAAGAGCAAACAAATTCAAAAGCCAGCAGAAGACAAGAAGTAACTAAGGCGGGAACTTCACAGCAGGACTAAAGAAGATAGAAACACAAAAAACTCTTCAAAAAATTAATGAATCCAGGAGCTGATTTTTTGAAAAGATCCATAAAATAGACCACTATCCAGACTAATAAGGAAAAAGAATCAGATAGATGCAATAAATAATGATAAAGGGGAGATCACCGCTGATCCCATAGAAATGCAAACCACAATCAGAGAATACTATAAACACCTCTATGCAAATAAACTAGAAAATCTAGAAAAAAGGAATAAATTCCTGGACATATACACCCTCCCAAGACTAAATCAGGAAGAAAATCGAATCCATGAATAGACCAATAACAAGTTCTGAAATTGAGGCAGTAATTAATACCCTATCAACCAAAAAAAACTCAGCACCAGACAAATTCACAGCCAAATTCTATCAGAGGTACAAAGAGGAGCTGGTACCATTCTTTCTGAAAGCGTGAGCCACCGCGCCCGGCCAACATACACAAATCAATAAACGTAATCCATCACATAAAAGAACCAATGACAAAAAACACATGATTATCTCAATAAATGCAGAAAAGGCCTTCAACAAAATTCAACACCCCTTCACAACTCCCAGTAAACGAGGTATTGATGGAACGTATCTCAAAATAATCGAGCTATTTATGATAAACTGAATGAGCAATATCATACTGAATGACCAAAAACTGGAAGCATTCCCTTTGAAAACCAGCACAAGACAAGGATGCCCTCTCTCACCACTCCTATTCAACATAGGGTTGGAAGTTCTGGCCAGGGCAATCAGGCAGGAGAAAGAAATAAAGGGTATTCAGTTTGGAAAAGAGGAAGTCAAATTGTCTCTGTTTGCAGATGACATGATTGTATATTTAGAAAACCCCATCATCTCAGCCCCAAATCTCCCAAAGCTGATAAGCAACTTCAGCAAAGTTTCAGGAAAGAAAAGTCAATGTGCAAAAATACAGGCATTCCTGTACACCAGTAATAGAGAGCCAAATCATGAATGAACTCCCCATTCACAACGGCTACAAAGAGAATTTAATACCTAGGAATACAACTTACAAGGGATGTGAAGGACCTCTTCAAGTAGAACTACAAAACCAGTGCTTAACGGAATAAGAGAGGACACAAACAAATGGAAAAACATTCGATGCTCATGGATAGGAAGAATCAACATTGAGAAAATGGCCATACTGCCCAAATTAATTTATAGCTTCAGTGCTATCCCCATCAAGCTACCACTGACTTTCTTCACAGAATTAGAAAAAACTACTTGTAAATTTTATACGGAACCAAAAAATAGCCCACATAGCCAAGGCAATCCTAAGCAAAAAGAACAAAGCTGGAAACATCACACTACCTGACTTTGAACTATACTACAAGGCTACAGTAACCAAAACAGCATGGTACTGGTACCAAAACAGATACATAGATGAATGAAACCGAACAGAAGCCTCAGAAATAACGCCTCACATCTACAACCATCTGATCTTGACACACCTGACAAAAACAAGCAATAAGGGAAGTATGCCCTATTTAATAAATGGTGTTGGGAAAACTGGCTAGCCATATGCAGAAAACTGAAACTGGACCCCTTTTTTACACCTTATACAAAATTAACTCATATGGATTAAAGACTTAAACGTAAGACCAAAAACCATAAAAACCCTGGAAGAAAACCTAGGCAATACCATTCAGGACATAGGCATGGGCAAAGACTTTATGACTAAAACACCAAAAGCAATGTCAACAAAAGTCAAAATTGACAAATGGGATCTAATTAAACTAAAGAGTTTTCTCCACAGCAAAATCAATAGGCATCCTACAGAATGGGAGAAAAATTTTTGCAATCTATCCATCTGACAAAGGGCTAATATCTGGAATCTACAAGGAACTTTACAAATTTACAAGAAAAAAAAACTTCAAAAAGTGGGCTAAGGATATAAACAGAGACTTTTCAAAAGATATGTGGCCAACAGACATGAAAAAAAGCTTATCATCACTGATCATTAGAGAAATGCAAATCAAAACCACAGTGAGATACCATCTCACACCGCGTAGAATGGTGATCATTAAAAAGTCAGGAAACAACCGATGCTCACAAGTAGGTGGAGAAATAGAAACGTTTTTATACTGTTGGCGGGAGTGTAAATTAGTTCAGCCATTGTGGAAAACAGTGTGGTGGTTCCTCAAGGATCTAGAATGATAAATACTATTTGACCCAACAATTCCATTACTGGGTACATACCCAAAGGATTATAAATTATTCTATTGTAAAAACACATGCACATATATTTATTGCAGCACTGTTCACAATAACAAAGACTTGGAACCAACCCACATGCCCATCAATAATAGTCTGGATAAAGAAAACGTGGCACATACACACCATGAAATACTGTGCAGCCAAAAAAAAGGATTAGTTCATGCCCTTTACAGTTACATGAATGAAGCTGGGAACCATCATTCTCAGCAAACTAACACAAGAACAGAAAACCAAACACTGCGTGTTCTCACTCCTAAGTGGGAGTTGAACATTGAGATCACATGGACACGGAGGGGAACATCACACACCAGGGCCTGTCGGGAGTGGGGGGTTAGGGGAGGAATAGCATTAGGATAAATACCTAATGTAGGTGACCGGTTGATGTGTGCAGCCAACCACCATGGCATGTGTGTACCTATGTAACCAGCCAGCTTCTATTTTTTTCCCACTTTTCTTCAGAGCAGATTATTGTAAAATATATAACTTTAACAAAGTGATTTTGTCTAAATCCTGTGGCCTTTTAGGCGTCTCAGTATTCCTGGTGTGTTATGCCTTAACAGAAGGCCACAATATGCCTATTCATTTCCCTTCCTTTATATTTTTTAAATTGAATTTGTAATTGTTATAGGGTAAATCTATTCAAATTGAGCAAAAGGAAGAAATGTCAACACTACATTTTTGTGACTCTTTATAAGCCATTCAGTTCTCTTCAGATGAAATCTGTTTCAAGGATTAGCCAAAGCAGACAGTTTATGTTAAAACAAGTCTTGAAATTTATCTTGAATCTTTTAAATATTCTTTCCCTTAATACTATTACTTTCTATGTATTCTTCCATGCCCTTTAATTGAATCAGATTCTCATTTATGTGGTCTCCTTAAAAGCCTCTACCTCTCAAAATTGTTGTTGTTCTTTATTCATTTCCTACTGCTGCCTTCTGAATTGGTAAGCAATAAAAATTTCTTTGAAGGAGAATACATCAGAACATGGAGCAATCACAATTGAGTTATTCAATATTGTTAATATAACAGCAGTCAGCTTTTAAGATTTCACTTTTGGGTCTTATAATTCTCCACCATCATTCCAGAGAGTCTCCTTCTGGAATGGCTGTTGTAATATATAATGACAATATTATTATTTTATATTAGTAATATTCAGCTATTTGTTTCTGTAGTGTCTATAGAAATACTATTCATTCTTAGTGTTTACTTCTAGCAACAAAGCGCTATTCCTTTGTAGTGTTTTGCCTCGTTTTTATATGAAATTTCAAAACTGAGTATAAAGTAATACAATAAAAACTGTGATGTAATTGTCAAAATAATGAGAATTACTGGAAATGAAAGTTCATCTGTTGAGAAACAAATAGAACCAAACTGATTGCACAGAATAAGCTTCATTATGGTCACGTATGGTGGCTCACGCCTGTAATCCCAGCATTTTGGGAGACCAAGGCAAGCAGATCACCTGAGGTCAGGAGTTTGAGACCAGCCTGGCCAACATTGTGCAACCCCGTTTTTACTAAAAATACAGAAATTCACTGGGCATGGTGGCGGGCACCTGTAATCGCAACTACTTGGGAGCCTGAGGCAGGAGTGTTGCTTGAGCCCAGGAGGCAGAGGTTGCATGAGCCAAGATCACGCCATTTCGCTCCAGCCTGGGTAACAAGAGCGAAACTCCATCTCAAAAAAAAAAAAAAAAAAAACTCCATCTAAAAAAAGAAAAAACTAACCCTCATTATTTGGGGGAACGTAATGTTGTTTTAGCCCCAAGGATTTTATCTTCATGACAATGGCACAGGGTGGTGGGGTGAGTAGGTACAAAAATTGACAGATGGTGAGCAGAAGAGAGTATGGAAGACATAGTAAGAGGAAGCCTGAAATTACTTAGTTTGGAAATCCCTAATCCCTAATTAAATAGCCTTGTAACATCATGCAAACTTTACCTTTTTGACTCCCACATTTCCCACTTAGTAAAATGGGTATGGATGCTTCTTGCACTGAGCTGTTACGAGAATTGTGTGGCATATCTAATGTAAAGTACCAATTCCATGTCTTGTGTATGGTACTAAGCCTTCATGATTGCTGCCTCTTTGTGGCAGTTTATTTTCTCATTTGGAAACACGGTTGAATTTGCAAAAACACAAATTCATAAAATTTGAGGCATTATTTTCTTGTGAAATATGACATGTTTTGAAGCACTATTTTGAAAACATATGCAGTAATATCCCTATACCCAGAAGTGAAATCATGTAGAAGAGGGATGGCAGGAAGACATCAGTAGGTGCCACAGATCCAGTGTGGTTTATATTCTTACTTTTTGACAGGAACTGAATTTTTTACTTGTCTCCCCTGGCACATCTTTCATACACACAAAAACTCACAATAAGACTTTCCTGGTGAAATTCAAATATAGACAGAAATATGGCATTGTTTCTAAGTAGGCATAATTGCTAAAGGCAAACTGAAAATTATGTATTTTATATGATACTTAAGGAATTTGTCGTGCCACATTAGGCTTATATTGCTGTACTTATGTTTTAAAATAAGTTAGCATATTTTGTATGTAATATCCCTAATGATTTTGCCCCAGGGTTACTTATAGGAGGAATTCTGATTTAAAAAGTAAGGAAAAGAAACATAACAAGTAATAGTTTAACCTGGCAAGTAACAAATGGCAAGAAAATATAAATGAAGGAAATTAAAACTGCCATTAATGTATATTGTAAAATTTTACGTAAATTTAAATTTATATAAAACTTAATGTATATTGTAAAATTTAACTGTTGTTATTTAGTCCCACAACAGTTTACAAAACTAAAACAGATAAAGCCTCATGCTCATGATGCTTACACTCATGGGAAAGAAAGATAATAAACAGATGTGGAAAATAATTTTACATACTGATAATATGATCATTTTCCCCCCAAATATTTGGTATGTAATCCATATACTGATAATTTCAAGTCCGTATCTGTAGTGTAACAGAGCAACAAGCTCCAAATTAGCTCAGACTCTCCTGATTCCAGGAGGTTATATGTTTACAAAAGGTGTTAATGGCATTTTTATTAAACCCATATCATGCTTTCTAAGATAAGTTTAGAGTTGAAATGTGCCTTAGAGTATCACCTATACCACCTCTGCTTTGAAAAACTTAGATTCACAGAAACTTTAGCAGGCAGTTTTGAGCAGTGACAGCAAATTACAGGAAAATCAGCAGTATTTGTAATTGTTTGCAATATATTGTTATCCTCACAAGTATGTGTAGGAAAGGTATAAATTATAAGAAAAGTCAGTGTGAATAATAATGAAGGATTCTACTATACCATTTTCAAATTAAAATTCAGCAAGTAATACTTTTTTTTCTTTGTTATTATATTGGAACTAACTTTGTATCTTGTAGTGACCATATTCATAGATAATTATCTGCTGTGGTGCCAAAGTTTTAAAATCTATTATATAACTGCTTGTGAGGGTATAGGCAACCTTCTTGCCTTTCTATAATCATAAAAATTCCAACCTGTAATTCTGAACTTTTATTTCAAAGATGAAGAAGTTGACTCTTACAAAAGTTATTTTACTTGTCCAAATTAGAGCCCAAATAAATAATATATCTTTAATTAGGGATGAGTTTATTGTAGATTATGATCATTGCATTTTTATAGTCAAATGTCAGTTATTCTCAACTTTAAATATTTTAATATTGTCATCGTCCAGCATGCACATTTGAAAATTTGAGGAAAAGAAAAATTACCATGTGAATAGACTTTAGAACCCAGATTCACAAAGTTATTTCTAATTGGTATACCTTTTATGTAAAATATTCAGTAGTTACTCTCACAAATAGTTTTTTCCCACAATAGGTATTGTCTTTTGAAAATTCTGAAGCAATATCAGACATTGAGAGAAGCTCTTGTTGCAGCAGGAAAAGAGGTTATATGGCATGGGCGGACAAATGATGAACCAGCTCATTACTGTAGCATTTGTGAGGTGAGTAACTGTTTCTACTGATAGTTGTTTTGTTTTGGATTCTCTAGGTTTTGAATTGTTGTTGCTTTATTTTAAATTTACCTATACTTTTATGTAATGCTTTTGATTGAAATTGACTATTAAAACTATTAGGCTAAGTTCTCATCTGATACAATATTTCACTAACTAGATCTATTAAAAGTATCTCCTAAATAAAGGAGATCTACTAAATAAAGAATTTATTTAGTAAATCCTTATCCAAATGATAATCATCTCACTTTAAACTAGGAAGAGTCTATAGCAAGTACACAGATGCCTACAAACAGGATTTAATTCAATATTCAGGCAGATCAGGATGAAGTCCTTTCTGGTTCATTTCATAAATCATTATTGACTTTTCTCTTCTGACTAAGGCTTACAAGATGTGCAGAATAAGCATGTGTTGCTTGCCCTGGAGAAGTTTACATTCTGCTTGCAGAGGCAAACTATAAACAACACATTGTAATGCACATCTAACTGATGAATATGAGGTTAAATATAAATACAAACTACTACAGAAACACTGAGGAAAATTATTTTTCTGCTGTTTTTCTCCTTGCAAGCACACAAACTTAACATTTGAGTTCTTGAAGAATATTCTGATTGCAGCAGACAAAAATAGCAATAATTGGAGATTTATAGAACATCATTAGGCTTTATGAACATTGGATGGGAAAAGGAGTAGTGTATTCAGTAAAGGGTAATTAATTATTTCAATGTGGCTGGAAAGTAGATGGCAAATTCTTAAAGTCCATCAGGGTAGGCTGTGTCTGTAGTTTGCAAATCATCTTGATTCATTTTAAGGAATATGATATATATCCTGACATAAACGAAAACTTTTAAGTTTCTGAGCAGAGGACTATGTTATGTGTTTCAGAAAAAACGGTGGTTGATTGCCGAGTCTAGCTCGGCTGGGGAGACCCTGACCCAGCTTACATAGAGGAATTAAAGACACACAGACAGAAATACAGAGATGTGAAGTGGGAAATCAGGGGCCTCACAGCCTTCAGAGCTGAAAGCCTCGAACAGAGATTTACCCACGTATTTATTAACAGCAAGCCAGTCATTAGCATTGTTTCTATGGATATTAACTTAACTAAAAGTATCTCTTATGGGAAACGAAGGGATGGGCCGAATTAAAGGAATAGGTTGGGCTAGTTAACTGCAGCAGGAGCATGTCCTTAAGGCACAGATCACTAATGCTATTGTTTGTGGCTTAAGAATGCCTTTAAGCGGTTTTCCACCCTGGGTGGGCCAGGCGTTCCTTGCCCTCATTCCCGTAAATCCACAGTCTTCCAGCGTGGGTGTTGTGGCCATCATGAACATGTCACAATGCTGCAGAGATTCTGCTTCTGGCCAGTTTTGGGGCCAGTTTATGACCAGGTTTAGGGGGCCTGCTCCCAACATGTCCCCCTCCTTTGATTTGCAAATCAATAAAAGCAAGGGCAGCTTTGTCACAGTGAGCTATTTCTCGCAGGAGTCAGGATCCACATCTGCAGACTAGACAAAGACAAACAACACAGATTAAAAGCATAATCATCATTGAAGTCACAAAGCTTCCCAGTGTTTTGATCCATTTTAATGGGTTACCAGCTGCTAATCTGTCTGCAGCTTTTAAGCACTCCAGTTCCTGGCATTAAGGTCAGGTGTGCCTGGGATGTTTTAAATATTCGTTCTTTAATTTTGCAATATCCAAAGACAAGTTTGTAGAGTGTCTTTCTAGATGCTTTTTTATTCTTTCCCAAATTTTGATCTTATTAAGAGCTATTAATAGTTTCTACAAATCCTTATGTTTAGCTCCTACAATGAGCCATATCATTTGAGGTTGAGGTGCCACTATACTGCCATAGTTCCAGATAATAGGAACTTTTGGTGTACTTCTTATCATCACTACCATCTGACCGTTTTGTTCAGACCAGCTGAACATAGTGTGGCCATGGCACACAGACTGAGAGGTGCAATTCAAGCTAAACATCCCCTCAGTGGATCAATCAATGATGATTCCATAGGAATTGTTGTGCAGCACCTCTGCCTGTTCTGCAGTGCAATCTTCCCAAACAAGTATGTTCATTATTTCTGGCAAGATCCAATTGTGTTTACAAATAAGTTTTTGGGGGCAGTATGCCTCAATTATAGGAGCACATTTATTATGGTAAATACTGAGATCAGAAAGCGTGTGTAACTGTGTCATAGAGTGATTGCATCCAGGCATTATTGCCAGCCAAGATTGATAAATATGCCCAGTAAGTATAATTGTTCTCTGTGTCAGCCATTATTGAAGGAATACTCACAGCAGTGATGATAACCACTATCATAGCTACCATTAAATTACTCATTGTGACTGGTTGTCCTGCTTTCCCCAGGTTTTCTTCTGCCGTCTATGACAGCTTCTTGGTCTGTCCCCAGGGGGTTGGCTGTGTTCGACGGGTGTTGCTCATGACAGTTGGGGTCCTCCTCAGTGTCAGTCTCAACATGGCTGTAACCGGGGGATCCTCAGGATCCTCCCGGAGTCTCTTCCTCGGCATCTGGCTCATGATAAGGTTTCAGGTGTCTTGATGGTGTCAGAATTGGCTGTAATTTTGGCCTGGAGAAACACAAGCATAACCTCTACCCCAAGTTATTATTTTACCTATTTCCCAACTTTTTGTAATCAGATCTCTTCACCAAATCAGTTGTTCTGCTTCTGTCTTTACAGCTGGTTTCTGTAGATGCTGTTCAGCTGCTGATAACATCTGGCCTTTGGGCAGGCTCAAAAAATTTAAAGTTAATAATGCTAGATTCAGTTGCATCTGTGGGGTTCCATATTCTCTGTCTCCCTCAGTCTGCTTTTGCAACTGCTGTTTTAGGGAGAGATTCATTCTTTCCACTATGGCTTGTCCTTGAGAATTGTATGGGATACCAGTAATGCGTTTAATATTCCACATAGAGAAAAATGTAGCTAGAGCTTGGCTAGTATAACCTGGGGCATTATTGTTGTAGTAGAAGCTGGAATGCCCATCACCGCAAAACACTGCAAAAGATGACGTTTAACACAGGCAGAAGACTCTCCTGATTGGCATGTAGCCCAGACAAAGTGAGAAAAGGTGTCCATGCATACATGTACGTAAGCTAGCTTCCCAAACGAGGGAACATGTGACATCCATTTGCGAAAGAGAGTTAGGTTCCAATCCTCAAGGATTAACTCCTCCTGTAAAAGATGAAGAATGTACCATTTGGCAAGTTGGGCATCGCTGGATAATAGCTTTAGCTTCTTTCCAGGTAATGCTGTATCTGTGTTTGAGACTAGAGGCATTAACATGGGTTAAATTGTGAAAGTGTCTAGCATTAGATATTGCATTAGCAACTAGGTGATCAGCCATTTGATTCCCTTCAAAGGTCCTGGAAGAGGCGTATGAGCCCTAATGTGAGTGATGTAAAAAGGGTGCATTCTACTTCTAACTGCTGTTTGCAGTTGAGAAAATAAAGTCATCAGTTGTTCATCTGTATGAAGTCGTAACTGAGCATTTTCAGTTAACTGTGTGGAATGAACCACGTATGTAGAATCAGAAATCATACTAACAGGCATATCAAAAGCAGTCAATACCTCAATTACCGCTACCAGCTCCACTTTTTGAGCTGCAGTATAGGGCGTCTGGAAAACTTTACCTTTTAATCCAAAATAAGAAGCTTTACCGTTACTAGACCCATCTGTGAAAACATTCTCAGCACCTTCAATTGGTTTAAATTTAGTTATTTTAGGGAGAATCCAATTAGTTAATTTCAAAAACTGAAACAGCTTTGTTTTAGGAAAATTATTGACATTTTCCTAAATGGAAAGAAAAAGTGGAAGAAAAAGCCACTCTACTAAGTCCTGTTCTTGGACAATAACACCAGTAGGTGAATGCCGAGTTGAAAACATTTGTAAATATAGAGTCTTCTCTGGATCTATTCTATTTATTTGAGCTTTATTGACTTGCTTCTCAGTCACTTGTAACTCTGTCTCAGCCTCCTTTGTTAATTGCTGAGGGCTAGTGAGACTAGGATTTCATCTAAGGATAGAAAACAGATTACTCATAGCATAGGTAGCAATGCCTAGAGCAGGTTGTATCCAATTAATGTCCTCTAGTAATTTTTGAAAGTAATTTAATGTTTTAAATTGATCCCTACATATGGTTACTTTCTGTGGCACAATGGTAGTGTCATTTACTAAGGTCCCCAAGTAGGAGTAGGGAGTAGTCTGAATTTTGTCAGGAGCTATTAATTAAGCCAGCATGAGAAATCACATTTTGCAAGTGATCATAACATTGGAGTAATATTTCTCGAGTGGGGGCAGCACAAAGGATATCATCCATATAGTGCATAATATAACACTGAAAATTTTTTACGAGTAGGTTCAATTGCTTGCCCTACATACTTCTGGCAAATTGTTGGACTGTTTAACATGCCTTGTGACAACACTTTCCAGTGATAACGCTTAGGCTGCAGGTTGTTTACCGCAGAAATTGTAAATGCAAACCATTCAGTCTTGCTCAGCTAAAGGGGTAGTAAAGAAACAGTCTTTTAAATCTGTGACTATTAAATGCCAATTTTTTGGAATTATAGCAGGAGAAGGCAATCCTGGCTGTAATGCTCTCAGGTTGTATAACTGAATTGATGGCTCTTAAGTCAGCATTCTCCATTTACCTGATCTTTTTTTAATTAGGAAAACTGGAGAATTCGAAGGGGAAAATGTTGGAGCTATGTGCCTGTTTTCTAATTGTTCAGTAACTAATTTCTCTAAAGCCTCCAGTTTCTCTTTACTTAGCAGCCATTGTTCTATCTAAATTGGCTTATCTGTTAACCATTTTAAACGTATAGGTTCTAGAGGCTTAACAATGGCCACTATCAAAAATTATTTCCTAATCTTTGGCAAGAATTTTGTCTTTCCACTTGAAGTGGTTCTTTCAAACCTTGCAAATTTTCTTCTAGTCCCATACCAGGGACATAACCCATTTTATGCATTGTATGTTGACTTTGAGGGCTATATAATTGTTCTGAAATTAGAACTTGTGCTCCCCATTGTTGTAATAAATCTCTTCCCCATAAATATATAGGTACAGAAGTTATAATTGGTTGAATAGCCCCAGGTTGTCCATCGGGCCCTTCACAATGCAAAATATAACTACTTTGATATACTACAGGGACTTTACCAAGTCCAACTATGTTAAATTGAGCGGTTTGAACTGGGCACGTGGATGGCCAGTGCTGTATAGAAATGATTGAAATGTCCGCTCCTGTATCTACCAAACCTTTAAATTCTCTTCCCTGAATAGTTACTTTACAGGTAGGACGTTTATCAGTAATTTGATTCACCAAATAAGCTGCTTTGCCTTGTTTATTTGTGCTTCCAAATCCTCCTGTTCATTTAATTTCACTTTTTCCCATTCCCACATATGGCACAATCAGGAGCTGTGCTATACGCTCTCCTGGCTCTGCTTTCCAGGGAACAGAAGTAGGTATAACAATTTGAATTTCCCCTTAGTAATCTGAATCAATGACTAATGTATTTGTACCCCTTTTAAACCTAAACTAGACCTTCCTAAAAGGAATCCTATTATCCCCACTGGCAAGGGTCCACAGACTCCTATTGACCTTTTGAGGGGGTTCCCGAGGCAGAAAGCTCACAGCTTTTGTGCAGCATAAATCTACTGCAGTACTACCAGCTGTGGCGGGGGACAGACGTTATATGGGGGTAAGGGAATGGCCTGAGCTGGAAATGCCCCAGTTTAGAACAGGGCTTGGGATGGGCCTCTCATGGCGTTTCCCGAAATCAGGTTCCCTTCTTTATCAAACTTAGAGTGACAATGATTAGCCCAATGTTTTCCTTTTTTACATTTTGGACATATTTCAGGATCAGCAGTTATCTTTTTTCCCGTCTGGCAGCCTGACTCGCTGATTTTTTTCTACATTGTTTTTTAGTGTGACCGTGCTTCCCACAGTTAAAACAAGCTCCAGGAAATGGAGTATTTCCTTTATCCACTCTCAGTCCTGCCATTGCCTGTGCCAACAAAGTAGCTTTATGCAGATTACCTCTGATACTGTCACAGGCCTTGATATCATCAACTAAATGTGCTTTCCCTCTGATAGGTCTCAGAGCAGCCTGGCAGTTGGGATTAGCATTGTCGAAAGCTGATTACTGCAACACTATATACTGAGCAGCCAAATCTGCAATCATCTTTTTAAGAGACTCCTGTAACCAAGCTATAAAATCCACATATGGTTCTCTTGGTCCCTGTTTTATAGCACTAAAGGCAGGGTATTGTTTCCCACCTGAAGTGATTTTTTCCCAAGCTCTAATGCACACTCCTCTAAGCTGTTCTGTGGCATCATCCCGCATGACCAGTTGTGCATCTAAACCAGCCCAGCCACCAACCCCCAAAAGCTGGTCTGCAGTTACATTAATTTGAGGTTGGGCCGGGGCATTGTGAGCAGCCTGAATGGAAGCTTCATCTGCCCACCAAGTTTTAAATTGTAAGAACTAAGCAGGAGTAAGACAAGCTCGAGTAAGGAGTTAGACAAGTAAGTAGTTTTCATCCTACTGAAAACAGCAACATTCTTTAAAAACAGCAACATTCTTCAGTAGTCCCATTACAAAAGGAGAACCTGGTCCATACTGATTTATAGCTTGTTTAAATTCTTTGAGTAATTTAAAAGGAAAAGGCTCAAATGTAGCTATAATATTTCCCTGTTGATCTAGGGGGTGCATTCTAACAGGGAACTGCCAAGCCTCTATATCACCCTCTCATCTAGCTTGCTGAATTCCCGCCTGAATAGAACTAAGAGCGGTTGCTCAAGGCGCTGCCCAAACAGTCACTGGGGCAACTACTTTTCACCCAGTGTCCTCTGGAAAAGAAAGATCTGGAGGGTCTTTTTCTTCAAGATAATAGGGGGTGCAGAAGGGTAGGGATGAACCTCACCTTCCTTGGCCGCTTTAGCTTTAGCTGGTACATAAACATGCTCTGTAACCTCTTCTGTTATTTCACTATACTCTCCCTCCTCATGATCAGTGTGAAAAAGTTCCAAGGTGGAATGAACCACACCCCACACTTGTCTCGTTGTTACCCTGATACTTCCAAGCTCCCCTTCATACTCACCACGGGGATTGCTTTAAGAGTACTCGGGTGTCCTCCAGCTAGTTTTCCATTGCGACCATCACTCCATCGTCCCTTCAACCTGGATTCGAGCCCCCACGAATGGGCACCACTTGCCGAGACCAGCTTGGTTGGGGAGGCCCTAACCCAGCTTATATAGAGGGATTAAAGACACACACAGAAATATAGAGGTGTGAAGTGGGAAATCAGGGGTCTCACAGCCTCCACAGCTGAGAGCCCGAACAGAGATTTACCCACATATTTATTAACAGCAAGCCAGTCATTAGCATTGTTTGTATAGATATAAAATTAACTAAAAGTATCCCTTATGGGAAATCAAGGGATGGGCTGAATTAAAGGAATAGGTTGGGCTAGTTAACTGCAGCAGGAGCATGTTCTTAAGGCACAGATCGCTAATGCTATTGTTTGTGACTTAAGAATGGCTTTAAGTGGTTTTCCACCCTGGGCCGGCCAGGTGTTCCTTGCCCTCATTCCTGTAAACCCACAGTCGTCCAGCATGGGCGTAATGGCCATCATGAACATGTCACAGTGCTGCAGAGATTCTGTTTATGGCCAGTTTTGGGGCCAGTTTATGGCCAGATTTTGGGGATCCTGCTCCCAACAGCTGATAATTGGATAGAGTGGAGATAGAAAGCAAACAAGTCAGTGTGGACGCTATTAGAATGGTCTTAGGAGGTATTAATGAAAGTCCTAGACTAGAACATAACCTTAAGAATGTAAAAAAAAGGGAGATGTTCAAAAGTGTTTATTAAGTTGTAAAATTACCAGCACAGTTGATCCAATCTGGGAATTATGACAAGTAGAAGAATCCTAAATTTGCTGCCTAGCTTGCTAGAGCACTGTTACTCCTGTTGATAGTAATAGAGAGCTTCATGAACTCAGGAATTTTAACAGCTGTTTAAAGTGACTTAAGATAATGAGGATTTGGCTTTTTTTTTTTTTTTTTTTTTGAGACGGAGTCTCGCTCTGTCGCCCAGGCTGGAGTGCAGTGGCGGGATCTCGGCTCACTGCAAGCTCCGCCTCCCGGGTTCACGCCATCCTCCTGCCTCAGCCTCCCAAGTAGCTGGGACTACAGGCGCCCGCCACTACGCCCGGCTAATTTTTTGTATTTTTAGTAGAGACGGGGTTTCACCGTTTTAGCCGGGATGGTCTCGATCTCCTGACCTCGTGATCCGCCCGCCTCGGCCTCCCAAAGTGCTGGGATTACAGGCGTGAGCCACCGCGCCCGGCCAATTTGGCTTTTTTAACTGAAGAAATCAAGCAGAAGTCTGAAGATGCTTGACTAAGAAATTGAAAGACATGTTTTCTCTTGTTAGATTAATGTTCATGAATACACTTTTGTTTGTACTTTTTTTAATATGAGGCTTAAAACACTTTTTGTTATTCACCTATCAGTTTCATTATCTTGAAAAATATCACATTACATGCATATTCCAAGTTTTTTTAATTGTAGTTTTAGCTTCAGTGAAAATTAACCACAATAATGTGCCCTAGACATCAAAAATGAATGACTGTGGACTCAGTCATTTGGGGAACGCAGTCCTTCAGACACAGAACAACTATGAGTACTCTCACAGAAAAGTGAAAAGCAAATAATGGTCACTTTTATCTGATGGTGCACTGGTATTTTGGTAAAATAAAAATACACTGACCTTTATCAAACCTTGAATTACACTTTAGTGAATGGTCATAATGACTATTTAATTTCTTTAAAGACAATCTCTAAATATCTAACATTATCCTTTTCTCTGGGTGTGCTACAAAACAAAACCTAGTGTCTCAAACTCACAACCATAGTCTTGTTTTGTTTTTTTAAGTACTTGGATTTAACCAAAAATCATTGTCCAGTTCCATGTGAAGTAGAATCCCCATGGTTAAAGTGCTGAAATAAATTCAGATATCACTGTCCAATACTTTTTGTTTATTTATTTATTTAATATAGGTGGAGGTTTTTAATCTGCTTTTTGTCACTAATGAAAGCAATACTCAAAAAACCTACATAGTACATTGCCATGATTGTGCACGAAAAACAAGCAAAAGTTTGGAAAATTTTGTGGTGCTCGAACAGTACAAAATGGAGGACCTAATCCAAGTTTATGATCAATTTACACTAGTAAGTCATTAACACGTGAGTACACTTAATTAGGTGGGTTTAAAGCAATGGTCTTTGACTTTGCTAACTGATAAAAATGTGTTAAGAAGAAACTTAAATTTTCCATTGGTGCAGTATATACTTTGTAAGGAAAAATATTAGTAGCCATCCTCGTATTTCACGTTAGTTTTTCTATATGAAACTGTTTATTACCATTTTTGCTTCTCAGTGAGAATGCCCCCAAAGAATAGTTACACTAATTACATTTGTAAATGTCTGTATGTTTTTAGAATATTTTTTAGTTTTTATGTTACTTACATAACTTATAAAACCTTTGTACATGTAGGTTACTTAATTCTTCTGTAGTAATTATCTGAAAGAAATGTGTGGGTTTTTTTCATGTACTTTGTGGTTTAAAGATTCCAGAAGAGTTTGCCTGATAGCACTACTTGATGGAGCTTGCTTGACTAGATTATATGATATATAAGCCTCATGAAAAATATGTTCAGTGTCATCTAGCTGTGGCATTTTCATAAGCCAATTGCTAGTGAAATTTTAATTTACTTTAAAATTATTTTTCCACACAACTTTTCTTTTAGCAATCTAAAAAATTGGTTAACTTTTAACAGTATTCCAAACGTTGTTCACTAAATGATGAAAAATGGAGGTAATAGCGCCGCACTCTTAACTGATTCTAATGAAGAAAGTAAGAGCATCTCAACTGAGCACAGTGTCTCATGCCTGTAATCCCAGCACTTTGGGAGTCCAAGGCGGGCAGATCACCTGAGGTCAGGAGTTCAAGACCAGCCTAACCAACATGGAGAAACCCCATCTCTACTAAAAATACAAAATTGGCCATGCAAGGTGGTGGATGTTTATAATCCCAGCTACTCGGAGGCTGAGGCACGAGAATTGCTTGAATCCAAGAGGCAGGGGTTGCGGTGAGCCGAGATCGCGCCATTGCACTCCAGTCTGGGCAACAAGAGCAAAACTCTGTCTCAAAAAGAAAAAAAAGAAAAGAGCATCTCTCTTAGGAAACTGTTGAGATTTCATGTATCTTGTAAACTCACTTCATAAAAAGGCTGTCTTTTATAGTCATAAGCTAGCAAACACTATTAAGGATTTATATAACAAAATCTTAACTTTTATTTCTAGGCTCTTTCATTATCATCCTCATCTTGATATAGTTCCATGAATATTAAATGAGATTATTTCTGCTCTTCAGGAAATTTCTGCACCACTGGTTTTGTAGCTGTTTCATAAAACTGTTGACTAAAAGCTATGTCTATGCAACCTTCCAAGAATAGTATGTCAAGCAACTGGACACAGTGCTGCCTCTGCTTCAGGACTTAACATGCTGATCCAGCTGTACTTCAGAAAAATAATATTAATCATATGTTTTGTGTACGTATGACAAACTGTCAAAGTGACACAGAATACTGATTTGAAGATAGCCTTTTTTATGTTTCTCTATTTCTGGGCTGATGAATTAATATTCATTTGTATTTTAACCCTGCAGAATTTTCCTTAGTTAAAAACACTTTCCTAGCTGGTCATTTCTTCATAAGATAGCAAATTTAAATCTCTCCTCGATCAGCTTTTAAAAAATGTGTACTATTATCTGAGGAAGTTTTTTACTGCTTTATGTTTTTGTGTGTTTTGAGGCCATGATGATTACATTTGTGGTTCCAAAATAATTTTTTTAAATATTAATAGCCCATATACAAAGATAATGGATTGCACATAGACAAAGAAATAAACTTCAGATTTGTGATTTTTGTTTCTAAACTTGATACAGATTTACACTATTTATAAATACGTATTTATTGCCTGAAAATATTTGTGAATGGAATGTTGTTTTTTTCCAGACGTAACTGCCATTAAATACTAAGGAGTTCTGTAGTTTTAAACACTACTCCTATTACATTTTATATGTGTAGATAAAACTGCTTAGTATTATACAGAAATTTTTATTAAAATTGTTAAATGTTTAAAGGGTTTCCCAATGTTTGAGTTTAAAAAAGACTTTCTGAAAAAATCCACTTTTTGTTCATTTTCAAACCTAATGATTATATGTATTTTATATGTGTGTGTATGTGTACACACATGTATAATATATACAGAAACCTCGATATATAATTGTATAGATTTTAAAAGTTTTATTTTTTACATCTATGGTAGTTTTTGAGGTGCCTATTATAAAGTATTACGGAAGTTTGCTGTTTTTAAAGTAAATGTCTTTTAGTGTGATTTATTAAGTTGTAGTCACCATAGTGATAGCCCATAAATAATTGCTGGAAAATTGTATTTTATAACAGTAGAAAACATATAGTCAGTGAAGTAAATATTTTAAAGGAAACATTATATAGATTTGATAAATGTTGTTTATAATTAAGAGTTTCTTATGGAAAAGAGATTCAGAATGATAACCTCTTTTAGAGAACAAATAAGTGACTTATTTTTTTAAAGCTAGATGACTTTGAAATGCTATACTGTCCTGCTTGTACAACATGGTTTGGGGTGAAGGGGAGGAAAGTATTAAAAAATCTATATCGCTAGTAAATTGTAATAAGTTCTATTAAAACTTGTATTTCATATGAAAAATTTGCTAATTTAATATTAACTCATTTGATAATAATACTTGTCTTTTCTACCTCTCCTTTCTGAAGCATTTTTATTTAATCACATTCTTCTTTGTAACAGCTTTCCAGAGAACTTTAGTGAAGAATCATAGAATGCTTTAATAGAAGCTATTTAAATATCAAAAGGGAAGTTATAGTCTTATCAGGTGAAATGTCTTGATCATTGCATTATTGCAGTACTTTCTTCAGACAAGTTTGGAATATTTTGGCTTCCTAGAAATAGTTGTTAGAAAACTCATGAAGATATTTTATTAAGTTAGGTAGTTGAAATCTGTTAGCAGTAATCATCACATACCTAATTTCAGAAAAAAAAATGCAATTTGTAATTAAGGAAGAAAAATCATAAGTACTTCTAGATATTTTAAATGCTGATATTTTTGTAATTTTCTTGTAAATTTTCTTGTTCAGAAATCATTGAGATTAAAATTCAGGACTTTTTTTTACCCCTCTCAAACAAAAACTACAGATCAACCATCAGGAAACATCTAGAATACCAGAGCTATACCTGAACTTTTCTTAACCGGTTGTTTTGTATTACTAACGTAACATCTTATGTCTTAACTCTTTAAGATGATTTATGGCTAGGATTACTATATGTTGAATTTACAGAATTGACCTAGTCATGAAAATGACTTTACCTGTTTATCTTTTACACTTCTTTTGTTATTGTTGTTTGTTTTTGTTTTTGTTTTTTGAGATGGAATCTCAGTCTGTCACCCAGGCTGGAGTGCAGTGGAGTGATCTTGGCTCACTGCAACCTCTGCCTCCTGGGTTCAAGCTCCTGGGTTCAAGCTCTTCTGTCACAGCCTCCCGAGTAGCTGGGACTACAGGTGTGCATCACCACACCCAGCTAATTTTTTTTGTATTTTTAGTAGAAACAAGGTTTCACCATATTAGCCAGGCTGGTCTCGAACTCCTGTCCTCATGATCCACCTTCCTCAGTCTCCCCAAATGCTGAGATTACAGGCATGAGCCACTGCACCTAGCCCTTTTACATGTTTTCTAATGCATATTTGGATTATCCATTGAGAGTAATACTTTTCAGAAGCTTACACTCTTTAAATAGGCAGAAAACCAAAACTGAAAATCAAATATATCACTAGTTTGGAATTAATCTAGATAAATGAAGTTCTGTTATCTACTGTAATCAATTTATCACCTTTGTAAGTTGCATTTTGGAGATTTAAAAAAAAAAGATTCTTTTTGTTGTCCTTTTTACTGCTGGAGGTGTGAAGTTGCTCAAGCTGACCCTACCTACATGCCTTTCAATAAAAGAAATTTATAGCACACACATTGTTCAGAAAATAATCCAGTAGTTGCATAAAACAGATACTTTTCCCAAAAGAAAACAAGAACTATGTGGAAAACAGCCATATCCTTTTTCTCAGCAATTAAACATGAAGTTTTCTTAGATTGATTTGCATTTCTGCCATGTATATATAATGTGGCTTGCTTAATCTGGTTGTTACCAGAAATCTCGGCTTCTGCTTTTTTTTTTTTTTTTTTTTTTTTTTTCCTGAGACAGAGTTTTACTCTTGTTGCCTAGGCTGGAGTGCAGTGGCACAGTCTCGGCTTACTGCAACCACTGCCTCTTGGGTTCAAGCGATTCTCCTGCCTCAGCCTCCCGAGTAGCTGGGATTACAGGCCACCCCACTGGGCTAATTTTTTGTATTTTTTAGTAGAGAAGGGGTTTTGCCATGTTAGGCAGGCTGGTCTCAAACTCATGACCTCAGGTTGACCCGTGTCAACCTCCCAAAGTGCTAGGATTATAGGTGTGAGCCACTGCACCCAGCATGCTTCTGTATTTTAATATAAACCTTGGCTGCTTTTCCAAAGTAATAAATTGCAAACTAGGATGTTCAAGATACTAGTATATATCAACTTAAGATTGTGATTACATAATTTTAGTGTAAAGAGTCTATTCCTCCTAAATATTTGAGCCTTTTTGTTAGCCATTAAGTTACTATGACATATTTTTATTTAAGACATGTTCTAATTAGCTTCTCCTAATAGACAAATATGGAAAAGATGTGAACTTGTCCTCTACACTCCATATGCACAAGGCTTTTACCATCTAATATGGGACATACATGGAAATAAATAACAAAAAGAGTACTATTACAGTTTGTGTTCAAGAGTTGTCTGGACACTGTGGCTCACACCTGTAACCCCAGCATTTTGGGAGGCTGAGGCAGGCCGAAGTCACCTGTGGTCAGGAGTTTGAGACCAGCCTGGCCAACATAGCGAAATCCCTTCTCATAAAAGTACAAAAATTAGCCAGGCATGGTGGCGCATGCCTGTACTGCCAGCTTCTTGGGAGGCTGAGGCAGGAAAATCACTTGAACCTGGGAGGCAGAGCTTGCAGTGAGCTGAGACCGTACCACTGCACTCCAGCCTGGGTGACAGAGGGAGACTCCATCTCAAAAAAAAGAAAAGTATTAAGTCATCTACATTCACACTTCATAACATGAATGTTTGGGGACCTCACGTTCTTTGTCATAACTAAGACATTAGCTGCGTAAACAGGTAACTGGAGAAGGGATCTGATGGTGCAAAACTCCTCAGTCATGTTAAGACTTTCTGACTGTTCTTGTAGTTAGTAACAGAGCTATTGACTGGTTTTATATAAAAGAATCAATAAGTTTGCAAAATCTTTCTTCTGTCACACTCCCATTTGTTTCAATGCTGCATTTGTTCTTTACACATATCCCAGGGGAATATATCTAAGACTAAAAGTCCAGGGAAGAAATGCTTAGTACTTGGAATTTTCATTTTGTGGAATGGAAGTAAAGGCACAAATTTTGGAAACATTTTAAGGAATAAAGTTCACAGATCCCATTATCTTCCTGGTGGAGAAGTGTCCTTCTAACAAGACACAATCCAGAAAGGACAGAGCAGAAGATTATAGTGACATCTAAGTGATGTTAATTGATTTAGAAAGGAACAGATGGATATGTGAATCTCAAATTTAGAAATGCAAGTTAGTGAATCTACAAGTGAGGAGAGTACAAGTCCACCTTGTGGCATCACATAAAGGGGAGGGAAAACGAGCTAAAAGATCAGGAAGAGTAAATATTTTGAAAACCATGTCTATATTATTCTGAAAAGATAGAAAAAGAGATCTCTTCGGGTTAGTGCAAGGTTGCTGTGATGTTAACCTGAGCAGCTTCAGTGAAATAAGGTACTTATACCTAGAACTCAAAGATATTTCCCTGTGGATTAATTTTTTAGATTTTACGTTTATATTCATAATCCATTTTGAGTTAATTTTTTCTATAAATCGTAAGGCATACAGCAATATTGTTTTGTTTTTACATTTTGTGTCTAAGCTCCAGGACCATTTGTTTCTAACTCAAAGGTATCAGTAGAGTGAATTTGTGTTGGTTGATTTTTGTGTTTTCTAGACTGTTTCATTTTTATATCTGTTCATCTTTGTGCCAGTGCTTCACTATCTTCATTACTGTGGTTATATAATAGGTCTTAATATTGGACAAAGCAATTCTTTATTCTTTTTAAATATTGTTTTACCTATTGTAGAGTCTTTGCCTTTCTATATAAATTTTAGAATAAGCTTGTCTAGGGCTACAGAAAACCTTATTATGATTTTGATATGTTGTGCTAACTATATAAACAACAGTGTTCTAATATCTAGAATACATATCTACATAAATATGCTTGCAATGTAAGTAACAGGTTAATAAAATTAAGAAAATTGGCATCTTTAATATGTTGAGTATCCCAGTCCATATGGTGTTTCTCTCTATTTAAGTCCTTGTTGGTTTTTTTCATTAGCTTTTATAATGATCAGTATGCAGATCCTTTACAGATCTTATACCTACAGATTATTTTATTTTTTAAGTTGATAATATTTCCCATATATATGGGGGTACATGTGATATGTTGTTACATATATAGAATGTGTAATTATTAAATCGGAATATTTTGAGTGTCCATTACTTTCAGGACTTACCTTATCTATGAGTTGGGGAAAATTCAAGTCCTTTTCTATTTCTCCCTTGAAATATACATTGTTATTAACTACAGTCATTCATCTATACTGCTGTTGAATGATAAAACATAATACATTTTATCTAACTGTATGTTTGTACCCATTAACCTACTTGTCTTTATCAGCTCCCTCCCAGCCATCTATCCTTCTCAGCCTCTGGTAACTATCATTCTACTCTCTACCTTTACAAAATCTTTTTTTTAGCCCCCACATATGAATGAGAGCACGCAATGTTTACCTTTCCACAGTTAGGTTGTTTCACTTAACATAATATACTTGGGCCAGGCTCAGTGGCTCATACCTGTAATCCCAGCAGTTTGGGAGCCAAGACAGGTGGATTACTTGAGCCCAGGAATTTGAGATCATCCTGGGTAACCTGGTGAAATTCCACCTCTGCAAAAAATACACAAATTAGCTGGGTGTAATGGCGTGTGTCTGTATTGCCACCTACCCGGGAGGCGGAAGTTGAAGGATCTCTTGAGCCTGGAAGGTCAAGGATGCAGTGATCCTTGATTGTGCCACTGCCGCTAGCCTGGGAGACAGGGCAAGATTCTGTCTCGAAAAAAGTAAACTAATGAACTCCACTTCCATTCATTTTCTCCAAATGACATTATTTAATTTTTGTGATTTTTTTTTAATCTCATTATGGTTTTGATTTGAATATCCTCATGCTTAGACATGTTGAGCAGTTTTAAATGCCTTTTGGCAGTCTGTATGTCTTTGAGAATTATCCATTCATGTAATTTGCCTACCTTCTAATGGGATTGTTTTTATAAATGAGTTGTATGAGCTTGTATTTTCTGGATATTATTTGTCTCTTGTCAGACGAATGGTTTGCAAATATTTTTTCCCCTTCTGTGGGTTGTCTGTTCACTCCAGTGATTGTTTCCTTAGCTGTGCAGAAGCTTTTTAGTTTAATATAGTACCATTTGTTTATTTTTGTTTTTGTTGGCTGTGCTTTTGAGCTCTTAGCCATAAAATCTTAGCCTAGGTCAGTGTTCTGTAGTGTTTTCCCTGTGTTTCTTCTAGTAGTAGTATACTTTTAGGTCTTTAAGTCTGATCCATCTGGAGGTTATTTTACCTTATTTTATTATTTTATTTTATTTTATTTATTTTTTATATTTTTTATTTTATTTTATTTTGTATTTTTTGAGATGGAGTCTTGCTCCAGTCACCCAGGCTGGAGTACAGTGGCACGATCGTGGCTCACTGCAATCTCCACCTCCTGGGTTCAAGCAGTTCTCCTTCCTCTGCTTCCCATGCTGCTGGAACTACTGGCATCTACCACCACACCTGGCTAATTTTTGTATTTTTAGTAGAGACGGGGTTTCATCATGTTGGCCAAGCTGGTCTCGAACTGCTGTTCAAGTGATCTTCTCACCTCAGCCTTCCAGAGTGCTAGGATTGCACTCTGTGCCCAGCCTGGAAGTGATTTTTTTAATTCATTAAGTAAAGGGATCGAGTTTCATTCTATTGCATTTGGACCTACAATTTCTCCCACCACTGTTTACTAAAGATAGTGTCCTTTTTCAAATGTATTTTCATCTTTGTTTAAAAAAAAGTCACTTGGCCATAAATATCTGGATTTATTCTTGGGTTATCCAATTTGCTTCCAGTGATCTATGTGTCTTTTTATATCAATAGTATGCTCTTTTGGCTATTGTAGCCTGTAATATATTTTTATGTCAGGTAGTATGATGTCTCTTTTTGCTGTGGATTGCTTTGGCTATTCAGCCAGTTTTGTTACTAGTTCCACATGAATTTTAGGATTGTTTTATCTATGTCTGTGAAAAATGACATTGATATTTCAGTGGGGATTGGATTGAATCTATAGATTGCTTTGAGCAGAATGTTCAATTTATTGACATTAATTCCTTGGATCCGTGAGCATGGGATGCAATTCGATGCAATTTATCAGGGATAATAGTGTGTAGTTTTCTTTTTTGTTGTGTGTTTTCTGGTTTGGGGCGGTATGTTCAATTTAAGGACATTAATTCCTCTGAGCCAAGAGCAGGGGATACATTTTTCAAGGTTAATGGTATATAGATTTTTGTTGTGTGTTTTCTGGTTTTGGTATCAGATAAAGCTGGTCTTATAGAATGCGTTAAGTGTAATTCCTTCCTACTCAGTGTTTTGAAATAGGAAGATTGCTGTTAATTCTTTGTTACATAATTGGTAGAATTCAGCAGTGAATCCATTTAGTCTTGGGCTTTTCTTTGTTGAGATACTTGTGAATATTGAATGAATATCACTACTTTTTATTCTTCAGCGTTTTTTTATTTATTCTTGATTGTTTTTTGTTTTTGTTTTTGTTTTTGTTTTGACATGGAATCTCACTCTGTCACCCAGGCTGGAGTACAGTGTCACGATCTCAGCTCACTGCAACCTCCGCCTCGCAGGTTCAAGCAGTTCCCTTCCTCTGTCTCCCTAGTAGCTGGGTTACAGATGCCCAGCTAATTTTTGTGTGTTTAGTAGAAACAGGGTTTCACCGTCTTGGCCAGGCTGATCTTGAACTCCTGACCTCATGATCCACCTGCCTCAGCCTCCCAAAGTACTGGGATTTACAAGCATGAGTCACCATGCCCCGCTATTCTTGATTCATCCTAGCTAGTTTATATGTTTCCAGAAATCCATCCATTACTTCTAAGTTTTTGCAATTAGTTTATACTTGTTCATAATAATGTCTCATGATCTTTTCTATTTCTCTAGTATCAGATGTAATGTTTCCTTTTTTACTTCTAATTTTATTTGGTCTTCTTGCTTCTTTCCTTGGTTAGCTTAGCTAGTGGTTTATCAGTTTTGTCTTTTCAAGAACGAACTTTGTGTTGATTGATCCTTTGTATTCTTTTTTAGTCTCTTTTTCTGTTAGTTTTGCTGTCACCTTTATTTCTTTTCTTCTGCTATTTTTGGGTTGGTTGATTCTTGTTTTTCTAATAAGTGCATCATTCGATTGCATAGTTGAGATCTTTGTACTATTTTGATGTAAGCACTTATTGTTACACATTTCTCTTTTTTACTTGCCTTTGTTATATATATATATTTTGGTGTGTTGTTTCCATTTTCATTCATTTAAATTTTTTTCATTTTAATCTTTATTTCTTCATTGACCAGTGGTTGTTGTTAAAGAGAATGTTATTTAATTGCCATGTATGTATAGTTTCCACAGTTCCTATTGCTATTAATTTCTAGTTTTTTGTGGGGGTTTTCTTGTTGCTATTGTGTGGTTTTATGGTTTTTTGTTTTCAGTTTTTTAAATTGAGTTAGCGTCTCACTTATGAGGCTGGTCTTGAACTCCTGGGCTCAAGCGATTATCTCACTTCAGCTTCCCAAAGTGCCAGCTTTACAGATGTGACCCACCATGCCCAGCCTTTTTAATTTTTTAATGTTAATTTTTTTTTTTTTTTTTGAGACAGTGTCTTGCTCTGGACTGCAGTGGGTTATTCATGGCTCACTGCAGCCTTGACCACTGGTCTCAAGCAATCCTCCCACCTCAGCTCCCTGAGCAGCTGTGACTATAGGCACAAGTCACCATGCCCAGCTGATTTAAATTTTTAATAGAGACAAGGTCTAGCTATGTTGCTCATACTGGTCTCGAACTCCGGAGCTTACACAGTCCTCCTGCCTTGGACTCCCAAAGTATTGAGATTACAGGCATGAGCCACTGAGCTCAATCTTAATTTCTTGTTCTATTCCACTGTGGTCCTAGAATATACTTGATGTGATTTTGGCTCTCTAAAATTTTTTCAGAAGTGTTTTGTGGCTCAGCATGGTCTGTCCTAGAGGATCTTTCATGTGCTGATGAGAAAAGAGTATGCTCTCTGCAATTTTGGGGTAAACCATTCTGTAGGTTTCTGTTAGGTACTTTTAGTCCAATGTCTGTTCTTAAGTCCAGTGTTTTATTGTTGATTTTCTGTCTGGATGACTGGTCTAATGCAAGTGGGGATTGAAGTTGCCCACTGTTCTTGCATTGAAATATCTCTCCTTAGATCAATTAATATTTGCTTTATGAACCTGGGTGTTCCAGTACTGGTTGCATGTATATGGAACTGTTATTTCTTCTTGCTGGATTGATTCCTTTATCATTATATAATGTATGTAATGACCTTCTTTGTCTTTTTTTTTTTTTACCTGCCTGTGGCTTAAAGTATGGCTACTCCTGCTTACTTCTGGCTTGCATATGCTATTTTCCCTCCGTTACTTTCAGTCTGTGTGCTGACTTTTCAGGTATAGTGAGTTTCCTGTAGAGAGCATATAAGTGGATGATATTTTTTAATCCATAGAGTCTATATATTTTATAAAGTGTGGAATTTAGTCCACTTATATTTAAGGTTATTGATATGTTGGTATGTGAGGTTCTGTACCTGTCATACTGTTGTTTTTTGATTTTGTGTATTCCTATTTCTTTCCTTTTCTCTTATTGCTATTGTGATTTGGCAGTTATCTGTAGTGGTACCATTTGAGTCCTTTCCTATTTGTATGTTTTCTTATAATTGAGTTTTATACCTTGATGTGTTTTTATGATGACAAATATTGTTCTTTCATTTTCAGATTTAGAACTCCCTTGAGCAATTCTGGTAGGATTCATCTAGTGGTGATGAATTCCCTCAGTGTTTGCTTATCTGGGGAAGACTTTATTTCTCCTGCATTTATGAAGGAAAATTGAACTGGATATAGCATTCTGGGCTGACAGGTGTTTTCTTTCATTACTTTGGTTATATCGTCTTATTCTAACCTTTCCTGCAAGGTTTCTGCTGAGCAGTCTGTTCGTCTACTGGGATTTCTTTTATTGATAACGAGACACTTTTCTCTTGATGTTCTTAGAATTTTCTCTTTGTAATTGACTTTAGACAGTTTCACTATAATGTGCCATGGAGAAGATTTTTTTTGTGTCGCATCTGAGGGGATCGTGGGATCTCCTGTATCTGGATATGTAAATCTCTTGCTAGACTTGGGAAGTTTCATTTATTATTTTGCTAAACAGGTTGTGAACCTTTTGTTATCTTTTCATATGCCGAGATACCAGTAATTTATTTATTTGGTCACTTTGTGGTGTCCTATATATTGTAAAGATTTTGTAATTCTTTTTCATTCTTTTAAAAATGTTTGCCTGGTTTGCTGATTCCAAAAGACTTGTTTTCAAGTTCTGAGGTTTTTTTTTCTTCTGTTTGATCTAGCCAATTCTTGCTGCTTCCAAACCTAGTGTGTACTTCATTCAAAGAATTCTTCAGTTCCAGAATTGATTTAGTTCTTTTTAATGACGTGTCTTTTTGGTATACTTCTCATTCATGAACTGACTTGTTTTTGATTTTGATTTTTTAAACATGTGTTTTAAAATGTTCTTCTTTCTGAGCTTCTTTACAATTACTACCGTCTTGTTCTGCCGTTTTGTGTATATATTTTTTATTTGGATCTATTCCTGGAGAATTATTATGTCCTTTGGAAATGTCATATTAACTTGCTTTCTCATGTGTCTTTTCATTGATATCTGCATAACTGGTGTATCAATCACTTCCAATTTTCTTAATTCCCTTTCATAGAGAAGGACATATTTCTGAGGATGAATCTGTGGCATTGGTTGGGTAAGGCACTTTGGCTTTGATTCTGGGTTCATGCAGTAGGATAGTCTCTGTATGATTTCTTTGATTGTAAAGAGCATCAGTGGTATCTGAGACTTTTTCACTGGCTCTGCGGGTGCAGTTAGTATTGGAGGCTGTAGTGCAGTTTTACCTGGGACTGGGATGCCAGACT
The DNA here is from genome assembly GCF_000001405.40 of Homo sapiens. Taxonomy (NCBI): domain Eukaryota; kingdom Metazoa; phylum Chordata; class Mammalia; order Primates; family Hominidae; genus Homo; species Homo sapiens. Next base: position 13,238,638 of record NC_000024.10, on the reverse strand, counting down.
GGCCCATCTTTAGGCCCTAGTGGTGGCAGCAGTGCACTCAACAATTGTCTCTTTGGGCTTCAGTGTGACCTGCAGTGGCACCAGTGTTAGTGTGTCCAAGGAGGCCAGTGCTTGGGCCCCCAGGTGACTTATTCTGATGCTGATAGTGGCAGCTGTGAGCTTGGCATGTAGGTAGGTTCTTGGGCCTCTGGACACCTGATGTGGCATGGATGATGGCGCTGGCAGTGACAGTGGAAGGATGCCTCAAGCAGTGTGTATCAGGCTGCAGTGAGCTCATGAGGCCAGTCTCCAGGCCTACATCTGATACACACATATAGGTATCAGCTGTGGTTATAGCAACCAGGTGGATAAGACCCAGCCTGAGTCCCCCACAAGGAGTGTTCAGGGGTCAACATTGGTGGACTGAGCTGGGTCACACCCAAGATCCAGACTTTCCTCGGGCATAGGTAGGGGATTAAACCTGCTCAGGCTGGGTTTTCCTGAGGACTGATAGTGTGTACATGTGCTGGGCCTGGAAAGCAGGGGTTAGAGGGATTCTCAGGCCACTGGCAGAATGCTTAGGTGAATGGTGGCAGCATTCATGCCATTGCCCTGCCACTAGGCAGGCAATACTGGTTTCAGTGATAGCAGCTTTGGCTCACATGTTGGGAGCACATGTGCTACTCATGCCTCAGCTCTGGTAGTGCTCACAACTACGTCTTGGGGACAGCAGCCGTCTTTTCTGTTGCACCTCAGCCCCAGCACTGCTGGGCTCCAGAACAGTAGGGAGTCTGTTGGGGGCATGGCTCTAGAATGGCACTTTCTTTGCATCTCGGACATACCTTTGTCCCAGGTAGCCCATGGTTGGTTATACCTAAATTCCAGAGTCAGCAGCACATGCATTCCTTGCACCTCAGCCCTGATTCCTGTGGGCTTCAAAGATGGTCCCTGGTCTGTTTGGGATGATGTTCCAAAGAGTGTGCCTTGCTGTAACTGCTTAGGTCTCAAGGAATGTGAGGGATGCTGCACAGGCTATATGCTTAAAGGCAGTACCATCCTACTATCTCTCTGCAGCTCCCTATGTTAGTTTCAGGGCCCACTGAGTGGGGTTAGCTCTCCAGTGGCTAGAATTACAGAGATACCTGGTATGAACATGGATCCCTGGAGATCACTGACCCCTGACCTTGTTGGAAAGTCTCTCAGCACCCAGCCCATCCTGGCCAAGCAGGCTGCCTCACCTAATTCTTGTTTGCTTTAGGTATCACCTCTTTTCCAGTGCTCTCTCTTGGATGATCTAGTTCATGCATGATTACTCACTTTGGTTCTCTTATTGGAGAAAGCAAATGCCCCTAGTCGGCCATCATGAAGGCTTCTTCATTTCTTTTTGAGAGATGTAAGTGGTATTGGGTTTTTAATTTCCATCTCCACATGTTCATCTTTAGTCTACAGAATGATGATTGACTTTTTTCTGTTTATTTAATATCCTCTGATCATGCAGAACTCATTCATTAGTTCAAAAAAGATTTTTGTAAATTGTTTTACATTTTCCATGTGTACAGTCTGCAAGAAAGAAGTGTTATTTCCTCCCTTTCTATATGTTGTTCATGTGTTTATTTTTCTTACTTTATCACAGCAGTTGGAATTTCCAGTATTGTGTTAAATAAGAATGATGAAAATGGACACTCTTGCTTTCTATTGTATCCAATCTTTTTTTTAAAAAAATTTCTTAGCAGTATGATATTAGCTGTAGTTTTATAAGGAAATGCTCTTTATTAAGAATATCCTATTCTTAGTTTCCTAGCAGGTTTTACCATTGAGTGTTGAAACTTTCAAGTGCTCTCATTTTTCTGCATCTGTTGATAACAACCATATGACTTTTCTTTTTATTAGATTACATTAACTGATTTTCAATGTTGAAGTAGCTTTACGTAGATGAACCTTATCCCAACTGTTTGTGTTGCATGCGTATTTAATTTTGTATTTGCTGAGCTTAGCTTGTGAAAATGTCGTTGATTATTATACCTATGTACCTGAGTACTCTTGATGTTTTCTGTGTTTATATTGTCTTTTTATAGTTTTGTGTCAGTGTAAGAAAGGCCTTATTTTGAATTGAGAAGTGTTCTGCCCAGTTTCTGAAGACATTGTGTAAACTTGATGTTAATTCCTAAAATACTTGGCCGAATTATCTAGTGATGCCATACTATTCTGGGTCTTCTTTTTTGGACTTTTAAAGTAAAAATTCATTGTCTTTAGTTGTCACAGACTATTCAGATTTTCTCTTATATCTTGATTGACTTGCCAGATTGTGAGTTTTGAAGAATTGTTTCTTTTAAGTTACAGAATTCCCCATGGTATTTTTATTATAATTTCAGTAGTATAGTATCTGCAGTAATGTATTTTATTCCTTATTGATATTTTGTGATTTCACTCACAAGTTTTTTTAAAGCAAAATTTTCTTTTATTTATTCTACTGTTTTTCCCCACATTTCATCGATTTTTCTTCCCCCTCTCACCCACAGCCCCTTTTGAGTTTGTTTTGCTCTTCATTCTTTAGTTACTTTTTATAGTTACTTCAGTTAATTTAAACTGTTTTCAACCAGGCACAATACCTCATGCCTGTAAACCCAGTACTTTGTGAGTCCAAGGCAGCAGGATTGCTTGAGCCCAGGAGTTCAGGACTGGCCTGGACAATATAATGAGACCTCAACTCTATAAAAAACTAAAACATTAGACAGGCATGATGTTGTATGCCTATAGTTGCAGCTTCTCAGGAAATTGAGGCAGTAGGCTTCCTTGAGCCTGCAGTGAGCTGTGATTGTGCCACTGCCCTCCAGCCTAGGCAACAGAGTGGGACCTTGTCTCAAATAATAATAATTCTCTCTTTCTATACACGCATTTAGTGAAATAACTCCCTTTTCACAGCTAATAGCCTGCATATTTTGATATGTTGTATTTTAATTTTTATTCAGTTTTATGTATTTTAAAAATTTCCTTTAGGATTTTCTCTTAGATCAATGTATTTAGAACTGTTTAATTCCCAAGTGGTGGGGAGTGGGGAGGCTTTATTTTTGTATAATACCGATTTCCACTTTGGTTTGACTTTGCTCAGAAAATACACTGTGTATTATTTCAGTTCTTTTAAATTTGTTGATGTTTGACTTATGTCTTAATGTTGATGTTTGAGTTACTTACTGCCTGAGCTGCACACTCCACAGGGCCACTGGGAGCTGAGGACAAGTGGGGGCGCCGCCCTCCCACTTCCAAGTTGATGGGGTGGGAGTTTCCCAGTGCAGCTGCAGCCACCCAAGTCATGGCTGTGGACCTGGGCCTCCCTGTGCTCTTGAGCCTTCCCACAGCTGCAGAGCCAGACATCTCTGCACTCTCAGGGGCCCAGGAAGGATCCCTCCCCCACAGGCTTGGAGGTGTCTGCTCCTGCTGCCTGGCCTCTCCCAGCTCCCAAGTGCCTATTCTGATCTCAGAGCAAGGTTGGGGCCAAGACTTGGCATTGTGTCAGCCCGGCCAGCTGTGCTCATGCTCAAGGCAGCACTGACATGCCAGCCTTCCACCTTCTTGGCCCACTCTGAACTTTGGGCACTGATGAGCATAAGAGGGAAGCTGATGGGGGGCTGAGGGCAGCTTGCACTGACCTGCAGGTGTTCCTTGATATATACATCCTGGGTGCCATGAAAGGCAGCAGGAGGCAGACATGTTCCTGAGTGCAAGGGGGTGGGCCCCTGGTGAGGCCCCACCTTCAGGCCAGGGAGGACCTGAAGGGTGGGAACTGGCCTGCCAGTCCTGCAAACCCCAATGTGAACTTGTGGTGCCTTTTCCAGGCCTCCCCATGGCCACCCATGGACCAGTCGGCATTCACTTCCTCCCTTCTGCGGCCCATAAAAGCCCTGGGTTCAGGCAGAGCTGAGCAGACATCAGGTGACCAGCTGCAGAAAGGAGCTACCCACTCCAGGGCCTCATCTCTGCTGAGAGCTGCAGAGATGACCAGAAGACCTGCATCCAGAGAGGAGCTTCCTGATCCAGGGCTATTCTGTCACTCAATAAAGCTTCTCTTTGTCTTGTTCTCCTTCCATTTGTCCACGTTCCTCATTCTTCCCTGCCAAAGGAGAAGAACTTGGGAGCTGCTGGATGGTGGGGCTGAAAGCTGTAAAACAAACAGGGCTAACACGCCCATTGCTCACTACCTTGTGAGTGAAGAGGAGAGAAGAGCTGTAGCCCTTCAGAGAGTCCAGACCTGGGAGCTCCTTGAGCCAGGGTTGTGAATCTCTCTTCAGGACCTTGTGGTTTCGGGAGTCTCCAAGCTTCCTGTTGTCACTGCAGCTGTGGAAGTTGCTTGTGGTGTGCCTGCTTCAACTGCACCCTCACAGAGAGCTGGTGCCTATGCCGGCACCTACAGCTGCCCATCCTTGTGCAGCAGCCAGCATGCTTGACTATGTGCAGTAGCCAGTCGCCACACTGGCTTGGTCAAACACCCCTTGCCGCTCCACATCTGGCTGGCCCTTGGCAGGCCTGGGATCCATGCCAGTAATGTGAGCCAAGTGTAGCCTTCCAGGCTGAGTGGGTGGAGCAAGCCCAGCAGGCCTGAGCAAAACTTGGGCAAAAGCACCACCACCCACAGAGGTTTCTGGCCAGAAAAGCAACACCATAAGGTTCCTGAAACAACAGGTCCCACAACTCTCTTCACTTTTTTCAGCTTATTTTCTCTTTCATGTTCAGCTAGAATAAACAGGAAGTTCTGTCTTTGTCACTGAAATTTTTCCTCTGTATTATACATTCTACTATTGAGCCAATACACTTTTATTCTAATTCCTGTATTTTTTATTTCTGTAGTTAAATTAGGTGTTTTTATTACTCATTTTTTTGCTGAAATTTATTACTCATTTCAAGAGATTTGTAATTGCTTGTTAAACTATTTACATACCTTATTTTAAATTATTGTCAAATCAGCCAGACAGTAATATAGGAAGTTTCAGATGTTGTTTCCCTCACATAAACAGATTTAAAACTATCAAAATTCCTTTTTGAGAAGCTCAGAGTCCTTTAAGCATTTGCAGTACCCTGGACAATCACAAACTGATACCAGCTGCACTGAAATGAATAGGAAGAACAGTATTCTTTTACCTAGTTTAGCTTGTTTTCCAAGTTTCAGGACAGCTCACAGCAAAAATAGATGGGTGAAGGAAAAGAGAGTTTGTGGCAGATTCAGTGTCCTTGGTCTTTCGGTACACTTTTTGAGGTTCTAGCTTCTGTCTTATCTCCCAGAGAGCACTGAAAGAATTGACACAGTATGGATGCCCAGGGCTGCTAAGGAGAGAGGCATATTTTTACAGCTAGCATAAGTATGTAAAATTAGAAAGTGATGCATGCCTGAGGGTTCTTACCCAGAAAGGGAAAGGAGCAGTGTATACCCCCAAAGCATTCCTTTGTGCCAACTAAAAGTTCAATTTCTGTCTCACTTCACACATCAGATAGGTATAATGCAATCACAATTGTTTTTAAGAGGAAGATATTACAGGTTTTTGAAAACAGCTAACAAAACAAGAATGCCCAGGGCAAATAGGGAGAAAGATCCAGAACTTCTCATTGGGAGGACTTAAAAATATATTTCCTAATGAAAGCCAGTCAAAAAAAACGAGACAGAGAACTGTTTCTTCAAATGCATGCACACAAACACAAAGCTGTACAGAACATGAAGAGTCAAAAAATAAGACACAATAAAAAGAATAAAACATACCTCTAGCAACCAACAATAAAGAAATGGAGATCTATGTGTTGCCTGACAATTAAAAATAGTCATTGTAAAAAAGTTGAGTGAGATACAAGAGAACACACACAGATAATTAAATCAGGAAAGTGTTACACAAAAAGAATGACACAAAGATGGTTATGAGGAAAAAAAAACATTCTGGAACTGAAAAATACGATAACTGAAATTTTAAGAATTAAGTAGAGTGGGCAACAGAATTAATCACACAGAAGAAAGAAATGTGAACTCTTAAAACATAAAATTTGAAATTAGCCACCCAAGAGCAAAAGGAGTAAAGAATGAAGAGACTAAGGAAAGTGTCTGACTCATGAACACCACTTACGTTGCCAGTCAACATAGCACATTATGAGAATTTTACGTGGAAGGAGAAAGAAAAAAGATAGTTTATTTGAAGGAATCATGGCTCAAAACTCCTCATTCTGGGGAAAGAAATGGACCAAGATTCATGATACTCAAAAGATACCAAATCAGGTGAACCACAAGTCTACACCAAGATACATTATCATTAAATGGTCAAAAGTCCAAACCAAATAGAAATTTGAAAGCAGCAAGAAAAATGCAATTTGTCATATGCAGGAAATCTCCATACAACTATCAATAGAATTGTCAGCTGAAACCTTGCAGGCCAGAAGATAGTGGAATTATTTATTTAAAGTGTTGGGAGAAAAATGCCAACCAATAATGTGAAACGCAGCAAAACTGTCCTGAAATAAAAGAGAAATGAAGAGGTTTCAGACAAAAGTTGGTGGTATTCATCATCACTGAAATTACCTTACAAGGAATGCTAAAGGGAATTAGGTTGAAACCAATGAAGCTAAACAGCAACACTGAAACAACTCCTTGATAAAGGTAAATATATAGGCATATATAATAATGTTCTAACATAAATCATAATAATGAACGAACACCATATAAAAATGTAAAATGTAATAAAAGCAGAGGAAAGGTAAAAGTGTTGATGCAATTATAGTTCAGTTATCAGCTTAAGATATAAGATGTTTTATGTAAGCTTCTAGAGTAACCACAAAGAAAATACCAATAGGAAATGCAGAAAGAAAAAAGGGAAAAGAATTAACTTTATGTCACTAAACATACACACCAAAAATCAACAAGTACAGAGACAGCCAGAGAAGAGGGTCAAAAGAACGATAAAATAGAAAACAACAAAAGAGCAATACAAGTACCTACCTATGTGTTTAAAACAATTAACTGAGCAAAGAACAATTAATAAATTCATAAAGTTTAGAGCAGTCTTCCTAGCCAGTGTAGGCTCTGATGCTCAAATGCAGCTACGTGGTGGAAGAAGATTTATGGACAGAAAAAGAAAGTGACTTACAGAAAACAGAAGTGAGGTACAGAAACAGCTGGATTGGTCACAGCTCAGCATTTGCCTTATTTGAACACAATTTGAACAGTTGGCCACCTTTTATTGGCCAAAACTTGACGCCAATATGGCTCCCTGCGCTTAAGTTACCACTTCAACTGTATTATTCTCTTCTGCTCTCTCATTCACCTCATAACTTTTCTGAAGCCGTGCTCTCTCGGTTACTGCCTTGCGTTTCCTCGAACGTTGCTGTAATCTGGTCTTGTGACATTTCAAGCATATCTTGCTGTTGTTCAGGGTAAGCATGCCTATGGAGCCTCAGACTAACTTCTGTTTTCTTGCCTTTAGTACTCAAACTGAGTTGTTGACAGCAATCCCACAAAGGGTCCCAACACACCTTATTAATGGGAGGCAAAATGGCAAGGGAAGTGCTAGTATTTTTCATCTAGTTTTTTGTGGCACTGTAAATTGTTCATTTGTTTGAAGTAGATGACCTTGATTGTATTTCTTAAATTTCTCCAGTTTGACATCAGAAATTGAAGAAACAACTTGGTTTCATTTGTTCCATAGTTGGATCATCTTTAACTGGCACCAATGTCAAAATCATACTTTCCTTATCATCTACTTCCCCCTCAGAGAAATTCTTGCTGCTATCCAAATTTGAGTCTGACATTTTCAGCAACACCCTGGGGAAGGCAAGGACAGCAATGTTAAGGATATATGGTATTTTACTTCTCTGAATCTGATTTCTCCTGTTTTTTGTTTTTTGGTTGTTTTTTTTTTTAAAGACAGAGTCATGCTCTGTTACCCAGGCTGGAGTGGTTATCTTGGCTCACTGCAACCGCCGCCTCCCAGGTTCAAGCAATTTTCCTGCCTCAGCCTCCCAAGTAGCTGGGATTATAGGCGCCTGCCACCATGCCTGGCTAATTTTTGTATTTTTAGGAGAGACGGGGTTCCACCATATTGGCCAGGCTGGTCTTGAACTCCTGACCTCATGATTCTCCTGCCTCGGACTCCCAAAGTGCTGGGATTACAGCCGTGAGCCACTGTGCACAGCCCGGTTTCTCCTTTTATAAGCAAATATCTTCTACTTCCTGTTACCCAGATGAGCTCTGTTTTCCTTTCGTTATCTTTTTCCTCTCCTTCATTTTCTGACAATGTGATAACGTTATCTGACAGTGGGATAACTTGTCCATTTGGTGATATGTTTTTTTTAAAAAATTAGGCCAGGCACAATGGCTCATGCCTGTAATCCCAACACTTTGGGAAGTTCAGGCAGGTGGATCACTTGAGTCCAGGAGTTCAAGATCTGCCTGGGAAACAGTGAGACCCCCATCTCTACCAAAAAATACAAAAATTAGGCAGGCGTTGTGGTGCATTTCTTTAATTTCACCTACTCAGGAGGAGGTGGTGGGAGGATTGTTCATGATGTTTTTTAAGTTCAGCCTAAAGAAACCTTCATGTATGTAGAAGTATCTATATATCTATATTTAGCATCTACATACATATATTTACACATCCTTATTTATGTGTATATCCTTGTCTGTACATATAGATATATAGACGCATCTACATATATAAATATTTCTTTATACATATGTATATATGTGTGGGGGGGTGTGTGTATGTGTAGAACTTCTAAACATAAAGCAAGTGATAAGAGATCAGAAGAAAAAATGCACAGAATGATAATAATAGCAGTAGACTTTAATACCCCTCAAAAATGGGTTCAACATTTACACAGAAAACTTTAAAAAAAAAAAGACTTGACAAGTTAAAATTTAGGAAGATTGAGAACATAGTGAGATATATTTTCTGATCACTATAGAAACAAAAAGTCAATAACAGGAAAAGTGGGGAAAAAAGCTCAAAACAAATGAAAATGAAAATACAACATACTGAGTAATTCAGAAGAAAACAAAGTTCAAACTTAGCAGTGAAGCAATAATAAATTGAAATAACAAAGTTTACCCAGAAATCAGAGAATAGAAGAATAGAAAGAATCAATAAAACTGTTAACTTTTTGAAAAATAAAACTAATTCTTAGCCACACTAAGAAAAAAAAAGGCTCAAGTAAGAAATAAGAGAGGAGACATCACAATGAATGGCTGAGATATGAAAGGGATCAAAGGGGACTGCAGTGAGCAATTATTTGCCAATAAACTAAATAACATAGAAGAAATTGATAAATTTATATAAACACATAAAGTACCAAGATTGAATGATAAAAACTTAGAAACTTTTTTTTTCCTGGAGACAGTCTTGCTTAGGCACGTGCCAGGCTAATTTTCATGGAGGTGGGATTGGACATGTTCAAGCTGCCCTAGAACTCCTGAGCTCAGGTGATCCTCCTGCCTCAGCCTTCCACTGTGCTGGGATTACAGGCGTGAGTAACCAGCCTGGCTGACATAAAAAAACAGAGTAACAAAAAGATTACTGTCATTACGTTTGCTTACCAACTTTCTCCTCTGCAGGATCTGTGGTGTCCTTCAGTTAATTCCAATAAGGAATCAGTAATCAAAAACTCACAATAAGAAAGGCCCAGGACTACATGGCTTCATGGATGAATGTAACCAAATATTTAAAGAAAAATTTACATCAACCCTTCTTAAACTCTTCTTAAAATTTGAAAAACAGATATTTTCCCAAAAGGCAGATTAGAGGCTTTTAACGTGCCTCAGCCACTTGGAAATAGCAAAAATCATGTGTAAATATAAATTCTGTAAGCTTTAATATGATAAAGAAAATGAGGGCCAGGCACAGTGGCTCACACCTGTAATCCCAGCACTTTGGGAGGCCAAGGTGGGCAGATCACCTGAGGTCAGGAGTTCAAGACCAGCGTGGCCAACACAGTGAGACCCTGTCTCTACTTAAAAAATACAAAAATTAGCTGGGTATGGTGGTACATTCTTGTAATCCCAGCTACTCAGGAGGTTGAGGTAGGAGAATCGCTTGAACCCAAGAGGTGGAGGTTTCAGTGAGCCGAAGATTGAGCTACTGCAGTATAGCCTGGGCAAGAGAGTGAGACTTTGTCTCAAAAAAAAAAAAAAAAAAAGGAAAAGAAAATGATAATTCACCAGAACAGAATACACTGAAGGACACCACAGATTCTGCAGAGGAAAGGGTTGGTAACCAAACCCAATGACAGCATTCAGCTGATAAAAGTGAGTGAAGCTCCAGTGAGGACAGAGAGTCCCCTTCTGTGACTTATTATTCCATTATGGATCTGTGGATCTCAGGCCAAGGGAGAACACCTTGTTTCTTCCAAGCCTGGGAGTTAACCAGTGGAGAGGTTGAGAGGCAGAGAGGAAGAAAGAGGCACCAGGAAAAGCTCTAGGCATTTTTCCAGATCCAAGGCTGAGACGAAGACACCGCTGTAGAACTGAAGCAAGAGAAGAGTGGCAAAAGCTGAGGTTTCTCCTGGGCAGAGACTTGCAGCCAGGGAAAGCTTTGTGACCTGGAACCTGTCTGTTTGTGTTACTGCTAGATGTCTCAGCCTACTCCCCTGGCTTGTGGGCAAAGCATGCCTCACCACTTCTGAAGAATGAGAGGGAGGCCGACCCCACTTCTGCTTGCCTCAATTGGGAGCATGGGCCAAAACTTCCCTCCATTGCAAAGATCTCAGTGCAAAAGAGCTCTCTTCACTTGACACCAAGACATGTCTTCAGGCACTTGGAGCACCCACTCCTAGATTATAAATTTAGGCTGACCTCAGCCTAAATTTGGGGCAGAACTTGGGGCAGCAGAGGTTTCACAACTCCATGCCTAGACACACCTCTGGCCACTAGGAGCTGTACAGCAGAACCCCTTCCCCTCAGAACTAATGCTTTTGCCTGTCATTGGGGGACTTGTAGACGGGCCTTTCTGGTTCAGCCCTGCCCATGTTGTGCCAGCCAAACCCATATGTGGGGCTAAGCAGGGAGCTCAGATCACTGTGCATTTCACAGATCAGCCAATTGCCTGAGGCAATAGAGAGTTTCTCTGAGTAAACAGGCATCGAGTATGCACACATCTACACTGGCAACAGTTATTATCTGTGCCACCTACTGGACTGAACATTGAACAGTGAATACTCTTGCAACTTGTATAGACTTTCCCACTGAAAGCACAGAACCAAAGTCAAAGACAACATCATACATTATAGACACCTCCCAAAGGGGTGTGTGTGACCAGGGTGGGATGGGGATGAGGGACAGTTGATTCCTGGCCAAACAAGAGTGAATACAAAAAAGAAAAAGAAAAAAATTATCCTGATGAGAAACAAAGAAAAACTCCAAAAGTGTACTTAGAAAAGAGTGTTACAGCATTTGCAAAGAATCACACTAACTCTCCAGCAGTGAATTTTAACCAAAATGAAATCTTTGAAATACCAGATAATTCAAAATTCTGATTTTAAAGCTCAATGAGAAGCCAGGCATGGTGGTGCACACCTATAATCTTAGCTACTCAGGAGGCTGAGGCTGGAGAATTGCTTGAACCCAGAGGATAGAGGTTGCAGTGGGCCAAGATTGTGCCACTGCACTCCAGCCTGGACGACAAAGTGAGACCCTGTCTCAATAAATAAATACATAAATAAATAAAGCTTAATGAGATCCAAGAGAAAGCTAAAAACTGACACAAATCATGAAAATAACTTAGGGTGTATTCATGAAAGGAATTACTAAATACAGCTGAAATATTTAACAATAGGCTAGACCAAGTGGGAGAACATATTTCAGAACTCAAAGACATGTCTTTCAAATTAACCTAGTCAGACAAAAGTTAAGAAAAAAGAATTTTGACAATGAACAAAGCCTCAGAAAATAAGATTATGTAAAGCATTCAAACCTATGACTTAGATATTATAGAAGGAGAAGAAGAAAAAGTAAAAAGTATGCAAAACCTAATTAAAAGAATAATTCAGAAAAACTCAGGCTTTGGGAGAGATTTAGGCATCTGACTACAAGAAGCCCAGAGAATTCCTGGAAGATAAATTCCAAGAAGAACCTCACCAAGTCATTTAGTCATGAGACTGTTCAACATAAATGTGAAGGAAAAAATCCTAAGGGTGGCGAGAGAGAAATTTCAATCTTTTATAAAGGAAATCCCATCAGATTAACAGCAGGCTGCTAAGCAGAAACCCTACAAGCCAGAATGAAAAGGGGCTATTTTTATCTTCCTTAATGAAAAATATAATACCCCATCAAGAATTTTATATTCTGCCAAACTAAGCTTCATAAATGGAAGAGAAATAAAGTATTTCCCAGACAAACAAATGCTTAGGAGTTCATCACCAATAGAAAAGGCCTACAAGGAATTATCAAAGAAGTTCTAAACATGAAAACAAAAGAATGATACTCACCATCATAAAAACAATATATAAGTACAAAGTTCACAGATCCTTTAAACACTCCAAAACAGATCCTATTGACACTCCAAAACAACTAGCTAACACTGTAACAGGAACAAAACCTCATGTATCTGTATTAACCTTGAATGTAAATAGCCTAAGTGCTCCACTTAAAAGATAAAGTGTCAAACTGGATTGAAAAAGTAAGACCCAACAATCTCCTGCCTGCAAAAGACCTATATTGAGAGCTAAAGGCAGCTACAGACTCATAGTAAAGGAATGGGAAAATATAAATCACTCAAATGGAAAGCAAAAGCAGAAAGGAGTATCAGATACAACAGATTTGTTAAAACAACAACAGTAAAAACAACAACAAAAACAAGGGCATTATATAACATTAAAGGAGAAATGACAGAGAAGTGTCACTCCCTACTCATATCTACTACCCAATGACTATTCCTTATTTCTTTCTCTTCCTTTCTCATCCATCCACTGAAACTAACTTATCCCCTTAGTTTCTGGTTTATACTTTCTGTATTTCTTCTACATATGTGACAGATACGTGTACATTTTTTCATCCCCTTCCTCCTTACATGAAAGGTAGCATACTATACATCCTGTTCATTTAACAGTATATTTTTCAAATTACTTCAGATTGGTTAGTAGAGATCTTTCTCACTATTGTTTATGGATATAAAGTACTCCATTGTGTGGAAGTATTATAATTCATCCAACTACTCTCTTGTAAATGAACATTTGAGTAGTTTTAATATACAATTATACAAATACTGCTGTACTGTATATCTTTGTCATTATGTATTTCCTTATCATTGAGATATATGTTTACCACAAACTTTCAGCAGCACAATTATTGGATCAGAGGGCAAATTTTAGTCCCAGTTTTTTCTCCAGCACTGTTTTACCAATATGCATTTCTATTTTCACTAACAACATAGGAAAGTTTCTGTTTGCCAAGAGCCTTACCAGAGACTATGCTTCCATATATTTTAATTTTGTAAGTCAAATAGGTAAAATATGTTAAATTTGTATGTCATTTTTTATTTTTAAAAATGTTTACAGAGACAGTCTCATTCTGTCACTCATGATCGAGTGCTGTGGCACTGTGATAATTCACTGCTAGGCTCAAACTCCTGAACTCAAACCATTCTGCCTCAACCTCCTGAGGAGCTTGAACTAAAGACATGTGCTATGCTGGTTAGTTTTTAAATATTATTTTGTAGAGATAGGGTCTTACAACATTGCACAGGCTGGCTCAAATTCCTGGTCACAAGCAATTCTCCCACCTCCACCTCCCAACATGCTGGTGTTACAGGTGTTACACACCTGGCTCTAATTTGCATTCTATAAGTCATGTTTTTGAATTTTTTTTTTTTTTTTTTTTGAGATGGAGTCTCACTCTGTCACCCAGGCTGGAGTGCAATGGCATGATCTCAGCTCTCTGCAACCTCCACCTCCTGGATTAGGAAATTTTTTTGCCTCAGCCTCCCGAGTAGCTGGGATTACTGGCACCTGCCACCACATCCAGCTAATTTTTGTATTTTTAATAGAGACAGGGTTTCACCATCTTGGCCAGGCTGGTCTTGAACTCCTGACCTCATGATCCACCCGCTTTGGCCTCCCAAAGTGCTGGGATTACAGGCATGAGCCGCCGCACCCAGCCTCGATTTTTTTAAATTTGTTCAGTGACTGTTTTGATATCTTACGTAATTAATTTTCTGTTTGCCTAACTTTCCCTTTTTTTTCCTGCCAGGTTTTTGTCCTTAGCCCCTTAACATGTGAGTTCTTTACAAATTAGATATCCTAGTGCTTTTACTGTGATACATGTTATGAATGTTATTTCCCATTTTGTCAGTGGTTTCTTGATTTGTGTATGGTGCTGTTTTCCTGTACAAACTTACTGTTTAAGGTAGTCAAATTTATCAATTCTTAGTTTTATTTCTTCTGGATTTTGACTTGTTCTAACTAGGTTTGTAAAAAAACATTTTGACAAAAAGATTAATGGACATTAATCTGTTTTCTCTAACATTTTTATGTTTTACTTTTTTTTTTTTTTTTTTTTTTTTTTTTTTGAGATGGAGCCTCACTCTGACACCTAGACCAGAGGGCAGTGATGCAATCCCGGCTCACTGCAACCTCCACCTCCCAGGTTCAAGCAATTCTCCTGCCTCAGCCTCCTTAGTAGCTGGGATTACAGCTGCATGGCACCATGCTCAGCTAATTTTTGTATTTTTATTAGAGATGGGGTCTCTACATTGCCAGGCTGGTTTCGAACTCTTGACCTCAGGTGAGCCGCCCACCTCAGCCTCCCAAAGTGCTGGGATTACAGGCATGAGCCACTGTGCCCGACCCTGTTTTACTTTTTATATTTTAATTGCAAGTTTGTTTGGAGTTTATTCTTATGTTCAGTCTAAGACATGAAGGTAATTTTGTCATTTTCCAAATGGATCCCTTGTTGCACAAGAAGTATTCATCTACTTTTAACCCAAGTATTTTAGCTGCCTCTTATATTTTCATATGTACTTTAGTCTATTTGGGTTTATAATTTTTCTTATTTTAAATTTTTTATAGGTTTAGGGCATACAAGTGCAGTTTTGTTACATAAACATATTAGATATAATAACGTTTGGGCTTTTAGTGTACCCATCACCTCAATAGTGTACATTGTATACAGTAGGTAACTTCTCATCCCTTACTTCCCTCCCACTTGCCCACCTTTCTGATTCTCCTATGCCAATCATTACACACTCTATGTCCATGTGTACACATTATTTAGCGCCCACTTATACGTAAAAATGTAGTATTTGACTTTCTGTTTCTCAGTTATTTCACTTAGCCTCCAGTTCCATCTGCCCTGCTGCAAAAAGATATTTCATTCTTTTTTTATGGCTCGGCATTTTTCCATGGTATATTTGTAGATTTTTTTATTCAGTCATCCATTGATGAACACTTAGTTTGGTTTCACATCTTTGCTACTGTGAATGGTGCTGTGATAAGCATACAAGTGCAGTATCTTTTTGATATAATTATTTATATTCCTTTGGGTGGATATTCAGTAATAAGATGACTGGATCAAATTTTAGTTTTATTTTTAGATCTTTGAGATATTGCCATATGGTTTTCCATAGAGGTTGTAAAAATATACATTCCCACCAAGAGTATATAAGCATTCTCTTTTCTCCAAATTCTCACCAACATTTGTTATTCTTTGACTTTTTAATAATACTGATTCTGACTGGTGGAAGATAGTATCTTGTTGTGATTTTAATTTTTATTTCCCTGATGCTTCATGAGGTTCAGCATTTTCACATGCTTCCTGGCCATTTGTATGTTTTCTTTTAAACACTAGCTGTTCATCTTCTTTTCCCAATTTTTAGCGAGGTTACATTTTTTTATTGTTGAATAGTTTGAGTTCCTTGTGGTTTATGGATATTAGTCCATTGTTTTCAAATATTTTCTCCCATGGTGTAAACTGTTCACTGCATTATTGCGTTTACTGTGCAGAAATTTTTAGTTTAATTCTCATTTGTTTATTTTGTTTTTGTTGAACTTGCTTTTGAGGTCTTAGTCATACATCATTTGCCTGGGCCAAAGCTTCTGAGTTGTCTTCAAGATTTTAATAGGCCAGTTGCAATGGCTCAACCCTGTAATCCCAGCACTTTGGGAGGCTGAGGTGGGTGGATCAAGTGAAGTCAGGAGTTTGAGAGCAGACTGGCCAGCATGGTGAGACCCCATCTCTACTAAAAATACAAAAATTAGCTGGGCATGGTGGTGCACGCCCGTCATCCCAGCTACTCTGGAGACTGAGGCACAAGAATTGCTTGAACTCAGGAGGTGGAGGTTGGAGTGAGCCAAGATTGCACCACTGTACTCCAGCCTGGGTGACAGAGAGAACACAAAGAAAATACACTTTTAAAATAGTTTTTAGCTTTACATTTAAGTTCTGTATTCATGTGCATGATGTGCAGGTTTGTTACATATATAATCATGTGCCATGGTGATTTGCTGCACCTGTCAACCCATCACCTAGGTATTTAGCCTAGCGTGCACTAGCTATTTTTCCTGATGCTCTCCTTCCCTCACATCCATCCACCAACAGACCCCAATGTATTACCCTCCCTTTGTCTATGTGTTCACATTGTTCACCTCCCACTTATAAGTGAGAACATGCAGACTTTGGCTTTCTGTTCCTTTGTTACTTTGCTGAGGATAATGGTGTCCAGCTCCATCCATGTCCCTGCAAAGGACATGACATAATTCCTATTTATGGTTGCATAGTATTCTATGGTATATATATACTACATTTTCTTCATCCAATCTATTATTGATGGGCATTTCTGTTGATTCCATCTTTTTGCTATTGTGAATAGTGCTACAATGAACATGCAAATGCATGTATCTTAAGAATAGAATGACTTATATTTCTTTGGGTATATATCCAGTAATGGGATTGCTATGTCAAAAGGTATTTCTGTTTCTAGGTCTTTTAGGAATTGCCTCACTGTCTTCCACAATGGTTGGACTAATTTACATTCCTACCAACAATGTAAAAGTATTCCTATTTCTCTGCAGCCTTGCCAGCATCTGTAGTTTCCAGGAGATGACATGATCCTATATCTAGAAAACCCCTTCATCTCAGCCCAAAATCTTTTGAAGCTGATAAGCAACTTCAGCAACATCTCAGGATATGAAATCAATGTGCAAAAAAGTCACAAGCATTCCTTTACACCAACAGCAGGCAAGCTGAGAGCCAAATAATGAATGAACTCCCATATCACAATTGCTACAAACAATAAAATATCAAGGAATACAGCTAACAAGAGAATTAAAGGTCCTCTTCAAGGAGAACTACCAACGACTATTCAAGGAAATCACAGAGGACACAAACAAATGGAGAAACATTCCACGCTTGAGGATAAGAAAAATGAGTATTGTGAAAATAACCATACTTCTCAAAGTAATGTATAGATTCAATGCTACTCCCATTAAACTACCATTGACATTCTTCAGATAATTGGAAAACATATTTTAAAATCATATGGAAGCCAAAAAGAGGCTGTATAGCTAAGACAGTCCTAAGCAGAAATAAAAAAGCTGGAGACATCATGCTACCCAAGTTCCAACTACACTACAAGGATATAGTAACCAAAACAGCATGGTACTGGTACAAAAACAGACACATACTCCAATGGAACAGAATAAAGATTTCGGAAATAAGACTGCACATCTACAACCATCTGATCTTTGACAAACCTGACAAAAACAAGCAACGGGGAAAGGGTTCTCTGTTACTAAATGGTGCTGGGAGAACTGGCTAGCCATATGCAGAAAATTGATATATTTAAGTTTTAATCCATTTTGAGTTAGGTTTTGTATGTAGTGAGAGATGTGGGTCTAGGTTCATTCTTCTGCACTTGGCTATTCTGTTTTCTTAGCACCATTTATTGAATAGGGTGTCCTTTCCCCATTGCATATATTTGTCGACTTGAATATTAGTAGCTGTATATACGTGATTTTATTTCTGGGTCCTCAGTTTTGTTCCATTGATCCATATGTCTATTTTTTATAATGGTGTCATGCTGTTTCAGTTGCTACAGCCTTGTAGTATATGTGTGTGTGTGTGTGTGTACACACACACATATATACACACACATATATGTGTGTATATAAATATATGTGTGTATATGTCTATATATTATATGTAGATTTTATATGTCTGTATGTAAATATATATATAATATATTGGAGACTAGGTGGGGCAAAATGATGTAATAAGCTCAAAATATATATAATATATATTATATATTATACATATATATGTATTTTTTGAGATAAGGTCTAGCTCTGTTACCCAGGTTAGAGTGCACTGGTGCATTCTCAGCTCACTGCAAACTTTGCCTCCCAGGCTCAAGCCATCCTCCCACCTCAGCCTCCCAAGTGGCTGGGACCACAGGCATGCACCACCATGCCCAGCTCATTTTTGTATTTTTTTTTTCTAGAGATGGGGCCTCACTTTTTGCCCAGGTTGGTCTTGAACTCCTGAGCTCAAGTGATCTGCCCACCTCAGCCTTCCAAAGTGCTGGGATTACAGGTGTGATCCACTGCATCCAGAAACCTTGTAGCATAATTTGATATTTGGTAATATGCTGCCTCCAGTTTAGTTCTTTTTACTTAGAACTGTGTTAGCCATTTGACTGTCTTTTTTGTTTTGTTTTGTTTTGTTGTTTGGTGCATGTGAATTTTAGAATTGTTTTCTCTGTACCTGTGAAAGATGACCTTGGTATGTTAGTGGAAATTTCATTGAATCTATCGATTGTTTTGGCAATATGGTCATTTTAACAATGTCGATTCTTTAAATCCATTAACATGAGATGCTTTTCCATTTGTTTGTGTCATCTATGAATTCTTTTCCTCTAGGTTTTGTAGTTCTCCTTGCAGAGATCTTTCAATCCTTGAATAACGTACTTACAGGCATTTTTTGTTGTGGTTATAGCTATTATAAATGGGACTGACATTGATTTAGGGCTCAGCTTGATTATTACTGTTGAATTGTTTCTAGTTTTATTTCAATGTTGTCAGCAAAAGTACTTGCTATGAGTCCTACTTATATGAATTTGTTGAGACTTGTTTTGCAGCCTATGATGTGGTCTATTCTGGAGAATGCTTTGTTTCCTAATGGAAAGAACATACATTTAGCTACTGTTGGGTGAATTGTAAATGTCAATTATGCCTATTTGGTCTAATGTGTAGTTTTACTCCAATATTTATTTTTTGATTTCCTGTCAGAATCATCTGCTCATTCCTGAGAGTGGGGACATTATAGCCCTCTAATATTGTTGTATTGGAATCTACCTCTCCCTTTAAATTTATTACTGTTTGCTTTATACCCTTGGGATCTCAATGTTGGTTGCAAAGACCCTTAAAATTGTTATAGTCTCTTCTGAATTGACCCCTTAATTATTATATAGTCACATTCTTTGTCTCTTTGCACAGCCTTTGATTTGTGGTCTACTTTATCTATATAACTATAGGTGTTCCTCCTCCTTTTCAGTTTCCAGTTCCACGGAATATAATTTTCCAGCCTATCACATTCAGTCTGTATGTGTCTTTGTAGGTGATGTAGGTTTATTGTAGGCAGCATATCACTGGGCCCTATATCTTTATTCAGCCAATCTATGCTTTTTTATTTTATTTAATTTATTTTTTATTTTTTTGAGACAGGGTCTTGCTCTGTCACACATGCAGAAGTGCAGTGGCATAATGTCCACATACTGCAGCCTCAATCTCCTGGGCTCAAGCAGTCATCCCACCCGAGCATACTGAGTAGCTGGGACTACAGGCACAACTTCCACACCTGGCTAATTTTTGTATTTTTTGTAGTGACAGCATTACATCATTTTGTCCCACCTAGTCTCCAACACCTGGGCTTAAGTAATCTGCCTTCCTCAGCCTCCCAAAGTGTTGTGATTACAGGTGTGAGTCACCATACCCAGCCCACTCTAGGCATTATAATTAAACAATTGAGTCCATTTGCTTTAAGTATTATAATAGATAAGTAAAAACTTCACTACTGCCATTTTGTCATGTATTTTTCTTGTTTTGTAGCTCCTCTCTCTTCCCTTCCTTTTTTTTTGTGGTTAAATAAATTGCTCTGATATTATGTCTTAATTCATTGCTTTTAATTTTGGTAAATCCCTTCTAGGTTTATGCATAGTATTTACAATGAGGCTTAAGACAACTTATCACTGATAACAAGCAAGACGTTAAAAATACCCCAAAGATGAAAAACAACCTCTTCAATTTAACTGCATTTCTCCTAACTTAAAAGTGTTTTCTCATATTTTTATATTGCCTATATCTTAACAGGTTGCTGTAGCTATTATTATTTGATTTTGATATATTTGTCTTCTGACCTTTATAGTTATGAGTAGATTTTGATATAGTTGTCTTCTGGTCTTTATAGAGTTGTGAGTGGATTGTCCACTGGAATGATAGTATTATTTAGAGTATTTGGTATTGGTTTGTGTTATAATAATTTTAACAGTGGGTTTTATATCTGCAAATATTTTCTTGTTGCAAGTTAGTGTTTTTTTTCTTTCAGATTGAAGCACTCCCTTTAGCATTTCTTGTAAGATGAGCCTGATATGGGTGAATTATCACATTCTGGTGGTGCTAAATTCTCTCTTGTTTTTTTTCTTCTTGATCTGGGGAAGACTTTTTCTTTCAAATTTAAATTACAGTTTTGCTGAATACAGTATTCTTTAATTGCATTTTTTGTCTTTCATCACTTTAAAAACATTCCTTCCTGGCCCATGGTTTCCATTGAGAAATCTGTTGCCAGATGAACTGAAATTCCTTTTCTTTTCTGGGACAGAGTTTCACTCTGTTGCCCAGGCTGGAGTGCAGTGGCACAATCTCACTTCACTGAAATATCCACCTCCCAGGCTGATGTGATACTCATGCCTCAGCCTCCTGAGCAGCTAAGATTACAGGCGTATGTCAACACACCCAACTAACTTTCATACTTTTTAGTAGAAATGGGGTTTCACTATGTTGGCCAGGCTGGTCTTGAACTCCTGGCCTCTAGTGAGCCACCTGCCTTGACCTCCCAAAGTGCTGGGATTACAGGCATGAGCCACTGTGCCCAACCAAAATTCCCTTTTATGTTATTTGCTTCTGTTGTCTTACTTCTTGAGGGATTCGCTGTCCTTGACCTTTGAGAATTTGATTATTATTTGCATGGGGATAGTCTTATTTTGATTGAATTGGTTTGGTGATCTCTGACCTTCCTGTACCTGAATATTTATCTTTGTCACATTTTGAAAACTTTTCTGTTATTATCTGAATAAGTTTTCTACCTCTACCTCCTTCTCAATTCCCTGTTGAACCATAATAATTCTTAGAATTCATTTTGAGCTAATTTTCTGTCTTTTAAGGGATCTTCATTTCTTTTCATTTTTTCTTCTTTGTGTATTTTCAGGTAGCCTGTTTTTAAGCTCACTGATTCTTTGCTCAGCTTGCTTTATGCTGTTAATATCCTCTAGTAAGTTTTTCAGTACAACAAATGTATTTCTTAGTTTCAAGATTTCTGTTTGACTTTTAAATTATTTCCATCTTTTTATTAACTTTCTCTAATTGTTGTTATTTTTCTGTGTTATCTTGGACTACATTCCCTTAAAACTGTTATTTTGAATTAATTTTTTTTCTCTTTCTTTCTCCCATCAACTTTATAGTCATAAAAGATAATATTTTGAATTCTTGGTCAAAGAGTTCACATATCCTGTCCCATTAGGTGTAGTCGTTGCTTTCTTGCTTTGTATGGGAAGGTCATGGTTCCTTTTTGCTGTCATTTCTTATTGATATACATCTATGTTATTGCCGGGAAGGAGTAGTTATTTAATCCAATCTTAGATATGTTTGCTTAGAGATTCTTTGTAATTTACCTGTTGGTCATCTTTCTTTTCCCCCTCAATGTTAACTGATTCCTTTTTGGCCAGATGGTACATTAAGTCCTGTCATGCCATGTTTCTAGTAAACAATCAGACTGTCACCCATAACAAATTAGGAGACGCCTAAAAGGATATTTCATTAGTGTCAGAAGGCTGGCTCAGTGTTTGTGCCCAGGGGACCTGGGCAACAAATATCTTATAGCGTGATCCTTCTGACAGCAGAGTTACAGCAGGCCTGTGGATGGTAGTCCCACCTTCTCCCCTTTTCTCTGGCTTTCCTCAAGGAATGTCTCCCTTCATACACTTCTGATGCTTTCTATGGGTTGAGGTAGGAAGAGGTCTCCTGCCAGAGAACCCAAGATGGTTATCCACTTCAATCTCAATTTTTGCAGTAAAGACTGCAAAATATGAGTCATGAAGAAATTTTCTGTATGCTTAAGTGGTGCCAGGCAGATTTGGGGAGGCGCCTTATACATATGGAAGGCCAATTCTTTTACCATCTGCTTGAAATTTTTTTACTTGTCTGTGGTCTGGCAAACTGTTTCATCTTTATATTTGAGTTCTAAGATAATGCTGGTGATAATCTGGCTGGTATATATTTCTTCTTGGTTTTCTTTGGGGGATGGGGAGTAAAGTCAGCTTGCTGCTACCAGTATATGAATTTTGATCAAGCTTGTCCAACCCATGGCCCACAGGCTGCATGTGGCTCTGAATGGCCCAACACAAATCTGTAACCTTTCTTAAAACATTATGAGATTTATGCACAGAACTTTTTAAAATTATTTTATTTTTAGTTAATCAGCTATCATTAGCGTTCATGTGTTTTATGTGTGTCCCAAGACAATTGTTCTTTCAGTGTGGTCCAAGGCAGCTAAAAGATTGGACACACCTAATGATGGTTGGTCTGTATTGTGGCCAATGGAGATGCTGCACCAAAGAGATTGACCAACAGCATCACACTTGAGGAAACATGATCCACAGGTCTTACAGGGTTGACTTCTTACCCAGCTACCCACGTAATCAATAAGCTCTGATTGTCGACTGATTCTAATCAGGTGCTAAGCCAGCATCAGAGGTCATAGAATTGTAACTTGGTTTGCATTAAGCATGGTTGTCATGGACTTGAGGTTCACTTAGTGCTGTGATGGCAGCAGTCATCAAGTGTGGGGGTCTGTTCTGCAGACCCTGACCTAATGATGTATGAGTAAAGTACACTGACACATAGTTATCCTGCTTTGCCTGTTCAGCTGAGCATCTGGACCACTTAGTTGCAGTGTGGCCTCGATCAATCAATGAGACTTGCATTTATTCAGTAAAGATTAATTGACAAAGTTCATGAGTAAACACCACTAGAGGATAATTGACCTAGTCACCCCTACCCCAGAGAGAGCAATCATGCACCCATGAATGATCAAAGGTTAGTCTTAAGACGACATGAGTAAACAAGCTAGTTAGATAAACTCCCCACATTCCTTTGTACTCACTTTAAGCTATTTACTTAAGGTAAGGATCAGGTTCGCTTCAGCCATAACAGTTACTAAAGCTCTGCAAACTTTTCAGCCTTCCACGAAGGTTTAGGGCTATTACTATCTTTAATATTTTTCCCACCAACCTGATTGAACCCCTACAGTCAAGAACTTAGGGACACAACAGATAGTGTGTTCAGAATATATGGACAGGCCTGCTAGGAAAAAGATGGTCACAGACAAAACTATAGTTTTAAGACTGGAATAAATACCCACTTCCTCAACAAACAGACATTGATGCACAACCACATGAATCAAAAATAATCAGAGAAGCAGGATGTGGTGGTTCATGCCTATAATCCGAGCACTTTGGGAGGCTGAGGTGGGCAGATCATTTGAGGTCAGGAGTTCGAGACCAGCCTGACCAACATGGTGAAACCCTGTCTCTACTAAAAATACAAAAAAATTAGCCAGGTGTGGTGGCATATATCTGCAGTCCCAGCTGCTTGGGAGGCTGAGGCAGGAAAATCACTTGAACCCAGGAGGCGGAGGTTGCAGTGAGCTGAGATTGCACCACTGCGCTCCAGCCTGGGCCATATAGTGAGACTCTGTCTAAAAAAAATAAAATAACAGAGACATGACATGCACCAAATGGACAAAATAAAATGCAGTTGCTAAATATATATGATTAGCCTAACAAAGAATTCAGACCAGGAAGAACTGTGTTGCTTTTTTCTATTTGTTTTTTTGAGATGAATTCTCACTCTGTCGCCCAGGCTGGAATGCAGTGGCATGATCTCAGCGAAGACACATGTTTTAAGGCAGAACAGTAAACTTCAATAAAACAGATAAATAATTTTGAAATTTAGCAGAGAAATTTAACAGACAGTTTATAAACAAATAAAATGAAAATCTTGGAATTGGAAATATGGCAAATAAAATAAAAATTGCAACAGAGAGCATCAGCAGAAGAATTGATCTAGCAGAAGTAATAATCAGTGAGTTCAAAGACCAGCTATTAGAAAATAGAGTGAAAAGTGATTCTCCTGCTTTATATATATATTTTATATATATTGCATAAATATGTATATAAATAAATATTATATATAAATATAAATAACTTCAGGCAAATTTATTATTTATTGATTTAATAAAAGCAACAAAACTAGGTTATGGGATGTACAGTAAACATCAAAAGAACAAATGTTTAGGTCACAGGATTTCAAGAGAGATATATGAAGACAAATGGGTAGATGGCTTATTTTAAAATATAATAGAAGAATACTTGTCAAACCTGAAGAATGATAAAAATATTTAGGTGCAGGATAAAAACATCATCATTCAGATTCAATCCAAACAAAGTTAGTATAAAACATATTGCAATCAAACTGCCAAAAGTCAACAAAAAAGAGAGGATCCTAAAAGCAGCAAGAAAAAAGCATAAGGAACTTCTAATACATCTAGAAATATTATGGGCCCACAGGGAGTGAGATAATTAATGTATTTAAAGTGCTGAAGAAAACAAGTGCCAACCAAGAAGCAAAGCTTTCTTTCAGAAATGAAGAGAGATACATGTTTTCCCAGACAAACAAAAGTTTAGAAAGTTTATCATCATTAGACCTGTTATACAAGATATGCTAATGGAGTTCTTTAATCTGAAAGGAAGAGTACAAATAAGAAACACAAAAACATCTAAAGATTTAAAACTCTGATTAAAATAAATGTAGTCAAACTCAGAATATTCTAATCGCCTAATGGTGCTGTGCACAATAAACAGATGTAGGCCGGGCATGGTGGCATGTGCTTGTAATCACAACATTTTGGGAGGCCAAGATGGGCAGATTCCTTGAATCCAAGGATTCGAGACCATCCTGAGCCACATGGTGAAATCTGTGTTTACTAAAAATCTAAAAAATTTAGCCAGGCATGGTGGTTAATTTGGGAGTCTGAGATGGGAAAATCACAGCCAGGGAAGTTGAAGGCTGCAGTGAGCCATGATCACACAACTGCACCACAGGTGACAGATGTGAGACACTGTCTCCAAAAAAAAAAAGTAAATTTTTGCATCATAATTCAAAATGTGGGTGGAGTTAAAGTGTAGAACTTTTTTTTTCTGGTAATCAAAGTTAGGTTGTTACTAGTTTTATTTATTTATTTATTTATTTATTTAAGATGGAGTTTTGCTCTTGTTGCCCAGGCTGGAATGCAATGGTGCAGTCTTGGCTCATCACAACCTCCACCTCCCAAGTTCAAGTGATTCTCTTGCCTCAGCATCCTGAGTAGCTGGGATTACAGGCATGCACCACCACACCCGGATAATTTTGTATTTTTAGTAGAGATGGGGTTTCCCCATGTTGGCCAGGCTAGTCTCTCAAACCCCTGACCTCAGGTGACCTGCCCCCCTCAGCCTCATGAAGTGCTGGGATTCCAGGCGTGAGCCACCGTGCCCCACCACGTTACTAGTTTTAAAAACCTTTTACAACAATATCAGACTCTTTTTCTAAGCCTCATGGTAACCTCAAAGCCAAAATCTATAATAGATACACTAAAAATAACTATGAAGAAATTAAATAATAATACTAGCGAACATTATTTAATCACAAAGGAAGACAGTAAGAGAGGAAGAAAGAAAAAAGGACCTACAAAACAACAGAAAACAATTAACAAAATAGCATAAGTTCTCAACTCTCAATAATTAACTTGAACCCAGGTGCAGTGGACCACACCTATAATCCCAGCACTTTGGGTGGTGGAAGCAAGCAAATTACCCGAGGTCAGTAGTTAAAGACCAGTCTGGCCAACCTGGTAAAACTCCGTCTCTTATAAAAATACAAAAAAAAAAAAAAAAAAAAAAAAAGCCAGGCGCGGTGGCTCATGCCTGTAATCCCAGCACTTTGGGAACCGAGGCGGGCGGATCATGACGTCAGGAGTTTGAGATCAGCCTGGCCAATATGGTGAAACCTCGTCTCTATTAAAAAAATTTTAAAAATTAGCTGGGCATGGTGGCACATGCCTGTAGTCCCAGCTACTCGAGAGGCTGAGACAGGAGAATCACTTGAACCTGGGAGGCGGAGGTTGCACTGAGCCGAGATCGCGCCGCTGTACTCCAGCCTAGGTGACAGCGCGAGACTCCATCTAAAATAAATAAATAAACAAATAGTCAGGCGCGGTGATACACGCCTGAATCCCAGCTATTTGGAAGGCTGAAGCAGGAGAATTGCTTGAATCCAGGAGGCGGAGGATGCAGTGAGCTGATGAGAGACGAGGTAAAAAGAGACCACCTAGGTAGATGGTTAGAGCAGACAGTCTTTGGCAAGAACTTTTCTAATAAAAGGAAGCTCAATAAATCATTTCTCGGCCAGGCATAGTAGCTAACGCCTGTAATCCCAGCACTTTGGGAGGCTGAGGTGGCGGATTCCCTGAAGTCAGGAATTTGAGATCAGCCTGGTCAACATGGTGAAACCCCGTCTCTTTTTCTTTTTCTTTTTCTTTTTTTCTTTTTTTTTTTTTTTTTTGGTGAAACCTCATCTCTACTTAAAAAAAGTACAAAAATTAGCTGGGTGCGGTGGCAGGCAACTATAATTCCAGCTACTTGAGAGGCTGAGGCAGGAAAACCGCTGGAACTTGGGAGGTGGAAGTTGCAGTGAGCCGAGATTGTGCCATTGCACACCAGCCTGGGTGACAAGATGGAAACTTTGTCTCAAAAAATATATATATATATTTTTTTCTTCTAACAAAAAGCAACCTGGGGAAAAAACTCAGACTGCAGAAGCTGCCTGCCTGAAAATCACAGTTACAAGCAAATGTAGAGCAGTTTGAGAAACTCTGGGTAACATCTGCACTTATAGATAAGCAGTCAGACTGGCAAGGTCAACATACATCATAGAAGCTCTTTGTTCTTTGTATGATTAGGGAGCTCCCAGGAAAAAGTTTCCCTCTCTTCAGACACGTAGACAGTGGGCTTAGTGGGATCTTACACAGGGAAAGGAGAGAGGGGACTGCTTAAAACAAGCCCACAGTTACAGAAACAAAGAGCCGAGCTTTGTCCTTACCTGGAGACATCCCACAGCTGGAGAGATACAGAGGGAATTGTGCAGAAAGTTGCAGACAGTTTTACAGATAAGAAAGCTACTTAAACAGCTGCAAAGAGTGGATTCTTATAAAAGCTTTTGTATTCAGCTATAACCTGGCAACCCACCAAGGAATGCTCTTGGATCTGGAGAGTTGTCTTCTTTCACGTATTAAACTTATGCTGCAGCCTCACCCTTTGTGTCCACACTCCTTAATTTTCTTGGTCCTGAGATGACGAGTTTGATAACACTTTAGACAACCAGACTAGTGAACCTCCACTTCTCACTGTTTCACCGAGATGGCACAACTGCACTCCAGCCTGGATGACAGAGTGGGACTCCATCTCAAAATAATAAATAATAATAATAATACAAACCTTGAAGGTCACTTGATTGAATTCTCCTATAAAAAGATGCAGAGTGGCAGCTGGGCACAGTGGCTCATGCCTGTAATCTCAGCACTTTAGGAGGCCGAGGTGGGCAGATCACAAGGTCAGGAGATCAAGACCATCCTGGCTAACATGGTGAAACCCTGTCTCTATTAAAAATACAAAAAATTAGCCAGGCGTGGTGGCACGTGCCTGTAGTCCCAGCTACTTGGGATGCTGAGGCAGGAGAATCCCTTGAACCCGGGAGGCAGAGGTTGCAGTGAGTGAGCCAAGATCATGCTACTGCACTCCAGCCTGGGCAACAAAGCGAGACTCCATCTCAAAAAAAAGATGCAGAGTGGCTAAGTGGATTTTTAAAAATTCAGATTACATAGTGTCTATGAGACTT
Organism: Homo sapiens; assembly: GCF_000001405.40. Lineage (NCBI taxonomy): Eukaryota > Metazoa > Chordata > Mammalia > Primates > Hominidae > Homo > Homo sapiens. Next base: position 13,210,447 of record NC_000024.10, on the reverse strand, counting down.
ACTTCATATGTAAGAACATATATAGACTACAAGTAAAGGAATGGGAAAAAAGTTCCTTGCAAGTGGAAAACAAAAAAAGAACAGGAGTAACTATATGTATATAACTTACTATATAACTCAGTAAAATATGCTTAACTAAAAAATATTATAAAGAGACAAGGTTATTATATAACAATAAAGGGTAATACAGGCAGAGGAGATGACAATTATAAATATATATGCACCCACTATAAGAGCATCTAAATATATAAAGCAAATATCAGTGAAAGAGAAAAAAGTGAGAGACAGACTGAAATACACTAAATACTGAAATACAGCAAATACAGTAATGCGAGATTTCAACATACCACTTTCAGCAAGGAACAGATCATCCAGATAAAAAATTAACAAAAACATGCTGGCTTTGAACTGTACTCTAGACCAAACAAAGTCAATATGCTTTGCAATAGATACCTTGAAATTTATTTTTCGTGTCTAATTAGTTCTTTTTAAATGCTTGGTGGGATTCTACAGTTAAACCAGGTCCTGGGCTTTTCTTTGATGAGAGACATTTTATTACTGATTTAGTTTAAAGACCTGCAAAGACAATAGCCTCTCGCTTATCAGATATTTTATTACTGACTGAACACATTTACACAATATTCTATCCAATAGTTGCAGAATATACATTTTTCACAACTGCATGAAACTTTCTCCAGGATAGACCATCTTTTAGCCTCCAAAACAACATATGCAGAAGACTGAAATCATATATTTAAGAAGATTGAAATGATATATTCAATCAGGTAATTGTACTGTTTGGACCTCAGTGGTATAAAACTAGAAATCAATAACAGGAAGAACTTTTGAAAACTTTAAAAACACAAAAATTAAGGTGTGGTGGTGCATGCCTATAGTCCCAGTTACTAAGGAGGCTGAGGTAGGAGGATTGCTTGAGCTCAAGACCAATTTGGGTAACATGGCAAAACTTTATCTTAAAAAAAAAAAAAAAAAAAAAAAAACACCCAGCAGGGCGCAGTGGCTCATGCCTGTTAATTAGCTAGATGTAATCATTCCGCAATATATATATATACTTCGAAATATGTTGCATATGATAAAAGAATTCAAAGTTATTTGTCAGCTGAAAAAATTCAAATAAGATACAACATAAGGAATAAAATCCAGAAATCTTTACAAAAATACTTGTCTAGTAAGTCCATCACCTGGGCTTCATTGGAACAGTTGTTTCTGTGTGCTTTTCTCCTTGTGTTTTAGTAATATATTCTGCTTCTTTGCATGCCTCCTATACTTCTGTTGAAAATGGGACACATAACATGAGAAGCTCTGGAAATCAAGTTAATCTCCTCCTTTAGGGTGTGAGATCCAAATATCTCAGTGTGTGATCTTTTTTCTTCTTCTTCTTTTCCATTCTGTTCTTTCTACTGTGGTGTTGTTGTTTTTTTTTTTGTTTTTTGTGTTGTTGTTTTGTTGTTGTTGTTGTTGTGATGGAGTCTCACTTTTTTGCCCATGCTGAAGTACAGTGGTGTGATCTTGGCTCACTGCAACCTCCTACTCCTGCTCAGCTGGGACTACAGGTGCATGCCACCACACCTGGCTCCTTTCCTGGCTCTCTTCTTCTTCTTCTTCTTCTTCTTCTTCTTCTTCTTCTTCTTCTTCTTCTTCTTCTTCTTCTTCTTCCTCTTCCTCTTCCTCTTCCTCTTCTTCTTCTTCTTCTCCCCCTTCTTCTCCCCCTTCTTCTCCCCCTTCTTCTCCCCCTTCTTCTCCCCCTTCTTCTTCTTCCTCTTCTTCCTCTTCTTCTTCTTCTTCTTCTTCTTCTTTCTTTTCTATTTTTAGTAGAGATGAGGTTCCACTATGTAGGCCAGGCTGGTCTCAAACTCCTGGCCTCAACTGATATGCTGGTCTTGGCCTCCCAAAGTGCTGGGATTATAGGCATGAGCTGCCACACCCAGTCTCAGTGTGCGATCTTAAGAATGCCTTTCGTATTTAACCATGAAGTTAGTCTGCCTTAGCCTCTACTTCATTCTCGTGAAGAGCCTTAATATCAGGCATAGATGAGAGGATATTTCCCTTGAAGCCCTTTTCTGAGTAGGTACCTGCACATGTTCTTCTACATTTCTGGTAATATGTAGATATTTTACAAAGCCTTTTTTAAACATAGGTCATCTCTTTAGTCTTTTTTCCCCACAACTTTGGTTAACCTATTGCTTGCAGCACTTCTTATCAATTCCTGTGTATAAAGCATGCCATTTTGTTCTGATGCTGTGACATCTTGGGGTCTTGCTGATGCTGGAGAGACTGAGTCTCCCAAGATTAGGCAATTTTTAGTGATAATAAAAGACCATTCGCAGGAGTGTCCCTCTATATATAAGTCAATAAATTCAGACTCTGTTAATCACTCCAGGGCTAGGGAACAGGAAACTAGACATAGCCCCTGTCCCTAGAACTCACTGAAATTATCAAAATTATTAAAATTAAACTCTTTACCCTGATTCATTCCTTCTTGTGAAAACAACAATAAAGTCTCTTGTCAACATTTCTCCATTGCTGTGCTTAACAATTCACTGACCATGGTGCTTCCCCATGTGCCCTTCCATGGTATGCAGTGTCTCTTATTTCTAGAGATCTGTGAGTGTGCAAATTTCTTTTTATATGGTAGTCATTTGTGTCTCCATGTTTGTTTTAACCTCATTAAAACAAATCCAAAGTGTATTTTAAGACACTTAGGTAGGTGCAACCAAAACAGTTGCCTCTAAATATTTCCAGGCAACAACCCTACATAGTGGCTTTTATACTACTGTGTGAGTTCTAAGTTAGGTATGATAAAGGCAAACTTTTTCAGCCACTCCTCCAGGGAGCCATCAGACAGTTCAACTGAGGATAACTCTTTCCAAATCATAATTCTTTCATTCTCTTCCATTTGGTACTCCTACCTAGAATGCAGACTATTATTTTCAAGGCTATTGCTTGAGTTGGGTTGCAATGGGTGTGTTAAATGCCACACTGCTTACTATTCTTACCAAGATTTGGCTGTTTTTCTTCAGTAAGCACTGATTGTGTTCCTAACAAGCTTTTGGTTAGTGTCTACAGTTCTGAAAATGTTAAATCTGAAAGTTTTTCTTTCACTACCATTTTTTCTATTGTTTTTGAGGAGGGGTGAAGTTTTGTAATTCCTTGTTATGACATTGTGGTTGATGCCCGTAAACATTTCTTTCTTACATATAAATTTGTAAATTGGCTGGGAAACTTTTTTTAGTACAAAACTCTGAACCCACAGCAGGTTTTCTAACACTATTTTAGCAATGATATATCCTCACTCTGTGGGATGTTTAACAGGAGTGAATGCCCTTTCAACCATGTTGTTTCCAAAATGTCCAGCTCTCCACACTGGAATGCTTTGTGTCAGGATGTAAGCTGTTTACCACTGCTCCACGTTTTTTCTTTCCAGGCTTATGAAGAATATGTAGTTCACAGAGGAACAACCGTAGGACCTTCCAATATGAGCAGTTAAAGTACAGTATTTCTTGCACATGGCAGCATCGCCTTTTGAGGTCTGTCTTCTCCCTCCAAAGACATCAGAATCTGCCAGTTGTTGATCACTTCTCGGATGTGTGCATTTTAGCTTCACAAGGACCTCCTTATAAATGTCTAAATTACAGTAATTTCAACCTCTTCTTTGCTCCCAGAGCTCTAGTTCATTCTTCTCTTGCTGTTACCTCTATGATAAACTGCAGTGGTTTTTTTTGCTTTTTCAGTTATGTAATTATCCATTATTTATGTTAAATTATTTGAGCCAAAATAACTAGGGTGGTCTGTATCTCTTGATTTAACCATTATCAGTTCTGTGGATTAACTTGTCTTCATGTGTGACTCCCCTCAAAAATTCCTATTATTTCTAGTCAGTCTCCTGCCATATCTGTAACTCCTTACTGTACTCATTTCTGTCACAGAACTTACTGTGATTTCAATCATGGTTTTTGGCAACTGTCTTATCCCAGGCACAAATGGCTACATAATTTGTAAGGTCCAGTGCAAAATAAAAATGGAGGGCTACTTGTCAAAGAATTATTAAGAGACTGGGCATGGTGGCTCATGCCTGTAATCCCAACACATTGTAAGGCCAAGGTGGGCAGATCACCTGAGGTCAGGAGTTTGAGACCAGCCTGGCCCAACATGGTGAAACTCTGTTTCTACTAAAATTAGCCAGGCGTGGTGGTGCGAGCCTATAATTTCAGCCACTCAGGAAGCTGAGGGAGGAGAATCACTTGAATGGTGGTGGCAGAGGTTGCAGGGAGCTGAGATCAGACCATTGCATTCCAGCCTGGGCAACAGAGCAAGAGTCCATTTCAAAAAAGAAAAAAAATAAAATAAGAAATTCAGGACTGCCACAGCAGAGCAATTAGTCCAAGTCATTGAAGCTCAAGACTTGTGCTACAAATGCATGTCTTCTGCTCATGAACTGGCCTTGATTTCAAGCGAGTTGCTCCCTGATGTCATTGTACATCTGTATGTACCCTCATTGGATGGCACTAACGAGATTTCCAGTATGTTCAAGAAATTAATGAATGGCCGAGGAAAAATAAAACAAGAAAACAAAGTGTCAGACCTCTGAGCCCAAGCTAAGCCATCATATCCCCTGTGACCTGCATGTATACATCCAGATGGCCTGAAGTAACTGAAGAATCACAGAAGAAGTGAAAATGGACTGTTCTTGCCTTAACTGATGACATTCCACCACAAAAGAAGTGAAAATGGCCAGTCCCTGCCTTAACTGATGACATGACCTTGTCAAATTCCTTCTCCTGGCTCATCCCAGCTCAAAAGCTCCCCACCTTTTGACCCCCACCCCTGCCTGCTAGAGAACAACCCCCTTTGACTGTAATTTTCCACTACCCACCCAAATCTTATAAAACAGCCCCACCCCCATCTCCCTTTTCTGACTCTTTTTTCAGACTCAGCCCACCTGCACCCAGGTGAAATAGCCTTGTTGCTCACACAAAGCCTTTTGGTGGTCTCTTCACATGGAAATGAGTGAAACAAAGCAAGTATTAACATGAGAATTGGTAAGCTTCTGCAGTACCTTCATAAGAGGAAATGAGTGACTAACATGGGAAACTGGAGGGTCCAAACCTATGCACACAGGAAGCTCAACAAATAACATGAATTGACATGAAGGGGCAGCTGAGGCACACTGCAAACAATCATTGGCAACACGAATAAGCTGTAGGAAATGTTTGCCCAACTCCTATGACCTCTCCTCTATGCTCCCTCCTCTGGTCACGCCCTTCTTTCGCCATCCCAGTCAAACTTACTTGAAAGACCTTTTTGAGCATGGTTAGGCACGCTGCACACGCAGTCGCAGTAAGTTCCCCCAAAAGTAATATTGCCATTTCCAATATATGGGAGCTTTTGAACTGAAAGCGATGTTACCCTAATTTACCATGTTTCTTGTGTAAGCCTGCCCTCTGGTTTCTGTGAAGAGGCGTCACAAGATCTCCTTTAACCGCCTGGGCAGCGCCATCTTTGTGCCTGGCATGTTGTGGTGCCAGACTGGAGCTATGATGCTTGTGGGTTTACTTGTTACCAAGCTCTCCTGGAGACCAGATCCAGGAAATACAAGGCGGGCCTCGATGGGAAGTACATACTAAGCGAAGGCACAGGAAAGAGGAGGAAACTGGGAAGGAGAGGAGAACTGGAAGGAAAGGGGAGGGAACTGGGAGGAGAACTTGGAAGCTTGCAGGCACATCCAGGTCTTGCATCTATCACTGAAGGAGGGCTGTTTGTGTGCAGAAGCGGCATTGTCCCGGATGCTTAGCTGGTGAAGGTGGTAGAGGGCAGAGGTCGCTAGGTAGGTGTCCAGGAGGAGGCCTGACACTTCTCCGGTGGAGGCCGTCGGGAGAAGCACTGGAATCGTCACGATGACCCAACTCCCATGCGGTGGGTGTGTGCATAAATGCAGGCATGAGGGTCCTCGGTTTAGCCTGGTACTGTGGCAGACACCTGGAACTCCGTAGTTCCTTGACGTGCCTAGGCTTGGCACGGAGGCAAATGGGAAGAAGAGTGGCTGTGGACAGGCTGGGGCATGGGCTTTCCTTCACTCTTGGAATAGGAGTGATGCCCCTTCTCGCTGGACCCAGGATATTGTGAAAAGTGGACCACTGTAAACAGCCTTCAGTCCCCAGCAAGCTGTTTAGGGAAGAGGCCTGGCAGCAGCAAGGTTGGAGCTGTTTAAATATTTCTAGAGAAGTAGAAAAGGTTAGTAATTAAAGTAATAATCATAATAAAAGAGGTTTGCAAATGATTGTTATGTTTTAAGTAAGAAAACACTGCCTATACTTAAAAAAAATCCACACAAACAGGTCTCTGAGGCCCAACAACAAATTAGATTGGATTTGTATTTTACTGCTGCGTGCCACCTCATAAGCTGCAACAAAGGAGTACATTTTGGAGGTGGGAGGAAGGTGGAGTGCAAACTAAATTGAGCATGATATCAAAAATTGACACTTTTGGTATCATAAGATGGAAAGCGGTTTTGCCTGTACTTAAAGGTAATTTCAGTGCCTATGACTTGATAAGTTTTGAAATGATGTTATTCAGTTGTAGACTGTGATGCTTGTTCTTATTGTTTGTAAAATAATAAAAATGATAGAAAAAATAAGTTAAAACTTTGCCCTTTAAATTTTACAGATAAATGGATTTTTTTGCTTTACCAAGACCACAGAAATACTCGCAGGAGGGAAGACATTTTCATCTCTGGCTTTGAGAGTAAACTTTAATTTTTGAAAGTGTTGAAATTAGTAAACGCATCACCAGTTTGGTGTCTTTTTATGGACTCTGGAAGAATGCACTATATGCGTATACATAATTTTTTTTTTTTTTTTTTTGAGACCAAATCTCGCTTTGCTGCCCAGGCTGGAGTGCTCTGACATGATCTCGGCTCACTGCAACGTCCGCCTCCCAAGTGCAAGCAATTCTCTGCCTCACCCTCCCTAGTATTTGGGATTAAAAGCACCCGCCATATGCCTGGCTAATTTTTGTAGTTTTAGTAGAGACGGGGTTTCACCATCTTGACCAGGTTGGTCTTGAACTCCTAACCTTGTGATCCACCTGCCTCAGCCTCCCAAAGTGCTGGGATTACAGGTGTGAGCCACTGCGCCCGGCCACATATACATAATTTTTAATTGTTATGAAGTATTACAGTTTTTCTTAAAGTAATGATATGCTTAATCATATGGTAGTTTTACTTCAGTGGAGGTAACTCTCAAATACATGATTTTCATTTCTACATTTAACAGTGGAATGATCTATGCTTATTGTAGTAGACATCTTGTAAAATTTCTCCCAGTGACCCTCTGCCTCCTGGTAGTCAGCCTTTGTATAATATCTTTCTCAGAAATGCACAGTTAGTGAGGAGCTGAGGCCCTCAGTTCAATAATCTTCAAGGAACTGAGTCCCTCTAAAACTACTTGATTGAGCTTGAAACTGAATCCTCTTTCATTTGAACCTTGAGACGGCAACAACCCCTGCTAAAACCTCAATTATAACCTTGTAACAGACAGCTGAGAGAGAACCCAGCAAGACTCCAGATTTCTGACCTACTTAAACTTGACATACTACGTGTATGCTGTTTAAAGCAGCTAAGTTTTGGGGTAATATGTTAGTTATGGATAACTAATACCCTAATTAAATTGAATTTTCTTTTACAAGTTTGTTTAACACAGTTTCGTCTTAATTATAAATACCATGCTGCTTATGGTTTATATTGGGGAAATAGTGTTAAGGATGTTCAAGGACTTTGCTTGATAGGTTGAGTATGTTCACATTTAATCTTCAAAACTACTTTATGTTGTAGGCAGTGTTAAACCACTGATACAGATAACTTCATTTCTATCCAGTATTCTTTGTAAGGTCATAGAAGTAGTAAGTTGCAAAACTAGAATTCAAACTCATATGTATCTGTCTCTAAAGCAGGTTCTCTTTCTACTATGCATAAGTATCCACATGATGAAACTGAACATCAACTTGAGCAAGTTACTAAACTGTAACTGTTTTAAGAACAGTTACTTAAAAACCCTTTTTTATCTCCCCCCTCCCCCACTTCCTACTCTTCCTCCACCCTCCAAAGTGATAATTTTGTGATTTTTTCATATCAAAAGTGTGTCTCTTTTTGCACTTTATATCAAAATAATATGTTGTGCTTACAATATATACTTTGTTGTTTCTGACTTCCTTTGCTTAATATTGTTTATAGGTTATATGGTTCCATTGTACCTCAGTATATTATCATTCTGTTGTGATGGATATTTTATTTAATTATCAATTTAAGGAAACATCTTTATGACCTTGGATTATAATAGACAAAAGTTTTTTAGACACAAAAAGTAGTAACTTCATAAGAAAAGGTTGATAGTTAGAACTCTATTAAGATTAACAATTTCTCTTCATCAAAATATACTCTCTTTTTCTTTGAGACAGGATCTCACTTTGTCACCCATACTGGAATGCAGTGGCGCAATCATGTCTCACTGCAACCTCTGCTTTCTGGGCTCCAGCGATTCTTCTGCCCCAACCTCTCAAGTAGCTGGGACTGAAGGTGTGTGCCACCACACCTGGTTAATGTTTGTTTGCAGAGACAGGGTTTTGCCATGTTGCCCAGGCTGGTCTTTATCTCTTGAGCTCAAGTGATCTCCCTACCTTGGCTTCCTATAGTGAGAGCTAGGATTATAGATGTGAGCCACCATGCCTGGCCAAAATATACTTTTAAGAGAGTGAAAAGACAAGGTGCACATTGGAAAAAATACTCAAAATACAGAAATCTGACATAGAACTTGTGTACTGTATCTAAGCTATATATGGAAGACCAAGAAAACAAAAAAATACCCAGAGAAATCAAGAAAGAAAAAGAAAAACCAACTAAGCAGTCTATCAGTAAAGAGTGTGTTCACATGTAAATAGCTAAGTGGAAAAAAAAAAAGAGGCTGTTCCTCATTATTCATACAGGAAGTACAACTAAAAATCAGAGTGAATACTGCATATTTAGGAAAATGACTAATATGAAACAAACAAAAGTATTAAATATTGGCAAAGATAGGCAACAGTAAAAACTCTCAGATACTGCTGGTGAAAGTGAAGATTTGTATAACCACTGTGAAATTTAGCAAATAGTTTTAAATCAATTGTATCAAGACCTGTTAATTTCACTCCTGAGATATATGTTTACCATAAGGTATACACATATTTATCAAAAGATATGTCCTGGGTGTTTATTAGTAATTGTGCCACTCCTAATATCTTTGTATATTAAGATAATGTTTAAAAATTGTCATGAATATAAATACCAAAGGTATAATCTCTGGCATTTCTAAGTATTAATTCTTTAAATAAAGTGTTTTTATTATATTTAAATATATTCAAAGGAATCTAAATAACACTAATTTGTTGTCAACCATTGTTCATTTTAAAAAATGGCAAACTGTCCTTTGACAAAGTTGAATGTTTTATATTGTTTCTTTTTCTGCTTCGACTAATATTTATTTTTCATGTTACCATAGAATTTTATCAGAATATATTTTATTTTTATGGTTGAAACTTTTATTGATAGTCTTATACTGATCTGTAACAAAAATAGTTATGTAAGTTGAAATAAATTTTTTTCCTGTGATCATAAACTGTGGTGTGCTAACTTTTCCTTATAGAAAGTAATGAATTTCTTATTCTAAGTATACTGTAAAGCTGAGTGTAGTGCCTGTAATCTTAGCTCTTTGGGAGGCTGAGGCAGGAGTATTGCTTGAGCCCAAGCATTTGAGACATACCTAGGCAACATGGCAAGACCTCATCTCTAAAAGAAGAAAAAAATAAAAAAATTAGCTGGTGTGGTGGCACACACCCATAGCGTCAGCTACTCGGGAAGCTGAGAACCTCAATCTTCTTAAGCCCAGAAGGTCGAGGCTGCAATGAAATGTGTTTGTGCCACTGCACTACAGTCTGTGCAATAGAGCAAGACCCTGACTCAAGAAAAAATATTTACAATTAAAAAGTGTGAATAAAACAAACCTCAATATATCTTTCTCTGTATCACACTAGACAATCTCCATTCATAAGTTGTTCAAGCCAAAAATCTTTAGTCTTTCTTGACACCCTTTGGTTTCTAGTAAATCATATTCAGTGTACCAGCAAATTATGTGGCTATAAATGTAAATACAAATATAGAATATGATTACTTATTGCCGTCTCCATCCAGGTACAAGCCATTTATCATCCATATTCTGGATTATGAAAAGAACCTATAACAGCTTTTATTTTTGCTTTTTGTTGTTGGCAGTTTTGTCACATAATCATAGAAGCAGTTGGGATGATAATTCTTAAAAATTATAAAAACTTTAAAAACTTAAAATAAAAAAACTCAGTCTTCTTTTACCTCACCTAGATATACTTTAATGGTTTCTCATCACATTCTATGAAAGTTCTCACAAAAGCTGATAAGACTTTATCTAATCTACCTTCACTTGACCTTTATTACCATAACTATTTCCTTGTCTGTTGTTCATGTATATCAGGCCACATTGGTTGGCTTTCTCTTCCTCCAACATGCTAGATATTCTGCTTTAGGGCTCTCCAGTCTTAGTTCCTCTTTACCTGGTATACACTGAATATCAATGTAAATTACTCCCTCACCTCTTTAGATTCTTTTCTGTCACTCTTAGAGGTTTTCACTGGCAACTAAGTTGCAGTTTTTTCTTTCTGAAGTATGATATACTACTACTACTAGAGTCCTTTGTCTTGACTTTATGTTCTCGGAGCACAGGAATTTATGCCCTTTATTCTCTGGAAATCTATCGCATATTCTATGTCTCAAAAAATAATTTGAATGAATATTCTAAATTTTGATGAAAATTTAACTAATTTTTACTGGAAACATATCTTAAATGAAATCAATGGTGCTTTTCCTGGATTCATATATACTTGGATGGTGAGTATTACCCCTTGTTAGATTTAAATAAGGTTTAGTCTCAAATCTTACCATTTGAGATCTTTATGAACATAAGTTCTGAGAAATGCTGTTCACCAAAATATGAAAGATGAGAATTGTAGGAGTTCGGTTATAGCAGCGTCACTCAGCTCTTTTCATCTCTCGAAGTTATGCCAAAAAATAAATAGTTACATGTCACTGGACTTGGTTTTTGTTTGTCTTTTTTGTTGTTACTGTTGTTGTTGTTTTTTAAACAGAACCCTGCTTAGTCACCCAGCTGGAGTGCAATGGTACAATCTCAGCTCACTGCAACCTCTGCCTCCTGGATTCAAGCAATTCTCCCACCTCAGCCTCCTGAGTAGCTGGGATTACAGGCACCTCTCATCATGCCTAGCTAAGTTTTGTATTTTTGTAGAGATGGGGTTTCACCATGTTGGCCAGGCTGGTCTAGAACTCCTGACCTCAGGTGATCCGCCTGCCTCAGCCTCGCAAAGTGCTGGGATTACAGGCATGAGCCATCGCACTCCGTGGACTTTTTTGTTTTACAACTATTTTAGCCATTTTTAAAGTGTATACTACAGTAGTGTTAAGTATACCCACATTGTTGTGCAACAGATGTCAAGAGCTTTTTCATCCTGCAATGCTGAAACTGTACCCAAATTTCTCCACAGCTGTAGCCCCAGTAAGCACCATTCTTTCTGCTTTTATAAGTTTGACTACTTTAGTTATCTCATATAAGAATCAGAGTTATTTTGTTTGTTTAATGACTGGCTTATTTCACTTTATTTTTTTATTTATTTATTTTGGAGATGGAGTCTCACTCTGTCTCAGGCTGGAGTGCAGTGGCTCAATTCTCCTGCCTCAGCCTCCCGAGTAGCTGGGATTACAAGCATGTGCCACCAACCCAGCTAATTTTTGTATTTTTAGTAGAAACGGTGTTTCACCATGTTAGCCAGTATGGTCTCGATCTCCTGACCTCATGATCCACCTGCCTCAGCCTCCCAAAGTGCTGGGAATACAGGCATGAGCCACCACACCCAGCCTATTTCACTTTTATGTCCTCAAAAATCCATCCTTACTGTTGCATGTGACAGAGTGAATATTATATAAGGCTGAATAATATTCTATTGTATATATACATCATGTCTTGTTGTATTTATTTACCTGTCAGTGAATATTAATGTTTCTTTTGCCTCTTGACTATTGTGAATAGTATGGCTATAAACATGGCTCTAAAATCCTGCTTTCATTTGTTTTTGTTACATACCCTGAATTGGCATTGCTGGATCAAATGGTACTTATATTCCATTTTCTATTGTAATTGCAACATCATATGGTGTGACCAACACTGTACAAAGGTTTTAATTTCTCCACATCCTCACCAAATCTTGTAATTCCTTTTTTTTTTAATTCTTTTGGTATTATAGTGGCCATCCTAATATTTGGGTGCTGATATCCCAATTTAGTTTTGATTTCTATTTCTGTAATGGTAATTTTGAACATCTTTTTTTTTACAATTGTTGGCCATTTGTACATTCAGTTTTAAGCAATGTTTCTTCAAGTTTTTTGCACATTTTTACATTATTTGTTTTGGGATTTTTTTTTTTTTTTTTTTTTTTTTTTTTTTTTTTTTTTTTTGCTGATTGTTGTCTTTGATTCTCAGAAATTAAGTATGATGTCCCATTTGTCTGTTTTTGCTTTTCTTTCCTGTGGCTTTGGCATATAGTCAAGTAGTTATTACCAAATGCAATGTCCTAATGTCTATCCTCCATGTTTTCTTTTGGTTATTTTATAGTTGTAGGTCTTATATTTGAGCCTTAAATCCTTTGTGAGAGTTGATTTTGTGTATAATGTAGGATAAGGTTCCAGCTACATTTGTTTCCATGTGGGTATCCAGTTTCCCCAACACTATGTTGTTGTTAAGACTGTTTTTAACATTGGATGGTCTTGGCACCCTTTTAGAGGATCATGTGACTGCGTATGCTGTGGTTATCTCTGTACTCTGTTGGTTAACAATGGTCTATATGTCTGTCTTTATGCCACTATCACTTCTGATTACTGTAGCTTTGCAGTAAGTTTTGAGATAAGGAAGTTATTTCAAATGAAGAGTTGTCTAAATTTGTTCTTTTTTAAAAGATTGTTTTGGCTGTTTAGAGTTCATTAACATTCCATTTGAACTTTAAGATTTTTTGTGGAGGGATTCTGATAGGCATTGTATTGAATCTCGATCTTTTTGGGTATGATATATTAGGAATATTAGCTCTTCAGGTCGTGAATAAAAGATGTCTTTCCATGAATTTATGTCTTTTAATATTTTTCAACAACTTATACTTTTCTGTGAATGAGTCTTTTATCTTTTTAATGGTTAAGGTTATACATATTGTAAATGAAATTTTCTCTAGGTTTCCATTTTTGATTGTTCATTGTTAATAAATAGAAACACACAGTTTTCTTTGTGTTAATTTTGTATCCTGCAACTTTGTTAAACTTGGTTCTTTTCTCTAAGAGTTTGTGTGTGTGTGTGTGTGTGTGTGTGTGTGTGTGTGTGTGTGTAAAATCCTAAGGGCTTTCTACCTATAAGAGCATGTCATCAATGCACTGTGATAACTTTTCTTCGTTTTCAATTTGTATGACCCTGCTCTTCCCCTTACCCCCTCTCCCCTACCTTCCTTCTCTTGACTGACTGCTCTGGTTAGGACTTCAGTGTGGTATGAATAGGATGGCAAGAGTGTTTTTTCTTTGTTTTGATTCTAGAAGGAAGGTTTTTAAGTCTTTCACCATTTAATATTACCTAATTGTGGGCTTTTCATTTATGGTCTTGATGATATTGAGATGGCTTTCTTGTATTCCTAACTATATTTTAATCAAAAAATGTGTTAAATTTATTCATTTATTTATTTATTTAGAAACAGTTTTACTTTGTTACCCTTTGTTGCTGGAAGGTAGTGGTTTGATCCTAGCTTACTGCAGCCTCAAACTCCTGGGCTTAAGAAATCTTCCTGCCTTAGCCTTCCAAAAAGATAGGACTACAGGCTGAAGCCACCATAACTGGCTAAATTTTAATTTTTTCTTTTTTGGTAGAAACAGGGTCTCACTATGTTGCCCAAGATGGTTTTGAACTCTTGTCCTCAAGCATTCCTCCCACCTCTGCTTTCTAAATTGCTTGGGTTACAGATGTGAACCACTGTGCCTAACCTAATATGCTAAATTTTATCAAGTACTATTCTGCAACAACTGAGATATTCATGTTTTTTTCCCCTCATTCTATTAATGTAGGATAGTACATTGATTTGTTCCTATATGGTTAATAATTCTTCCCTAACAGGAATAAATTTCATTTGATTATGGTGTGTGACTCTTTTAATGTGCTGTTGAATTTGATATGTTGGTATTTTGTTCAGAAATGAAAGTAACAACAAAGGAATGAAAATATGAATAAAACGTTAGAAACTAAGATGACTCGAACAGAAATTCTGGAATGGAATACTACAAAAACTGAGTTAAATAATTTGCAAGGCTGGTTCTTTGGCAGCTTTATGCAAATAATCCCAGCACTTGGCAAGGCTGAGGCAGGAGGATTGCTGAAGCTAACCAAGAGTTTGAGAGCAGTCTAGAAAACAAGGAAGACCACATCTCTACAAAAACACTATCACATGTGGTGACATGTGCCCAGCTGCTCTGAAGAGGAAAGATCCCTCAGCCCAGGAAGTCAAGGTTGCATTGAGCTATGATTGCACCACTACATTCAAGTTTGTGGTGATAAAGTCCGATACCCTGTCAAAAAAAAGAGAGAAAGAAAAAGGAAAGGAAAGGAGAGGAGAGGAGAGGAGAGGGGAGGGGAGGGGAGGGGAGGGGAGAAGGAAGGAAGGAGAGAGAAGAAAGAAAGAGAAAGAAGGAAGGAAGGAAGGAAGGAAAGTCGGTTTAGTGGAACAACAGTGTATCAATCAGAATAAAGAAAAAAATTACTGAACTGAAAGAGAAGATATTTGAAATTGTTAAATTAGAGAGGCAAAATGAAAAATAAAAATGAAGAAAAGAGAACAAAAAAATTAGGGGCTATGAGACACCAACAAATGGAACACATGTATTATGAGAGTCACAACAGAAAATAAAATAGAAAAGAATGTTAGACTTTTTGGATAGTGACTGAAAAGTTTTCAGTTCTGAGGACAGAAATGGTTATAACATAATCAAGAAGCTCTGAGAATTCCAATTGGGATAAATGTAAACAGACCTACTAAAACACAAAAGTAAAGTGACAGAAGTCACAAATAGAGAAAATTTAAAGCAACATTTTTTTTTAAAACCTCCTGGATAAGAAGAATATTGTATTTGGAAAACTGTTCTTCAAAAATAAGGGAGAAGTTAAGACTTTCCCAGACAAAAAAAAAATTGAATTCTACACTAGTGCACAAGAAATGGTAAAGAGAGCCTTTCAAGTTTAAGTGAAAGAATTGCAAACAGCAACATGAAACCATCTGAAAACAAACTCCTTTTTAACTTTAAATATAGGAACAAATAGAGTCTTCAGTACTGTAATGTAGGTGCACAAATCTCTTGGCATAACTTTTTTTTTAAAAAAGTAATTGCTGATTATGTTAATGGATATGTAGTATTAAGGAGTTCATTTATGTCATCAGAGTACAGAGATGTCCCTAGTAGGGTTTCTATGTATGATTTAAGTTATCTTAAAGTAGATTGTTGTAATTTTAAGATGTTTTATTTAATTACAATGTTAATCACAAAGAAAATGTACACAGATTATGCACAAAGAGATTTGAGTAGGGAATAAAAACATTACTATATTAAAAAACAGTGAAACACAAATGAAAGCAATAAGAGAGTGTGGATATACAAAGCTACAAGATTTACAGGAACCAATGCAAAAATAGCAGTAAGTCCTATACTAAAAGTAATTACTTTAAATGGAATTTGATTGAATGCTCTAATTAAAAGATACAGATTGGCTTAATGTTTTCAAAAAATACCCAGCAATATTCTGTCTATAAGAGAATCACAAAATAGAGTTTTTACATAGAGTAAAAGTGAAAGATTAGAAGATATTCCATGCAAATGGGAGACTGAAAGGACCAGAGGTGGGTATACTCTTGTCAGACAAAACAGACTTAAGAGGAAAACTTTCATAAGAGATAATGAAGGACAATATATAATGATAAATGGGCCAATTCATCAACAAGATACACAATTATATATGTACCTAATAGCACGGCTCTTAAATGTATGAAGCAAAAATCATGACATTGAAGGGAGAAATAGCAACACAAGAATAGTAGAGGACTTTAGTACCTTGGTTTAAATAATGAATGAATGAAACAACCAGACAGATCACTTAGGAAATAATGAATGGTTGGAAAAGCCAGCCAGATCAATTAGGAAACACTGGACTTGGAAACACTACTGAGCATTTGGCCTTAACTTACACAGAACAGTTTACCAGAATATACATTCCTCTCTCTCTCTCTCTCTCTCTATTATTATTATTATTATTATTATTATTATTATTATTATTATTATTATTTTGCATGGGGCGGGGATAGGCTCTCGCTGTGTTGCCTAGGCTGGAGTGCAGTAATGAGATCAGTCCTGAATTCCAGGATTATAGTGATCCTCCCGCTTCAGCCTCCCAAGTAGCTGGGACTACAGGCATGCAGCACACATGGCTAATTTTTAATTTTTTGTGCAGGCAGGGTCTCCTCTTGTTGCTCAGGCTAATCTCAAACTCCTAGGCTAAAGCAGTCTGCCCACTTCATCCTCCCAAAGTGCTAAGATTACAGGTGTGAGCCACTGCTGTCAGCCACATTCTTCTCATACTCACATGGAACATTCTACCTCATAGATCACATGGTGTGCCATGAAACAAGTCTTGACAAATTTTAGAAGACTAAAATCATACAAAATCTTTTCCAGCCACAATGTACAAAGCTAGGAATCAGCAGAAGTAAAACTGGAAAACTTAACCAATGGGTTGAAAAATCATGAGAGAATGTAGAAAATGTCTTGAGAGAAATGAAAACAAAAATGCAGTATACCAAAACTTTTAGGATGCACTGAATCCAGTAGTAACAGGAAAGTTTTTAGAGATCACTACTTGTATGCAAAAAGAGGATCTTTAATAAGAAAACTAACAACACTTCAATAGCTGGGAAAGGAACAGACTAAACCTCCTGTTAGCAGAAGGAAGAAAGTAAACATTAGAAAAGAGGTAAACAAAATGGTAAAAATTAAAAAACCAACAGTTTGTTCTTGAACAGTAGAAAAATGGAAGAAGCTTTTGCTACAATAAGAACCAAAAAAGACTCAACTAAAATTAGAAATGAAAAAGGGGACATTGCAATTGATGTTACAGAAATAAAAAGATTTGGAAGACTCTAATATAAATAAGAATACACCAACAAATGGATAAACTAAAAGAAATGGGTAAATTATTGGAAACACACAACCTACTGCAGATATGAAGAAATAAAAATCCAAACAGACCTAAAACTTGTAAATGAGATTGAGGTAGTAACCAAAATTCTTCTGAAAAGAAACCCCAACACTGGAGAGTTCTGTAAAACATTTAAAAGAATTAACAGCAATCCTCCCCAAACTGTTGCAAAGAATTGAAGACGTAGGAACATTCCCTAACTTCTGTAAGGCGAGCATTACTGTACCAAAATCAAATACAGACACACAAGACAACAATAGACCAGTATCCTTTAAGAATATTGATGCAAAATTCTTCAAAAAAGAATACTAGCAGATTGAATTCAACAGCCCGTGAAAGGAATTATACAACATGTTCAAAAATAACTTACACCTGGAACACAAGGATGGTTCAGCATTTACACCTGGAACACAAGGATGGCTCAACAATCAATCAAATCAACATTTATTGATTTTTATCAGTCAATATGCAAACAGAATGAGGGACAAAAACCACATGATGCAGGACTCTTGATAATTCAACATCCTTTAATTATTAAGATATTCAGCAGACTAAGAAAGAAACTGCATTGATGCAGTAAAATGCATGTGAAAAGTCCACATATGGCTTACATACTTAATGGTGAAAGGCTGAAAGCTTTTTCTGTAACATCAGGAATAAGATAAAAGAGATTTTTATTGAGTTACTGAATGGCCATTACCATTCAATAAGGTTTTACAAATTCTAACTACAACAGAAAAGAAAAAAAAATCCCAATTGGAAAGGAAAAAACTAGAAATAGCTTTGTTTGCAGACTGACCTGATACTTATGTACAAAACCATGAAGATTCCATAAAAAGCAATAAATGATTATTTCAGCAAGATGTAGGATATACAATGAACATACAAAAATCAGTTGTTATACACTAGTGATGACCAATGTGAAAAGGAAATTAGGAAGATAATCTATTTACAATTGCTTCTAAAAGGATACAATACTTAGGAATAATCTAAACCAAGGAGATGTTTCTGCTGATAGTCTTACTGGGACTCCTTGGTATGTTGAAAAACATTTGTTTTGATGCTTGCAAGACTTTTTCTTCACCTTTGGCTTCCAGGTTTATTTGTTTGTTTGTTTGACGCAGAGTCTTGCTCTGTCACCCAGGCTGGAGTGCAATAGCACAATCTCACCTCACTGCAACCTCCACCTCCTGGGTTCAAGCTAGTCTTCCACCTCAACATCCTGAATAGCTGAGATTACAGGAAACCCCCATCATGCCCAGCTAATTTTTGTATTTTTGTATAGACAGGGTTTCGCCGTCTTGGCCAAGCTGATCTTGAACTCCTGACCTCAGGTGATCCATCCTCCTTAGCCTCCCAAAGTGCTGGGATTACAGGAGTGAGTCACCACACCGGGCTGGTTTTACTAATTGTTTCTAGCTTGCAGAACTTTTATTATGAATTAATATTAGATGTATTAAATGGTTTTCCTTTTATATATACAATCAGATTAAAATGTTTCTTAATGAAATTACACTAATTTTCAAATTGTGTCAAAATTGATCAATATTGCATTATCTTTTTAAATTGTTTAGGAATTTTAGACATGTGTTGAATGAGATTGAGGTCTGGTTTTATTTTGTGAAACTACCCTTTACAAATTTTATGAAAATTTTAAAAATCAAAGTATATAAAATGAATTGAGGGAATGTTATCCTTTTATTCCCTTCAGTGTTTGTGTTAAGATTTATGTTATTTTTTCCTTAAATATTTGGTAGAATTTATTAATGAAGCAGGGGACAGTGGAGACAGAAAAGTAGCTCAGGAGATAATTGACAATGTGCCACTGCCCCTAGAGGAGGAGGCATGGCACACTGATGTATAGCATCACATTTGGATCTGACAATTGCAATGTAGAGAATGAAGAGGACTTGATCAGATTTGCATTTTACAAAATAAATACTTTGGCCGAGATGTGCAGGAAGGCAGGACAAAAAGGAGGAAGACCAGTAGAAATAAGTTTAAGTTGTATAATTGCAGTTGGCAGGACTTTAACAAAGCACAGCTTAGTTTTCAGTGGGTCCCCATTAGGAAAATGGGGGGAAAAAAAGAAAAAATTTGAAAACATTATTTTGAAGACTTGCAGCCAAGGAGAAAAAAATTAGAATTCAGCCCAAACTGTAGAAAATAAAAATTGAAAAAAGAAAAAAAAAAAAACAGGCCAGGATTAAACACTGAAATGTAAGACCTAAAACCATAAAAACCCTAGAAGAAAACCTAGGCAATACCATTCAGGACATAGACATAGGCAAAGACTTCATGGCTAAA
This sequence comes from Homo sapiens, assembly GCF_000001405.40. Lineage (NCBI taxonomy): Eukaryota > Metazoa > Chordata > Mammalia > Primates > Hominidae > Homo > Homo sapiens. The sequence goes on along the minus strand of NC_000024.10, from coordinate 13,190,726 downwards.
ACACCAAAAGCCATGGCAACAAAAGCCAAAATAGACAAATGGAATCTAATTAAACTAAAGAGCTTCTGCACAGCAAAAGAAACTACTATCAGAGTGCACAGGCAACCTACAGAATGGGAGAAAATTTTTGCAATCTATCCAGCTGACAAAGGACTAATATCCAGAATCTACAAAGTACTGAAATAAATTTACAAGAATAAAAACAAACAACCCATCAAAAAGTGGGCAAAGGAAATGAAGAGACACTTCTCAAAAGAAGGCATTTATGCAGCCAAAAGACACATGAAAAAGTGCTCATCATCACTGGTCATCAGAGAAATGTAAATCAATACCCAAATGAAATACCATCTCATGCCAGTTAGAATGGTGATCATTAAGATGTCAGGAAATAACAGATGCTGGAGAGGATGTGGAGAAATAGGAATGCTTTTACACTGTTGGTGGGAGTGTAAATTAGTTCAACCACTATGGAAGAGACTGTGGCAATTCCTCGAGGATCTAGAACTAGAAATACCATTTGACCCAGCAATCCCCTTACTGGGTATATACCAAAAGGATTATAAATCATGCTGCTATAAAGACACATGCACATGTATGTTTATTGTGGCACTATTCACAATAGCAAGGATTTGGAACCAACCCAAATGTCCATCAATGACAGACTGGATTAAGAAAATGTGGCACATATACACCATGGAATACTATGCAGTCATAAAAGGATGAGTTCATGTCTTTTGCAAGGACATGGATGAAGCTGGAAACCATCATTCTCAACAAACTGTCACAAGGACAGAAAACCAAACACTGCATGTTCTCACTCATAGGTGGGAAATGAACAATGAGAACACTGGGACACAGGGCAGGAAACATCACAAACCAGGGCCTGTTGAGTGGTGGGGGGCTGGGAGAGGGATAGCATTAGGAGAAATAACTAATGTAAATGACAAGTTGATGGGTGCAGCAAACCAGCATAGCACATGTATACCTATGTAACAAACCTACACATTGTGTACATGGACCCTAGAACTGAAAGTATAATAAGAAAAACAAATGAGTTAGGGAGGATTCCCTCTCTTTCTATCAACTGGAATAGTTTCAGTAGGAATGGTACCAGCTCCTCTTTGTACCTCTGGTAGAGTTCTGATGTGAGTCCATCTGGTCCTGGATTTTTTTGGTTGTAGGTTATTAATACCTGCTTCAATTTCAGAACCTGTTATTGGACTATTCAGAGATTCAAGTTCTTCCTGATTTAGTCTTGGGAGGGTATGTGTCCAGGAATGTATCTATTTCTTCCAGATTTTCTAGTTTATTTGGGTAGAGCTGTTTACAATATTCTCTGATGGTAGTTTGTATTTCTGTGGGATTGGTGGTGATATCCCCTTTATCATTTTTTATAGTGTCTATTTGATTCTTCTCTCTTTTCTTCTTTATTAGTCTTGCGAGCAGTCTATCTATTTTGTAAATCTTTCAAAAAACCAGCTCCTGGATTCATTGATTTTTTGAAGGGTTTTTTTTGTGTGTGTGTCTCTGTCTCTTTCAGTTCTGCTCTTATCTTAGGTTATTTCTTGCCTTCTGCTAGGTTTTCAATTGGTTTGCTCTTGCTTCTCTAGTTCTTTTAATTGTGATGTTAGGGTGTCAATTTTAGATCTTTCTTGCTGTCCCTTGTGGGCATTTAGTACCATAAATTTCCCTCTACACACTGCTTTAAATGAGTCCCAGAGATTCTGGTACATTGTGTCTTTGTTCTCATTGGTTTCAAAGAACATCTTTATTTCTGTCTTCATTTTGTTATTTACCCAGTAGTCATTCAGGAGCAGGTTGTTCAGTTTTCATGTAGTTGTATGGTTTTGAGTGAGTTTCTTCATCCTGAGTTCTAATTTGATTGCACTGTGGTCTGAGAGACAGTTTGTTGTGATTTCTGTTCTTTTACATTTGCTGAGGTGTGTTTTACTTCCAACTATCTGATCAGTTTTAGAATAAGTGCAGTGTGGTCCTGAGAAGAATGTATATTCTGATGATTTGGGGTGTAGAGATCTGCAGATGTCTATTAGGTCCGCTTGGTTCAGAGCTGAGTTCAAATCCTGCATATCCTTGTTAACCTTCTGTCTTGATCTGTCTAATGTTGACAGTGGGGTGTTAAAGTCTCCCACTATTACTATATGGGAGTCTAAGTCTCTTTGTAGGTCTCTAAGGACTTGCCTTATGAATCTGGGTGCTCCTGTATTGGGTGTATATGTATTTAGAATAGTTAGCTCTTCTTGTTAAATTGATCCCTTTACCATTTTGTAATGGCTTTCTTTGTCTCTTTTGATCCTGTTGGTTTAAAGTCTGTTTTATCAGAGACTAGGATTCCAACCCCTGCTTCTTTTTGCTTTCCATTTTCTTGATAGATCTTCCTGCATCCCTTTATTTTGTGCCTATTTGTGTCTCTGCACGTGAGATGGGTCTCCTGAATACAGCACACTGATGGGTCTTGACTTTTTATCCAATTTGCCTGTCTGTGTCTTTTAATTGGGGCCTTTGCCAACTTACATTTAAGGTTAGTATTGTTATGTGTGAAATTGATCCTGTCATTATGATGTTAGCTGTTTATTTTGCCCATTAATTGATGTAGTTTCTTCATAGCATTGATGGTCTTTATAGTTTGGCATGTTTTTGCAGTGGCTGGTACAGTTTGTTTCTTTCCATGTTTAGTCCTTCTTTCAGGACCTCTTGTAAGGCAAGCCTGGTGGTGAGAAAAATCTCTCAGCATTTCCTTGTCTGTAAAGGATTTTATTTCTCCTTTATTTATGAAGCTTAGTTTGGCTGGATATGAAATTCTGTGTTGAAAATTATTTTAAGAATGTTGAATATTGGCCCCCACTGTCTTCGGGCCTGTAGGGTTTCTGCCAAGAGATCTGCTGTTAGTCTGATGGGCTTCCCTTTGCAGGTAATTCGACCTTTCTCTCTGGCTTCCCTTAACATGTTTTCCTTCATTTCCCCCTTGGTGAATCTGACAATTATGTGTCTTGGGGTTGCTCTTTTGAGGAGTATCTTTATGGTGTTCTCTGTATTTCCTGAATTTGAATGTAGGCCTGCCTTGCTAGGTTGGGGAAGCTCTACTTGATAATATCCTGAAGAGTGTTTTTTAACTTCATTCCATTCTTCCCATGACTTTCAGGTACACCAATCAAATGTAAATTTGATATTTTCATATAGTCCCATATTTCTTGGAGGCTTTTTTTGTTTGTTTTTTCTCTTTTTTCCCCAATCTTGTCTTCTCACTTTATTTCATTAAGCTGATCTCAATCACTGATATCCTTTCTTCCACTTGATCAGAGTGGCTATTGACGCTCATGCATGCATCAGGAAGTTCTCTTGCAATGGTTTTTAGCTCTGTCAGGTCATTTAAGGTCTTCTTTACACTGTTTATTCAGTTTGCCATTTGTCTAACTTTTTTTCAAGGTTTTTAGCTTCCTTGCAATGGGGTAGAACATGCTGTTTTAGCACAGAGAAGTTTGTTATTACTGACTTTCTGAAGCCTACTTCTGTCAACTCATCAAAGTCATTCTCTATCCAGTTTTGTTTTATTGCTGGCAAGGAGCTGCAGCCCTTTGGAGGAGAGGAGGTTCTCTGCTTTTTGGAATTTTCAGCTTTTCTGCTCTGGTTTCTCCCCATCTTTGTGATTTTATCTACATTTGGTCTTTGATGTTGGTGACCTACAGTTGGGGTTTTGGTGTGGCTGTCGTTTTTGTTGATGTTGATGCTATTCCTTTCTGTTCATTAGTTTTCCTTCTAACAGTGAGGACCCTCAGCTGCAGGTCTCTTGGAGTTTGCTGGAGGCCCACTCCAGACACTGTTTTGCTGGGTATCACCAGTGGAGGCTGCAGAATTGCAAATATTGCAGAACAGCAAATATTGCTGCCTGATCCTTCCTCTGGAAGCTTCATCCCAGAAGGGCAACTTCCTGTATGAGGTGTCTGTTGGCCCCTACTGGGAGGTATCTCCCAGTGAGGCTACCTGGGGATCAGGGACCCATTTGAGGAGGCAGTCTGCATTCTCAGAGCTCAGATGCACTGCTGGGAAAACCACTGCTCTCTTCAGAGCTGTCAGACAGGGACATTTAAGTCTGCCAAAATTGTCTGCTGCCTTTTGTTCAGCTATGCCCTGCCCACAGAGGTGGAGTCTATATAGGCAGTAGGCCTTGCTGAGCTGTGGTGCGCTTACCCAGTTTGAGCTTCCCAGTTGCTTAGTTTACCCACAAGCCTCAGCAATGGCAGACGCCCCTCCCCCACAAGGCTGCAGCCTCATGGGTCGATCTTAGTCTGCTGCACTAGCAGTGAGCACAGTTCCGTGGGCATGGGACCCACCAAGACGGCACAGGAGGGACTTTCCTTGTTTGCCAGTTGCTAAGACAATTGAAAAGTGCAGTATTTGGGTGAGAGTGTACAGTTTTTCCAGGTACAGTCTGTCACATCTTCCCTTGGCTAGGAAAGGGAAATCCCCCTACCCCTTGCACTTCCCAGGTAAGGTAACATTCTGCCCTGCTTCAGCTCACCCTCCATGGGCTGCACCCACTGTCTAACCAGTCCCAGTGAGATGAACCAGGTACCTCCATTGTAAATGCAGAAATCAACCATCTTCTGTGTCGATCTCGCTGGGAGCTGAAGACCAGAGCTGTTCCTGTTCGGCCATCTTGGAAGCTACTGTGAGCATTCTTCAATAATAATTTTTTTTACATAGGCCTTTAAATGGACTTTGATGGAACTTTGTTCCATAGGAGGAATCTCAGATAGGACTTTTTAAAAGCTGAGTCGAGCCATGAATATGTGCCATCAAATATCTATGAGTTGGTTGAATTTCCTCTCCTTGTGAGGTTCCAAGATAAACTTTGCGTTTTTGTGCCTCGGAGAAAGTGACACTCTTTACCTGCCACAGGTCAGAAACCTGTACATCTACTGTGAGACCAGTCCAGGAGAATATGAGGCCAGTTTTCCAAGGGTTTTATTGGCTCCATAAGTCAAGTTTGATTCCTTAAAGGAAAGCACACCATTCCAGTCAAAGCCTTGGTAAAATTGTAATCCCAACACTTTGGAAGGCTGAGGCAGACAGATCAACTGAGGTCAGGAGTTCAAGACCAGCCTGACCAACAAGGAGAAACCCCGTCTATACTAAAAGTACAAAATTAGCCAACTATTGTCATGCATGCCTGTAATCTCAGCTACTCAGGAGGCTGAGGCAGGAGAATTGCTTGAACCCCAGAGGTGGAGGTTGTGGTGAGCTGAGATTGTGCCATTGCACTTCAGCCTGGGTGACAAGAGCAAAACTCTCTCTCTCAAAAAAAAAAAAAAAAAAAAAAAAAAATAGCCTGGTGCAGTGGCTCACGCCTGTAATCCCAGTACTTTGGAAGGACGAGGTGGGTGGATCACGAGGTCAGGAGTTCAAGACCAGCCCGGCCAACATAGTGAAACCCCATCTCTACTAAAAATTAGCCAGGCATGGTAGTGGGCACCTGTACTCCTGGTTACTTGGGAGGCTGAGGCACATAATTGCTTGAACCTGGGAGGTGGAGGTTGCAGTCAGCCAAGATTGGACTGCTGCAGTCTGGGCAACAGAGCAAGACTGCATCTCAGGAGGAGCCAAGATGGCCGAATAGGAACAGCTCCGGTCTACAGCTCCCAGCGTGAGCGACGCAGAAGACGAGTGATTTCTGCATTTCCATCTGAGGTACCGGGTTCATCTCACTAGGGAGTGCCTGCCAGACAGTGGGTGCAGGCCAGTGTGTGCGCGCACCGTGCGCGAGCCGAAGCAGGGCGAGGCATTGCCTCACCTGAGAAGCACAAGGGTCAGGGAGTTCCCTTTCCGAGTCAAAGAAAGGGGTGACGGACGCACCTGGAAAATCGGGTCACTCCCACCCGAATATTGCGCTTTTCAGACCAGCTTAAAAAATGGCACACCAGGAGACTATATCCCACAACTGGCTCAGAGGGTCCTACGCCCACGGAGTCTCGCTGATTGCTAGCACAGCAGTCTGAGACCAAACTGCAAGGCGGCAATGAGGCTGGGGGAGGGGCGCCCACCATTGCCCAGGCTTGCTTAGGTAAACAAAGCAGCCGGGAAGCTCGAACCGGGTGGAGCCCACCACAGCTCAAGGAGGCCTGCCTGCCTCTGTAGGCTCCACCTCTGGGGGCAGGGCACAGACAAACGAAAAGACAGCAGTAACCTCTGCAGACTTAAGTGTCCCTGTCTGACAGCTTTGAAGAGAGCAGTGGTTCTCCCAGCACGCAGCTGGAGATCTGAGAACGGGCAGACTGCCTCCTCAATTGGGTCCCTGACCCCTGACCCCGAGCAGCCTAACTGGGAGGCACCCCCCAGCAGGGGCACACTGACACCTCACATGGCAGGGTATTCCAACAGACCTGCAGCTGAGGGTCCTGTCTGTTAGAAGGAAAACTAACAACCAGAAAGGACATCTACACCGAAAACCCATCTGTACATCACCATCATCAAAGACCAAAAGTAGGTAAAACCACAAAGATGGGGAAAAAACAGAACAGAAAAACTGGAAACTCTAAAACGCAGAGCGCCTCTCCTCCTCCAAAGGAACGCAGTTCCTCACCAGCAACGGAACAAAGCTGGATGGAGAATGATTTTGACGAGCTGAGAGAAGAATGCTTCAGACGATCAAATTACTCTGAGCTACGGGAGGACATTCAAACCAAAGGCAAAGAAGTTGAAAACTTTGAAAAAAATTTAGAAGAATGTATAACTAGAATAACCAATACAGAGAAGTGCTTAAAGGAGCTGATGGAGCTGAAAACCAAGGCTCGAGAACTACGTGAAGAATGCAGAAGCCTCAGGAGCCGATGCGATCAACTGGAAGAAAGGGTATCAGCAGTGGAAGATGAAATGAATGAAATGAAGCGAGAAGGGAAGTTTAGAGAAAAAAGAATAAAAAGAAATGAGCAAAGCCTCCAAGAAATATGGGACTCTGTGAAAAGACCAAATCTACGTCTGATTGGTGTACCTGAAAGTGATGAGGAGAATGGAACCAAGTTGGAAAACACTCTGCAGGATATTATCCAGGAGAACTTCCCCAATCTAGCAAGGCAGGCCAACGTTCAGATTCAGGAAATACAGAGAACGCCACAAAGATACTCCTCGAGAAGAGCAACTCCAAGACACTTAATTGTCAGATTCACCAAGGTTGAAATGAAGGAAAAAATGTTAAGGGCAGCCAGAGAGAAAGGTCGGGTTACCCTCAAAGGGAAGCCCACCAGACTAACAGCGGATCTCTCGGCAGAAACCCTACAAGCCAGAAGAGAGTGGGGGCCAATATTCAACATTCTTAAAGAAAAGAATTTTCAACCCAGAATTTCATATCCAGCCAGACTAAGCTTCATAAGTGAAGGAGAAATAAAATACTTTATAGACAAGCAAATGCTGAGAGATTTTGTCACCACCAGGCCTGCCATAAAAGAGCTCCTGAAGGAAGCGCTAAACATGGAAAGGAACAACCGGTACCAGCCGCTGCAAAACCATGCCAAAATGTAAAGACCATCGAGACTAGGAAGAAACTGCATCAACTAACGAGCAAAATTACCAGCTAACATCATAATGACAGGTTCAAATTCACACATAACAATATTAACTTTAAATATAAATGGACTAAATTCTGCAATTAAAAGACACAGACTGGCAAGTTGGATAAAGAGTCAAGACCCATCAGTGTGCTGTATTCAGGAAACCCATCTCACGTGCCGAGACACACATAGGCTCAAAATAAAAGGATGGAGAAAGATCTACCAAGCCAATGGAAAACAAAAAAAGGCAGAGGTTGCAATCTTAGTCTCTGATAAAACAGACTTTAAACCAACAAAGATCAAAAGAGACAAAGAAGGCCATTACATAATGGTAAAGGGATCAATTCAACAAGAGGAGCTAACTATCCTAAATATTTATGCACCCAATACAGGAGCACCCAGATTCATAAAGCAAGTCCTGCGTGACCTACAAAGAGACTTAGACTCCCACACATTAATAATGGGAGACTTTAACACCCCACTGTCAACATTAGACAGATCAATGAGACAGAAAGTCACCAAGGATACCCAGGAATTGAACTCAGCTCTGCACCAAGAGGACCTAATAGACATCTACAGAACTCTCCACCCCAATTCAACAGAATATACATTTTTTTCAGCACCACACCACACCTATTCCAAAATTGACCACATAGTTGGAAGTAAAGCTCTCCTCAGCAAATGTAAAATAACAGAAATTATAACAAACTATCTCTCAGACCACAGTGCAATCAAACTAGAACTCAGGATTAAGAATCTCACTCAAAGCCGCTCAACTACATGGAAACTGAACAATCTGCTCCTGAATGACTACTGGGTACATAACGAAATGAAGGCAGAAATAAAGATGTTCTTTGAAACCAACGAGAACAAAGACACCACATACCAGAATCTCTGGGACGCATTCAAAGCAGTGTGTAGAGGGAAATTTATAGCACTAAATTCCTACAAGAGAAAGCAGGAAAGATCCAAAATTGACACCCTAACATCACAATTAAAAGAACTAGAAAAGCAAGAGCAAACACATTCAAAAGCTAGCAGAAGGCAAGAAATAACTAAAATCAGAGCAGAACTGAAGGAAATAGAGACACAAAAAATCCTTCAAAAAATCAATGAATCCAGGAGCTGGTTTTTTGAAAGGATCAACAAAATTGATAGACCACTAGCAAGACTAATAAAGAAAAAAAGAGAGAAGAATCAAATAGACCCAATAAAAAATGATAAAGGGGATATCACCACCGATCCCACAGAAATACAAACTACCATCAGAGAATACTACAAACACCTCTACGCAAATAAACTAGAAAATCTAGAAGAAATGGATACATTCCTCGACACATACACTCTCCCAAGAGTAAACCAGGAAGAAGCTGAATCTCTGAATAGACCAATAACAGGCTCTGAAATTGTGGCAATAATCAATAGTTTACCAAGCAAAAAGAGTCCAGGACCAGATGCATTCAAAGCCGAATTCTACCAGAGGTACAAGGAGGAACTGGTACCATTCCTTCTGAAACTATTCCAATCAATAGAAAAAGAGGGAATCCTCCCTAACTCATTTTATGAGGCCAGCATCATTCTGATACCAAAGCTGGGCAGAGACACAACCAAAAAAGAGAATTTTAGACCAATATCCTTGATGAACATTGATGCAAAAATCCTCAATAAAATACTGGCAAACCGAATCCAGCAGCACATCAAAAAGCTTATCCACCATGATCAAGTGGGCTTCATCCCTGGGATGCAAGGCTGGTTCAATATAAGCAAATCAATAAATGTAATCCAGCATATAAACAGAGCCAAAGACAAAAACTACATGATTATCTCAATAGATGCAGAAAAAGCCTTTGACAAAATTCAACAACCCTTCATGCTAAAAACTCTCAATAAATTAGGTATTGATGGGACGTATTTCAAAATAATAAGAGCTATCTATGACAAACCCACAGCCAATATCATACTGAATGGGCAAAAACTAGAAGCATTCCCTTTGAAAACTGGCACAAGACAGGGATGCCCTCTCTCACCGCTCCTATTCAACATAGTGTTGGAAGTTCTGGCCAGGGCAATAAGGCAGGAGAAGGAAATAAAGGGTATTCAATTAGGAAAAGAGGAAGTCAAATTGTCCCTGTTTGCAAACGACATGATTGTTTATCTAGAAAACCCCATCGTCTCAGCCCAAAATCTCCTTAAGCTGATAAGCAACTTCAGCAAAGTCTCAGGATACAAAATCAATGTACAAAAATCACAAGCATTCTTATACACCAACAACACACAAACAGAGAGCCAAATCATGAGTGAACTCCCATTCACAATTGCTTCAAAGAGAATAAAATACCTAGGAATCCAACTTACAAGGGATGTGAAGGACCTCTTCAAGGAGAACTACAAACCACTGCTCAAGGAAATAAAAGAGGACACAAACAAATGGAAGAACATTCCATGCTCATGGGTAGGAAGAATCAATATCGTGAAAATGGCCATACTGCCCAAGGTAATTTACAGATTCAATGCCATCCCCATCAAGCTACCAATGACTTTCTTCACAGAATTGGAAAAAACTACTTTAAAGTTCATATGGAACAAAAAAAGAGTCCACATCGCCAAGACAATCCTAAGCCAAAAGAACAAAGCTGGAGGCATCACACTACCTGACTTCAAACTATACTACAAGGCTACAGTAACCAAAACAGCATGGTACAGGTACCAAAACAGAGATATAGATCGATGGAACAGAACAGAGCCCTCAGAAATAATGCCGCTTATCTACAACTATCTGATCTTTGACAAACCTGAGAAAAACAAGCAATGGGGAAAGGATTCCCTATTAAATAAATGGTGCTGGGAAAACTGGCTAGCCATATGTAGAAAGCTGAAACTGGATCCCTTCCTTACCCCTTATACAAAAATCAATTCAAGATGGATTAAAGATTTAAACGTTAGACCTAAAACCATAAAAACCCTAGAAGAAAACCTAGGCATTACCATTCAGGACATAGGCGTGGGCAAGGACTTCATGTCCAAAACACCAAAAGCAATGGCAACAAAAGCCAAAGTTGACAAATGGGATCTAATTAAACTAAAGAGCTCTGCACAGCGAAAGAAACTACCATCAGAGTGAACAGGCAACCTACAACATGGGAGAAAATTTTTGCAACCTACTCATCTGACAAAGGGCTAATATCCAGAATCTACAATGAACTCAAACAAATTTACAAGAAAAAAACAAACAACCCCATCAAAAAGTGGGCGAAGGACATGAACAGACACTTCTCAAAAGAAGACATTTATGCAGCCAAAAAACACATGAAAAAATGCTCATCATCACTGGCCATCAGAGAAATGCAAATCAAAACCACTATGAGATATCATCTCACACCAGTTAGAATGGCAATCATTACAAAGTCAGGAAACAACAGGTGCTGGAGAGGTTGTGGAGAAATAGGAACACTTTTACACTGTTGGTGGGACTGTAAACTAGTTCAACCATTGTGGAAGTCATTGTGGCGATTCCTCAGGGATCTAGAACTAGAAATACCATTTGACCCAGCCATCCCATTACTGGGTATATACCCAAATGACTATAAATCATGCTGCTATAAAGACACATGCACACGTATGTTTATTGCGGCATTATTCACAATAGCAAAGACTTGGAACCAACCCAAATGTCCAACAATGATAGTCTGGATTAAGAAAATGTGGCACATATACACCATGGAATACTATGCAGCCATAAAAAATGATGAGTTCATGTCCTTTTTAGGGACATGGATGAAATTGGAAACCATCATTCTCAGTAAACTATCGCAAGAACAAAAAACCAAACACCGCATATTCTCACTCATAGGTGGGAATTGAACAATGAGATCACATGGACACAGGAAGGGGAATATCACACTCTGGGGACTGTTGTGGCGTTGGGAGAGGGGGGAGGGATAGCATTGGGAGATATACCTAATGATAGATGACACGTTAGTGGGTGCAGCGCACCAGCATGGCACATGTATACATATGTAACTAACCTGCACAATGTGCACATGTACCCTAAAACTTAAAGTATAATAAAAAAAAAAAAAAAAAGACTGCATCTCAAAAAAAAAAAAAAAAATTACCAGTGTTTCCAATTGTGTCCTGTTACAAATGAAAACAGATTCTTGTTACAGTTATGCAAATAATTGTATTGCCATAAGATAAGAATACTAAAAAATAGTTTCCAAATTCTGGAGAAAATCATGTAGAAAGAAACCAAGTGTGCTCCAAATTTTGTTCATGGGACTATACTAAATTGTTAAAATCTGTTAGTAGCTCAAAAGAAAAGTTTTAAGATCTGAAAAAGAAAACAAAGGATCAGCATCATTTTAAGCAAAAAATCAACAAGATTAGTTCAGTCCATGCAGTTAATTCCTCTTCTGCTTGATACTCATGAATATTTTAGCTGTCCATGAGTTCTGAATGTTTTTCCTTTGTTCTGATGTCATAGTCTCCAAAGTTACCAGGAACCTGCATTTAAAAGCATCTGTTGGAGTTTTATGGCTGAAAATAAAATCACCTTCTAAAGAGGATGAAAACAAGACAATTGTCCATGGATTTTAAAAAATTTTAAGACAGCCATAGTTAAAATACACAATTAACAAGGAAATCTGTTACCTCTGTGGCACACAATTTTAGCATAATGATTGTTTTACTGATAATATACACTGTTTTATCAGACTTACAGGATTTTCCCATAATTTTGGAACACATACCAGTAAATCACTTGTGCAAATACAGCCCAAAGAAAACTAAACACCATTTCATATATGACAAATGCTTCCTGTATAATTGTTATATAAAATAAGGCAAATTATGTCATTTTTGATCTTTAGGATAACTAACATCTTAAAGCATGTAATTAGGTTAGAAAAAGACATAATTTATGCTTTGATTTTTGGAATGTTTGTCAAATATAAAATGTTTAAAACACTTGATATTACAAATTAGGATTACAGGTCATTGTAAAGTCATTTATTTAACAAAAGTGATAGTTTAAGAATTTTTTAAAAAGTGAAAACCTTTATTCTTTGAGGATGGGAAGTAATTTTCTAAACAAGAAGCTCTAATAAAAACAACATGAAGCCAATTACATATGTTGTTCAAAATTTTGTAAACAATCTATAAAATTTAATCTCCATTATTAAATATAACTTCCATAAACCTTTTGTTACCTGTATAACCTATATTAAATTCTTGGTTAATGCTTCAAGAAAACCTTGTTAATCTGACACAGGGGTTCATGTACTTGTTTTGCATCAGTGTACATTTGACCCTGATAATTAACTTATAGAGAAAGTGAACTTATCTTTCAAAATCAGCCCTTACCATCTTACATGCCCAACCCTTTTGTGACATTCCCTGAGCCTTGAGGAATTGAATAGCTTTTGTTTCTTTTTCTTTTTCCTGTGTCTGAGGAATATAGTTTATTTTGATTGGTATCTTCTATAGGGCCTGAGATGACGCTTTAATTGCTGTCAGTGTTTAAGATTCAGCAGGACTTAGTGTCCTTTTTAGACCTTAGTGTTAAAGTCCTGTAACTCAATATTACAAGGGCTTTGCACATACAGAAAGATACATGGATGTAATGACCTGAATTTTAAGAAAAATTATGCCACAGTTTTTTGTCCTAAGCAAACCAAAACTTAGTAATAATATGACAACTTGATTACATAAAAGTTTTTGGGTTTTTTAACATATAAATCTTCTTATAGTGACTAAACCAACCATTTATGACTTCTGGTTTGGCCTGAATATCCCCCCTTTTTAAACAACTAGTTATTTTACTTTAGGGCTACATTTATCATACAATATTTTTTCTTATATTTTTCTGTAACCTTTTAACCTAAAAAAAACCCCTCCTTATTTTTATAACTTTTTATTTGTATTTGTATTTGTATTTTTTTGAGACACAGTTTCATTCTTGTCACCCAGGCTGGAGTGCAATGGTACAACCTCAGCTCACCACAACCTCTGTCTCTAAGGTTCAAGTGATTCTCCTGCCTCAGCCTCCCGAGTAGCTGGGAATATAGACACCAGCTACCATGCCCAGCTACTTTTTAAAATTATTTTTATTATAGAGATGGGGTTTCACCATGTTGGCCAGGCTGGTTTTGAACTCCTGACCTCAAGTGATCCACCTGCCTCGGCCTCCCAAAGTGCTCACAGGCACCAGCCTTTATCACTTTCTTTACATCTTTTAAAATTTCCTGGCTTTTTTGTTACCTTGTTTTATATATAACCTTTAAATAAAGTTCAAATTAGACAAAAAATTTTCACCAATTTTTAAAAAAAGAATATACTTCTCTCTCACTTTTTTTTTTAGTAAGAATATCTTCCTACAATATATATTGGAAAATACCCAAATAATGAAATATTTATTATTTAATTTAATTTAATTTTATAGTCTAAATTATGACCAGTTTGTCTACAAGTATTTATCCCATTACATTTACCTATTTTAATTGTTTACCTAGATTATTTATGAAAACTGTGATAGTCATGAATTTAAAGTTATGAAACCACCATTGCAAAATTATAACTGAAACAGTGAAAAAAGATTTGCCCTAATTGACTCTATCTTGCTCTTTACCTCTGAGCTGTCCTTTTCATTCCTGGGCATAGGCTGAACTAACTTTGGGAGAAGAAAAAAATATGATAACAGTCTGTTTGCAAAACAAATCTCCTTATTGTCTGTGGACTGGACTGTCTATAGCTGCAGGATTAGAAGTTATGGTAATCTTACTAAATTCAAGATGCAGCTATTTTCATTAAACCCATATCAATGTCTTATGTACTAAAAAATACAGAAGCAGGCTGGGCACAGTGGCTCCCACTTGTAATTCCAGTACTTTGGGAGGCCGAGGCGGGCAGATTGCTTGAGGTCAGGAGTTCAAGACCAGCCTGGCCAACAGGGTGAAACCCCCCTTTCTACTAAAAATACAAAAATTAGCTTAGTGTAGTGGTGCACATCTGTAATCCCAGCTATTCAGGAGGCTGAGGCAGGAGAATTGCTTGAACCCAGGAGGCAAAGGTTGCAGTGAGCCTAGGTCATGCCACTGCACTCCAGCCTGGGCAACAGAGCAAGACTCTGTCTCAAAAATAAATGAATACATAATTTTTTTTAAATTACATAACCAAAGATCATTCTGATTTGGGCTGCATTTATAGTTTTGTAACCCCTATGCCAAACTTTGACAACTTATACTATTCAGCAGGGATAAATATGAAATTGCTTGATTAATAAATGCAAACAAAAATGTATGTTGGCAATTCATAAGACATTTCTTGTTGGGACCAAGCCCCCAAATCTGGCCATAAACTGGCCCCAAAACTGGCCATAAACAAAATCTCTGCAGCACTGTGAAATGTTTGTGATGGCCATAACACCCATGCTGAAGATTGTGGGTTTACTGCAATAAGAGCAAGGAACACTTGGCCCACCCAGGGTGGAAAACCACTTAAAGGTGTTCCTAAGCCACAAACAATAGCATGAGTGATCTGTGCCTTAAGGACATATTCCTGCTGCAGATAACTAGCTAGAGCCCATCCCTTTGTTTTGGCCCATCCCTTTGTTTCCCATGAGGAATGCTTTTAGTTAATCTATAATCTATAGAAACAATGCTTATCACTGGCATGCTGTCAATAAATATGTGGGTAAATCTCTGTTTGGGGCTTTCAGCTCTGAAGGCTGTGAGATCCCTGATTTCCCACTCCACACACTATATTTCTGTGTGTGTCTTTAATTCCTCTAGCACCCTTGGGTTAGGATCTCCCTGACCGAGCTGGTCTTGGCAAGTGGCGCCCATATGTGGGGCTCAAGCCCAGGTCAAAGGGTCACCAGAGCAATGGTTGGAGAATGTGGAACTAAGCTGGAGGTCATGCAAGTACACTTAAGCAATCCCCGTGATGAGTTAGAAGGGGAGCTCAGAAGCATCAGGGTGACAATGGGACAAGTGTGGGCTCTGGTTCATTCCACCTTGGAACCTTTTCACACTAATGAAGAGGAGGAAGGATTATATAACAAAGTAACAGAAGAGGTGACAGAGCAGGTTTGTTTGCCAGCTAAAGCTAAAGCAGCAAAGGAAGGAGAGGTTCATCCCTACCCTTCTCCATTCCCTCATTATTTTGAAGAAACAGAGTGGCCTGACCCTCCAGATCTTTCTTTCTGGAGGGCACTGGGCAAAAAGTTGTTGCCCCAGTGACTATTTGAGCAGAACCTTGAGCAACTGCTCTCAGTTCCATTCAGGCAGGAATTCAGCAAGCTAGAAGAAAGGATGATTTAGAGGCTTCATAGTTCCCTGTTAGAATACATCCCCCAGATCAACAGGGAAATATTATAGCTACATTTGAGCATTTTCTTTTTAAGTTGGAGAAATGCCATGAGGGGCTAGTCCTCAGTCCCATTCCAAACCAGGGCATTTCCAGCTCAGGCCATTCCTTCACTCCTGTACAATGTCTGTCTCCTGCCACAGCCAGTAGTGCCACAGTAGATTTATGCTACACAAAAGCTGTAAGTCTTCTTCCTGGGGAACACCTGCAAAAAGTTCCAAGAGGGGTCTGTGGACCCTCGCCAGCAGGGACAATAGGATTAGTTCTAGGCAGGTCTAGTTTAAATTTAAAAGAAGTGCAAGTACAAACAGGAGTCATTGATTCAGATTCCAATGGGGAAAATCAAATTGTTATATCAATTTCTGTTCCCTTGAAAGCAGAGCCAGGAGAGCGTATAGCACAGTTCCTGATTGTGCCATATATGGAAATGGGGGAAAGTGAAACTAAATGAAAGAGAGGATGTGGAAGAACAAATAAACAATGCAAAGCAGCTTATTGGGTGAATCGAATTACTCATAAATGTTCTACCTGTGAAATAGCTATTCAGGGAAAAGAAATTTAAAGATTTGGTAGATACAGGAGTGGACATTTCAATCATTCTCTACAGCACTGGCCATGCACGTGGCCAATTCAATGCACTCAATTTAACATAGTTAGAGAGAGTAACACCCCTGAAGTATATCAAAGTAGTTATATTTTGCACTGTGAAGGGTCCAGTGGACAACGTGGGACTATGCAACCAACTGTAACTTCTGTACCTATAAATTTATGGGGAAGAGATTTATTACAACAATGGGGAGAACAAGTTCTAATTCCAGAGCAGATGTATAGCCCTCAAAGTCAACATATGATGCATGAAATGCGGTATGTCCCTTGTATGGGACTAGGAGAAAAACTTGCAAGGTTTGAAGGAACTGCTTCAAGCAAAAAGACAAATCTCCCACCGAGGTTTAGGATATCATTTTTGATGGGATCCATTATTAAGCCTTCAAAATCTATACTTTTAAAATGGTTAACATATAAGCCAATTTGGATAGAACAATGGCCACTAAGTAAAGAGAAACTGGAAGCTTTAGAGGACTTTGTTAATCAACAATAAGAAAAAGGACACATAACTCCAACATTTCCCCCTTGGAATTCTCCAGTTTTTGTAATTGAGAAAAAATCAGGTAAATGGAGAATGTTCACTGACTTAACAGCCATTAATTCAGCTATACAACCTTTGGGTACATTGCAGCTAGGACTGCCTTCTCTTGCTATGATTCCAAAAACTTGGTCTTTAATAGTCATGGATTTAAAAGACTGTTTCTTTACTGAAGACTGTGAACGGTTGGCATTTACAATTCCTGCGGTAAACAACCTGCAGCCTGCTAAGCATTTTCAGTAGAAAATGTTGCCACAAGGCATGTTAAACACCCCAACAATTTGCCAGATGTATGTAGGGCAAGCAATTGAACCTACTCATAAAAATTTTCAGTGTTAGATTTATTCATTTTATGGACAACATACTTTGTGCTGCCCCCACTCGAGAAATATTACTCCAATGTTATAAGCACTTGCAAAATTTGATTTATTGTGCTGGTTTAATTATAGCTGCTGACAAAATGCAGACTACTACTCCTTACTCCTACTTGGGGACCTTAGTAAATGACACTACAATAGTGCCACAAAAATTAACCATATGTAGGTATCAGTTGAAAACATTAAGTGACTTTCAAAAATTACTAGGGGACATTAATTGGATATATCCTGCTCTAGGCATTGCTATCTATGCCATGAGTAATCTATTTTCTCCCCTTAGAGGAGATCCTAGTCTAACTAGCCCTCTGCAATTAACAAAGGGGGCTGAGGCAGACTTACAGCTGATTCAAAAGCAAGTCTATAAAGCTCACATGAATACATCCAGAGAAGACTCTAGATTTGCTGATTTTTTCCAACTCAGCATTCACCTACTGGTGTTATTGTCCTAGAGTGGACTTTGTAGAATGGCTTTTTCTTCCACATACTAATTCACAGACTCTAACTCCTTATTTGGATCAAATTGCTACTATGATAAGAAATAGGAGAACTCAGAATGTTAAATTACATGGATATGATCCTGGAAAAATTATTATCCCTCTCACGAAGGCACAAATACAGTAAGCTTTCATAAATAGTCTTACTTGGCAAACCCATTTAGCTGACTTTGTGGGTGTTCTCGATAATCATTTTCCTAAAACAAAATTATTTCAATTTTTGATATTAACTAATTGGATTCTCCCTAAAATAACTAAATTTAAACTAATTGAAGGTGCTGAAAATGTTTTTATAGATGGGTCTAATCTTATTCTGCTTCAAAAGGAAAAGTTTTTCAGACACCCTATACCTCAGTTCAAAAAGCAGAGCTTGTAGCTGTAGTTGAGGTATTGACTGCTTTTTATATGCCTATTAATGTGATTTCTGATTCTTCATATGTGGTTCACTCCACACAATTAATTGAAAATGCTCAGTTATGATTTCATACAGATGAACAACTGGTGATTTTCTACCCAATTAAAGCAGTTAGGAGTAGAATGCACCCTTTTTACTCACTCATATTAGGGCTCAAACACCTCTTCCAGGACCTTTGACTGCAAGGAATCAAATGGCTTGATCGCCTAGTTGCTACTGCAATATCTAATGCCGACACTTTCACAGTTTAACCCATGTTATTGCCTCTGGTCTCAAATGCAGATACAGCATTACCTGGGAAGAAGCTGAAGCCATTATTCAGCAATGCCCAACTTGCCAAATGGTGCATTGCTTATCTTTTATGGGAGGAGTTAATTATCAAGTATTGGAACCTAACTCTCTTTGGCAAAGGGATGTCACACATCTTCCCTCATTTGGGAGACTAGCTTATGTACATGTATGTGTGGATACCTTTTCTCACTTTGTCTGGGCTACATGCCAATCAGGAGAGTCTTCTGCCAGTGTTAAATGTCACCTTTTGCAGTGTTTTGTGGTGATGGGCATTCCAGCTTCTATCAAAACAGATAATGCCCCAGGCTATACTAGCCAACTTCTGGCTACATTTTTCTCTGTATGAAATATTAGCCACTTTACTGGCATCCCATATAATTCTCAAGGACAAGCCACAGTAGAAAGAATGAATCTCCCCCTGAAACAGCAGTTTCAAAAGCAAAAGGAGGAAAACAGATACTACGAGACACTGCATATGCAATTGAATCTAGCATTATTGACCATAAATTGTTTGAGCCTGCCTAAAGGCCAGATGCTATCAACAGCTGAACAGTATCTACAGAAACCAGCTGCAAAGACAGAAGCAGAACAACTCGTTTGGTGGAGAGATCCAATAACAAAAAGTTGCGAAATAGGTAAAATAATAAGTTGGGGTAGAGTTTCTGCTTGTGCTTCTCCAGGACTGAATCAACAGCCGATTTTGATGGTACCATCAAGACACCTGAAACCTTATCATGAGCCAGATGCTGAAGAAGAGATTCCAGGAGGATCCCAAGGACCCTCCAGTTGCAGCCATGTTGAGACTGACATTGCGGAGGATCCCAACTGTCATGAGCAACACCCATCGAACACAGCCACCTACCTGGGGACAGATCAAGAAGCTGTCACAGATGGCAGAAGAAAATCTGAGGAAAGCAGGACAACCAGTCACAATGAGTAATTTAATGGTAGCTATGATAGCGGTGATCACCACTGTCATGAGTATCCCTTCAACAAGTGCTGACACAGAGAACAAGTATATTATTGGGCATATTTATCAATCTTGGCTGGCAATAATGCCTGGATGTAATCACTCTGACACAGTTACACATGCTTTCTAATCTCAGTATTTACCATAATAAATCTGCTCCTATAATTGAGGCATACTGCCCCCAAAAACTTATTTGTAAACACAATTGGATCTTGCCAGAAATAATGAACATACTTGTTTAGGAAGATTGCACTGCAGAACAGGCAGAGGTGCTGCACAACAATTCCTATGGAATCATCATTGATTGATCCACTGAGGGGATGTTTAGCTTGAATTGCACCTCTCAGTCTGCATGCCATGGCCACACTATGTTCAGCTAGTCTAAACAAAATGGTCAGATGGTAGAAATAGTAAGAAATATGGCAAGAGTTTCTATTATCTGGAAGCATGGCAGTATAGTGGCACCTCAATCTCAATGATGTGGCCCACAGTAAGAGCTAAACATAAGGATTTGTGGAAACTATTAATGACTCTTAATAAGATAAAAATTTGGGAAAGAATAAAAAACCATCCAGAAGGACACTGTACAAACTTGTCTTTGGATATGGCAAAATTAAAAGAACAAATATTTAAGGCATCCCAGGCACACCTGACCTTAATGCCAGGAACTAGAGCTGCAGACAGATTAACAGCTAGTAACCCATTAAAATTGATAAAATCACTTGGAAGCTCTGTGGTTTCAATGATGATTGTGTTTTTAATCTGTGTTCTTTGTATGGTCTGCAGATGCGGATCCCAACTCTTGCAAGAAGTAACTCACCATGACAAAGCTGCCTTTGCTTTTGTCACTTTGAAAAAACAAGAAGGGGGACATGGTGGGGATAGGCCCCCAAATCTGGTTATAAACTGGCCCTAAATCTGGCCATAAACAAAATCTCTCAGCACTGTGACATGTTCATGATGGCCATAACACCCACGCTGAAGGTCGTGGGTTTTCTGGAATGAGGGCAAGGAACGCCTGGCCCAAATGGGACAGAAAACCACTTAAAGGCATTCCTAAGCCACAAACAATAGCATGAGCGACCCGTGCCTTAAGGACATGTTTCTACTGCAGATAACTAGCCGAAGTCCATCCCTTTGTTTCAGCCCATCCCTCTGTTTCCTGTGAGGAATACTTTTAGTTAATCTATAACCTATAGAAACAATGCTTATCACTGGCTTGCTGTCAATAAATATGTGGGTAAATCTCTGTTTGGGGCTCTCAGCTCTGAAGGCTGTGAGACCCCTGATTTCCCACTTCACACACTATATTTCTGTGTGTGTGTCTTTAATTCCTCTAGCACCACTGTATTGGGGTCTCCAAGCTGGTCTCAGCAATTTCTAATATTACTTTACCAAGAATTTTAAGGCCAGCTTTGTTATTAAAGATTTTACCTTAGTTACATAAAATTGAAAAGCATTTGACTAGCCTTTTCATTTTTAGTATCTGATTTAAGCACCTTTATTTTTCTTTAAGCTAATTAATTAGAGCTCTTTTATATATTTTTAGTAGTGAAACATTATGTATACCATATGAATAAATAGACATATTAGACATGCTTGTGGAAGTACCTTTTAGAGATTCATAAAGACCCCACACCCACTTTTTTTTTTACCTTAGATTTTCAGATGCTTTATAACCTGTCTTAACAACTCTAGGCAGTTGTTAGCTGAATAGCTTTAAATTTGCATATTAAAAGAAACAACTCAGGTGAAAATCAAGTTGCAAATTTCAAATCATAAGGTACACAGAAAAAGTTGTTTTAGAGGGAGACACTTTCAAAGTGCACTTAATTTTTTTTAAACAAAGACATTTCTGAGTGTCTAAATTACATTATTTCTTAAAAAGCCAAGAGTAGCCTTTGCTGCAATACTATTTTAGTGAAAAAATCAGGTGAAAAACAGAATTCAGTCAATTGAGAAGAAAAAAATTTTTGCTAAAAAAAAGACAAAGATTTAGGAGAGAAAAACAGAAATAACCAAAAACTGAAGGCCTCTTAAATACAAACTTGCACACAGGCATACATGCACAAACAGAATTTGCATGTTAGCCTTTTAATTAAGCTAACCTTTAACCACTGAGCTCCTTTAACAACAATAACAACAACAACAACAAAAACTTTTAAATTCTCATTACCGTATTTCAGCTAGGACAAAATGCTGCTAAACCATCGATAAATTATATGACTTCTGAGTGCTCTAAGTGTAAGGAGAAATTCACACCAGCTTGTTATTATTGCTGTTATTTATAAAGCTTCAATGCTGCAAAGAAATAGCACTCGAATATAATTTTTTAAAAAATTCTCAGCAAGGCAAGTTATTTCTATAGAACGGTGCACCCTTCAGATGGAGCAGTGGTGAGTGCACACTTGGACAAGGGAAGGGAAGGGGTTCTTATCCCTGATGCATGTGGCCCTGCTGCTATGTTGTTCCCCTATTGGCTAGGATTAGACAGCACAGGCTAAACTAATTCCAATTGGCTAATTTAAAGAAAGTGACAGGGTGAGTGGTTTGGCAGGAAAAATGGTTATGACAGAACAGGTAATCAGAATGAGTCAGGGTGGAGTAGGTAATCAGAAGCAGTCAGGATGCAGCAGGTAATCAGGATAAGTCAGGGTGGAGTATGTAATCAGAATGAGTCAGGGTGGAGTAGGTAATTGGAATGAGTCAGGGTGGAGCAGGTAAATCGAAATGAGTCAGTGTGGAGGAGGTGATTGAAATGAGTCAGGGGGGAGCAGGTAATCAAAAAAGGTTGCTTTATGAGGAAGTTAAGTTTTAAAGTAGAAGGCAAAGAATTAAACATACTGACATATGGATGCTTTAATAATAGGAACCTACTTGTTGCTCCCCTGCTTGCTGCCTTTGCTCCTTCAAATAATGAGAAGATTTTTCACTATTTTAGTTCACCAAAATACTTCAGCACAAGTGTATTACATGAATCACTATTGATCTGTCTCACAGAAAGACCTAGATAGTGAAGATGAAAGTCAGAATTCCCACTAATAAGTGAGATACTCAAAGGGGGAAAATAAGGAAGGAGACCACCTGTCCCATTGTCTCCTGTTTCAAAAAGGAAGCAAAAAGTTAAAAAGAAGCAGAAGTGGGATCAATAGACAGAGGGCTTGGCACCAAAAACCAGGCATGGTAGTTAAAGATTAACTCCTGACCTAACCACTGTGTTATCTATAGATTCCAGACATTGTATGAGGAAGCATTGTGAAACTTTCTGTTCTGTTCTGTTTTGCTAGCCCCCATCACTGATGCACGTAGCCCTCAGTCACATAGCCCCTACTTGCAGACCCTTTCATGTGGACCCCTTAGGGATGTAAGCCCTTAAATGAGAGAGGAATCTTTACTTCAGAGAGCTCAGACCTTGAGATGCGAGTCTACTGATGCTCCCAGCTGATTAAAGCCCCTTCCTTCATAAAACTGGTGTCTGAGAGGTTTTGTCTGTGACTGGTCCTGCTATACTTTGAAAAGAAATTTAGAACTCATATCTAATAATGCTAACTTGAGTTGCTTAAAAATAATTTGCAAGACAGAATCCCAAACTGGTTTTTTTACCTAGTGATGGGTCTCAGGCTGTAGACGGCTCTCTACCATCCTAGAAGCAGGAAAAAAATCCAAACTCATCTTTCTTTTTGGAATGGAGCTCAAACTCCATAAAGGAATCACCTGCCTTCCATCATCATAGAAGCAGGAAAAAAAACACCTTCCTTGTGTTGGAAGCAAGTAAAACTCCAAAAAAAAACAAAAAAAAAAAAACAAAAGTGGAGTTGTACAGCAAAATCTTCATCAGATTTTGGGAGCTCAGGGACTCTCTGGAATCAGACCTCACCAAATTGTCCTATTTGTTTCAGCCATAAAGTTAGCTCAAGCTGGTTCCAAGCACCAATAGGAGATTTGTCAAAGATCAGGGGCATCTCCACTCACAATCCCTTTGTGTACTAAAAATGTGAACCCCCAAAATTCGAGATAGGTCTCAGTTAATTTAGAAATTTTATTTTGCTGAGGTTGAGGACATGCCTGTGCTACAACTTCAGGAAGTCCTGAAGACATGTGCCAGGGTGGTCACAGCATGGCTTGGTTTTATACATTTTAGGGAGACATAAGGCATTAATATAATATAATATAATATAATATAATATAATATAAAATAATATAATATAATATAATATAATATAATATAATATAATATAATATAATATAAAATAATATAATATAATATAATATAATATAATATAAACATTAGTTCTGTCCAGAAAGGCAGAGATAACGCAAAGCAAGCCCCCTGCCCCTTCCCCCGCTTCCATGTACTTCCCCTCCCTCCCACCATTGGGAGCTTGCAGGTCACAGGTAGATGTGAGACAGATAGATGGCTACACATCTTTTGAGTTTCTGTTAAGTCTTTCCAAAGGAGGCAATCAGAAATGCATCTGTCTCTCTGAGCAGAGAGATAACTTTGAATAGAATGGGAGGCAGATTTGCCCTGAGCGGTTCCCAGCTTGAAGGGGCCCAAGATATATTCCTCCACACTGTTATGGGAAAGATAAATACTTTTTAATATATGACCCTAAGCCTGCTTTCTCTTTGCTTATTTTCATTCACTCAAATAGTTAATCTGTGGAACAGAATTTGTGCTCTCACTAAAAGAGACAACAATCTCTTTTTCAAGGATTTTTTTAAAAAATCTTGTGATTTGAACTTTTACCTACTTATTTTCCTTACACACAGACAGTTGTCATCTTAAAACTTAACCTTACTGTAGTATGAGCAACTCAGGATCTAACATAAACCTTTCACTATTTTGCAAGCCTTTATACTAGGTCTAGACCTTGGACTTACAGTTTTTGTGTTAATATGCCTTTTTTTAAATCCCCAATCTGAATCTCAGCCATTACTTTGTACATGGTTTGGTCTCTGAAAGAACAAAGGATCATGGTGGAGTGAAACTAAGCATAAGTGGGGTTTCTCATTTAACCTACTCTCCTTGCAATCACTTTCCTCCTGTCCTAGGGCATGAAATACTTTTGAGTTTTTATTATTATTTAGACCATTGTGGTCAACAACTTTTTCACGGCCCAGAGTTTTCATCTCACTTAACCAAACTAAAGGAATGGGATTTTAAATATAACTCTGTAAACATATCATGATAATTTATTGCATTCAAATAGTGTCCTAAGTTGTTAATCTTTTCCCCTCCCTGGGATTAACAGAGTGTATTAACTTGGAGACTTAGCACCTATTTGCTTGGGGAAGTTTCTCTATTTCCAAAAAATATATAAGATTCAATAGCTTACATTTAATATATAAGTCTTAATGCCTTTCTGAGCTTTTGTTTTCTAATCTAGAATTATTTTGAAGACTGTTATTTTTCATAATAACCTTCAACTCTTTACCAACCTAAATAATTTTTTTGTTTTTTACTTTTTTTAATAAATTGATTATCCATTTTAAAAAAAGGATGCAGTCTTTTTAAGTTTAGCAGTTTATTGTAGACTTACTGGATTTACTGCGATTTGTTTTTCTTTTACAACACTTTCATACAGATGGTATTTAAATATCTTGAAAATATATTTTCAAATTTTCTTTCTGGGAAAAAATAATTTATTACTTTACAGATACATATTGAATAGGCTGACAGATGTAAATTTTGTCTCTTTTTTGCAATATTATTATTTAGATCATCAATTCATTGACAAAAATTAAAATACATGCTTATTAATAAGTATATTACTTAATAATGCTTCCAGAATTGACTTAGGTTTTAAATGAAACTCATATTTTAGTAGTTTCCTAATTAGATGTGTTTTCCTTTGGATTTCTTACAGTGACAATTTTTTGTTGAGAATTAACTTGAATCCTTTGAAGCTAAATTTTCTTTTTAATGTCTAATTTTTCTTCTTTTATTAGTATGGTTTTCAAAAGGATTAAGAAAAAAACAGATCTTTGAATTATGATTATATTCTTCTTAAACTTCAACTAATACTTTTCCCTGTTATTTAGAAAGTATTTTAAAAGTACTCAGTGACAGAAGCATTATAGGAAAAATATATATTGTTTTGAAGTTCTGACAAATTCTTTTTTTTTTTTTTTTTTCTGGGAGGCAGAATCTCACTCTATTGCCGGGCTGGAGTGCAGTGGTGCAATCTCAGCTCACTGCAACCTCCACCTCCCACTGTCAGGCCTCTGAGCCCAAGCCTGTGCGTATACATCCTGATGGCCTGAAGAACTGAAGAACCACAAAAGAAGTGAAAATGGCCAGTTACTGCCTTAACTGATGACATTCCACCATTGTGATTTGTTCCTGCCCCACTCTAACTGATCAATTGACCTTATCCTGGACAATGAGTATCAGAAGCTCCCCAATGAGCACCTTGTAGCCTCTGCCCCTGACCGCAAGAGGAAAAACCCCTTTGACTGTAATTTTCCACTACCTACCCTATAAGACTGCCCTACCCCATCTCCCTTTGCTGACTCCTTTTTTAGCCTCAGTCTGCCTGCACCCAAGTGATTAAAAAGCTTTATTGCTCACACAAAGTCTGTTCAGTGGTCTCTTCATACAGATGCACGTGACACCAAGGTTCAAGCAATTCTCCTACCTCAGCCTCTTGAGTAGCTGGGAATACAGGCATGCATCAGCACGTGGCACTATGCCCAGCTAATTTTTATATTTTTAGTAGAGATGTGGTTTCACCATGTTGGCCAGGATGGTCTCAATCTCCTGACCTCGGGATCCACCCGCCTCAGCCTCCCAAAGTTCTGGAATTACAGACATGAGCCACTACACCCAGCCACCAAATCAGCTCTTGAGCTTTCAGAGAATATATTTTGCAAAGGTTTATATGACTTACCCTTCTTTTACTTCCCCCAGTATAGTACTTTACTTTTGACCTAACATTGTCTTTGACAATTACTGTATTATAATGGAAAGGATACTGGGAGTCAGGAAACTATCCAGTTAATTAAGTGCCTGTAGCCAAACTATGTATATTTCTACATATGTCTTTCTGCATGTGTAAATGTGAAATAGAGTAGGTGATCCCTTAGGGCATCAAAATGTTTCATCCTAGAAAAAAGTAGTTGTTGCAATTTAAGAAATATGATAGTTTTCTCTTGTGTCATTTGAAAATCATGCAAATAAATGATGAGAAGTAAACATTCTAAGATTAATAAAATAGTTCAGATTTCTCATTTTAGTAGAAAACATTTTATAAGAGTTCTTAAATTCTTGAATGGAGAAGTTTTCCTTGTGACTTTTGTTGCACAAAATTTCTAATATTTTGGAGCCAGGCCTAATGCCCACACCTGTAATCCTAGCAACTCAGAAGGCTCAGTTACGAGGATCACTTGAGCCCAGGAGTTTGAGCCTGCAGGGAGCTATGTTGTACCATTGCACTCTAGCTTGGGCAACAGAGGGAGCCCTCACACCCACTCCCTTAATCATGAAACACACACACAAATCATGAAATATTTTGCCTTGCTATGATTGTAAGATACAACGAATTTCTGAGTTTCTCTTCAAAGGTTTAGACTGCTAAGTGCCTTTTTCTTTGTTCCCAAACCTAACTTTTGTGTTCTACATGCCTCCTAGTTACTTTAAAAAGCCTACCCACTTCCTGTCAGCTCTAATCAGTAACTCACATTTGTTCCCTTGGTTACCTGCATCCATTGTTTCCCCAAAACTGCACATCTCACACTCTTCACCATTGTTCCCAATGTCCCTCTTTCCTTCCATATTTAGAAAAATATTTGCAGCTCAGATTGGGTCAGCTTGGTCAGATTGGTCAGATTGGGTCAAAGTGGGTCAGCTCAGATTGTGCAGTCCGACCCCAGGCCATGGGGAAGTGACACAGAGGTAAGGACCATGCATCAGAGATAAAAAAAAACCCCGTTCTCCTTTGTTCCCTGTGCTCTTGCTATCTTGATTGATGTGAGTGGCACCCTTCTGCAGAAGTAAATTGCCTTGATGAGAAAACTTTTGCCTGGGTTCTGGTTTCACTTTGCCGCACTAAGCATTTATTTCTAGAGCATTTTTATATCCAACATGATGAATTGTTCTAAATGGATAATCTAAAACAATTCAAGTTAGTAAATGATTTTGAAAGAATACCAAGCCATTTATCAATGGGAAAGAAAAATTCAAAACTCCAGATGAATGAGTTATGTTAAAATAATAGAGATAAGTTTTACTGCTAAATTGCTCTAATTGTGGCAGAGTTGACAAAAATATTGATTTTATTTTTGTCGTTGATTGTTTTGCTTAGCTTAAATCTGTTGTAAATATGAAGACAACTGAATTTAGGTAGTGGGGTAAATGTAGTTTTAAAAAGTGAAGATTGCTTTAGAATTTTGAATGTTTTTACTTGGGATTTCATTGTAATCTTTTTTCCTTTAGGGTTTTTGAAAACTAAAGCATGGTAATTTTTATGTTTATTAGTTTAAATATTAATAAAGGATGTTATTTATATAATGTAGCAATTGTGGTGAATCTAAGATTACTTCAGTATTTCTGTTTATAGAGATGTAACAAATATAAAATTAGTCTTACACCTGGAATCAGAAAAGTTGTTGAGTGACTATTTATTAGCAGTTTTTCCAGAGTTTGTAACATTTCTCTAGCAGTAGTGTAATGTAATATAAATCTACTATACAAGTAAACTAATGTAAGCTAAGTGTTTGTAAAGTGTGTGAATACTTTGATATCTTTTACAGGATAACTGAGTTTGAAGTTTTTTATGATTAAACCAGTATTTTTATTTACTCTAAGATGACTGAATTTTTCTGTCAGTCAAAGAGTGATTTTCACTATTTTCAGTTTTTTTAGTGTTAACTTTCATCATTTTTCCCGCCCAGACCAGTAATAATCTTGATGCCTGTTGCCAAGCCCTTTCCCAGGAGAGTAACAAATATTTATATTTGGAATACCATAGTCCAGATAACAAGATGAATAGAAATCACCATTTGTGTATTAACTTGGGTATTCAGTCTTCTCGTAGTTATCACCCAGGAGATGGAGCTCAACTTAATAGTGGACAAACGCTGGTACATAGCTCAAGTGATGGGCATATTGATCTACACCAAAGAGTAAGTAAAACAGCTTATATATTTAGTTCAAGAACCACACTCATTTCCAGCTGTTGTGACTGCCACTTGCAACTATAATTTAATTTTTATGATTGAACAGCACAGCAATGCAGGTATTCCTTCTTCACAGCCACCTCAACAGTCATTTTCCATGCAAATGGAAATGAATCTGTCTGCTATGCAAGGGTGTGCACTACCATCACCACCTCCTCCTTCATTTGTGCACATTCCTCAGTATAGTACAAATCCTGTTACCATTACAGTATCTCAAAACCTTGCTTCTTAACAGACGGTACCAAGAGGTTTACAAATTCCAAGCAATACAATGGTTCTCCTGCTTCTATTTGTGTGAGGCACACCTGTTACAGTATGCCATGGTAGTCCTCACTACAGGGCCACTGCCTCATTATAGCCAGCATCCTTTACCTGTTTATCCACATCAACAGAACTACCAGACATCTCAGTATTCTCCCAAACAGCAGATTTCTCAGTCAGCTTACCAGTCACCACCTAGGTCTCAATGTTCTTCACCCTTCAGCTTTCCTCATCATCAAGTACAGCCTTCCCAGTTGGGCCACCCAAGTAGTCACATCTTTGTGCCACCTAATCAGGACCTCCTGGCTGTCAGAAACAGTGAAATCATTCAGTAGCATATATCCAATACACAACATCTAGCTTGCACAGAGGATTCATGAAAAAGACAGAAATTATGGTTTAACCTTCTCAAAGACCTGGAACAGTAATTAATAGCTGTCCTTCACCCATCAGTAATCAACTTTCCCCATGTAATTGGCGTTCTCTCTATGCAGGCACTGTAACACCTTGAAGTTCTTCAAGGGGAATGTATAGTCAATCAAAGCCTTCAATGAATGTGAATCCCATGCATATTACATATACACAACGAAGTGGACCTTCATGTGCCCTATCACAGTCTCCTCAGATAATACCACATCTATCTGCAGTTTTAAAAATTACTGTAGGTGGAGCAACAACTGAAAATCTTTTAAATTTCATGGACCAAGATGAATAGTTGGCAGCGCCAGAACCCGTTCAGCCAATTTTAGTGACTCCAGGTCCTGGAGGAAAAAAGGTAAGTCATAAATATCAGCGTTCTAGTTCTGGATCAGATGACTATGCCTATGTACAAGGTGAATTTTAATTGTTTTATGAAATTCAATCTTTGAGGTGAAAAGTTAAATTCTTATTCAAAATAAAGTAATTTATATTCACTATTAAGTTTAATATTTATTAAATGTTGAACAATGTAATTTATAAGGATAAGGCAAGTCCTTCAGAGTCATCTACAAATTTACTTACATACAAAGTCCTGTACATTTTTCTTATGAAAAACCGGCATGAGAAGACCTAAAATACTTCTGAGGATAATGAGAGAAAGATGTCAATAAGTAAAATGTATATCGTCAAAAGTACAGACTTCAGAGAGGGGAAAATAGATTTTTAGAGGGATGCTAATCTTCATCAAAGTGAAAGAATTTAAACTTTGGAGTGAAAAAGTACTGAAAGGGGTAATGATAATTATAACATAGAATTGGAATTAGAATGAACATGCTACTATGTGTGATATTGGGCCTTTTTAAAACACACACACTTACAGTTTGAAAGAATCTGATTGAAAATATCACATAACTACATGGATGTATAGATGCAGCAGTTACATTTTGGTCTGTCTAGTTCTATCCCATATAAGTGGAATAAAACTTGAAAGAAATGTGAGGAAATGCCAATTAAAGTTAGATGATAGGATTTCTTATGATTATTTTATACATAAATTTCCAGGTAGATTTTTCAGTGTTATTCTCTGCAATGGCCCTATCTTTAATGCTTATATATATATATATATATATAGCCTTGCTGTTACATCAACGAGCAAGGATGGAGAGGTTAGCAAAGCAGCTGCAACTTGAGAAAGGGGAGCTAGAGCTATTAAAGGCTGAAGTTAATGATATGGAACATGACGTGATGCACAGATGGCTAATAAGGGTCAGCTGCACTACTGTGATCCCAATGGTAAGTGATTTGTCAGAATGTATTAGAAGGGACATGAGGATATTAACTGTCTAGGCAATTTCATTTTTTAGTATTTACTTCCTGCATAGTGTTTGAAAACAATGCCTTTTGTTAGAATAATTCAATGGCCTATTTTGCAAAAGAGTGATTCTAGGCTCATTAGTGTCTTCATATACTGACACATATAATAAAATACAACATATTATTTTTATAAATTTCTTTCATTCAAAATAAAAATGAAGACTGAAACCAAGATAGAGATTGGAGATGTTATTTGTTTTTCTCCTTGAATTTATTTCTTCTAGGTAATTTTTTTTTGAGGTGGGGTCTTGCTCTGTTGCCCAGGCTGGAGTACAGTGGCATGATCTTAGCTCACTGCAACCTCTGCCTCCTGGGTTCAAGTGATTCTCTCACCTCAGCCTCTGAAGTAGCTGGGATTACAGGGGTGCTCCACCATGCCTGACTAATTATTTTTATTTTTAATAGAGACAGTTTAACCATATTCACCAGACTGCTCTCCTACTCCTGACCTCAAGTGATCTATCTGCCTCTGTTCCCAAAGTGTTGACATTACAAGCATGAGCCACAGCGTCCAGCTTGGAGTTAGAAAGAGACCAGTATGAATTTGAAAGATGTATTAGCCATAAACTATTTTTAATGCTTCTGAATTTTATTTAATGTAAGTAATTTTAAAAACTGAATTTTAGAGTATTGTTAAGATTTCTAAGAGGAATTAGTCTAATGAAAATATTAGGGGGATATATATTTTATGTGTTGGTTGATACTCATGAATTTTAAGGTTTTTTTTTTTTTTTTTTTCAACAGAGTCTCGCTCTGTTGCCCAGGCTGGAGTGCAGTGGCGTGATCTCAGCTGACTGCAAGCTCCACCTCCTGGGTTCACGCCATTCTCCTGCCTCAGCCTCCCAAGTAGGTGGGACTACAGGTGCCCACCACCACGCCCGGCTAATTTTTTGTATTTTTTTTTTTTTAGTGGAGATGGGGTTTCATTGTGTTAGCCAGGATGGTCTCGATATCCTGTCCTCATGATCCACCCACCTCAGCCTCCCAAAGTGCTGAGATTACAGGCATGAGCCACTGCACCTGGCCGAAGTTTAAGTTCTTAAGCAACTCGTAATTTTGTAAATACTTCTTAAAATCTTTACATCACAAGATTTCTGTGATTGAACCTACTATTTCACCTTTCAACATTTACTCAACTAAGATTTTTGCATACAGTTTTTGAATGAGGTACTGTGCTAAGTGCTTATAGCATATCTGCTAGTAGGAAAAATAGATGCATCAACAGATAATTATAATACAATATGGTAAGAGCTATGTATACTCATTTATGTTGATAAACTATCATATCAGCTAGATGAATGTTTATCATCCAATCATTTTTTCACTCTCTTATATTATTCCCTTGGCATAATGCCCTAAGCCTACATCCCTGCATGTATAAATCCTGTTTATTCTTTCTTCACATCTCACCTTAACCTCTACTTTTTTTCAGGGACCTTCCTCAAAGTAATCTGTCTGCTTATACATGCCCTCTCTCCATTTCTGTCCTTATCTCTCTCCTCTCGTGGTCTTCATAACTTTAGAGAAATGGGCATATACATCAGGCCTTTTGTGGTATGTCTGCAATATGCAGTTAAGTCTTCATTTAGAAAATTTGAACTGAGATTCATGGCTTCAGAGGGGACCTATGAATTCTGTGAAATTACACGCAAAATTTTGTGTTTGAATGTGACATGGGTTTGTAACTTTCATCTGATTTTCCTAAGGCTATTAAATGAAAGGCATTGGGCAAGAGGAAGAGGTTAGGAACCACTGCCCTCAACTGTAGACAGTATTGCAATAGGAAGAAGAAAAGGCGAAGGCATTTTTGGTAGGGAAAAAGGTGTGAGCTAGTGACTTGAAATCAAAACATACTGAATTTCAGAAAGCAGTGAATATGATTCCCTGGCTCAAAAGTAAGATTTTTCAATGTCTTAACAAAGATTAATATGCCTAATTTGAGGTTTTAGGACTTTATTGTATTGCCAGTAGAGAATCAGAAGTTTTTTAGAAACAGATTTGAGTACAGGCATCTTCAACAATATAAAAACACCATTTCTAATAGTAACTAAATTTAAAACGTTGATATCATTAACAGTTGTAAAATTAGAACTGTCTTCAAATGAAAGGTATCTTTTTGTTTGTTTGGTTTTTGAGACAGCCTTTCTCTGTCACCCAGGCTAGTGTGAAGTGGTGCAATCTCAGCTCACTGCAACCTCAGCCTCCTAGGTTGAAGTGATTCTTGTGCTTCAGCCACCTGAGTAGCTGGGATTGAAGGGATGTGCCACCATGCCCAGCAAATTTTTGTATTTTTAGTAGAGTTGGGGTTTCACCATGTTGGCGAGGCTGATCTCAAACTCCTGGGTTCAAGTGAACTGCTTGCCTCAGCCTCCCAAAGTGCTGGGATTGCAGGCCTGAGCCACCATACCTGACTGAAAGACATCTTTAAATATAAATGAAAGGCAGTGTTAATGTAAATCAACTCTTCTTTTTTTCTCCATTTGAAATCTTAATTCAGTTGTTTCATTAGGGAAGACATTGAAGTATATAACCAGTTTGGTAATCCACCTGTGTACACTGAATACTTTCAGTCCATTATGTACCTGTATAAACGAATTTTCTTAGCCCAGAACTCACTTATTTTAAAATAATCCTATGAAATTTTTTTGTTAATGGCAAGCACTTACTATATGAAAATTTCTGCCAAATATGACCCTACTGAACTTTTTGTTGGTAGTAGGAAGCTATCTGATGCACAATGGGTTAGTGCTTCAAAACTATGAAAACAGTACTTATATTTTTATATTTTATATATATATTTATATTCATATTTTATTTATATGTCTTAGAGATAGGATCTCTCTCTGTTGACCAGACCAGAGTATAGTGGTGTAATCATATCATGCTGCAGCCTTGAACTCCTAGGCTTAAGCAGTCCTTCTACCTCAGCCTCCTAAGTAGCTAGGACTACCATATGTTTTTATTTTTATTTATTTTTTATTTATCTATTTTTGTAAAAATGTGGTGTCATTCTGTTACTTTGGCTGGTCTTCAACTCCTGGCTTCACATGATCCTCCAAAAGCTCTGGGACTATTTAGGTGTGAGCCAGCATGTGTGGCCTGAAAATAGGATTTGTATCAGAGCTTTTACTTATGAGATTTCTTCAGACAATAGAAAAGAAAATGAGAGTTTTTTGAGGACACTACCATGCTGAGCCATAATTTATTTATTTCATTGAGCTAAAATTCACGTCACAACTAACTGATTTTTAACTTTTTATTACAGAGAATTTCAAAGATACATAAAATTTCTAGGATAATATAATGAACTCTCATACCATTCAGCTTCAAAATTTGTTAATTTATGTGGATAACAATATTTGGAATATGAGAGATTTGAATGTGATTCCCAGGTTTTTCCACTTCCAGGCCCAAAGTAAAGTGAAGGGGTATAGGGAGTGCATAGCTTGGGGGCAGTTTTAGATACTGGGTTTTAGAGTCAGATGAAAAATTTAATCCTACGTCTACAATTTACATGTCACTGACATGTCCTTGAATAAGGTAATTTTATACTTGTTTTATTCTATGAAATGTGCATGGTACAGTATTAATCTCATGAGAGTTTTGTTAGTATTATGTAACCTAACATACAAGACATTTAGCTCAATGCCTAACTTTGTAAAGATTCAGGAAAAGTGCAGGTTACAAAATACTGGAAAAATCTTACCCATGTGAATCTGAGGCAAATCTAAATTTGTTTTCCTTTTAACTTTAGGAACATACAGGAATAATACAGGAATGTATTATGAGGGAATTAATCAGGAAATAAAGCATTTAATCAGAATTCCCTTTTGGTTCATATAATTCTGGTAAATCCAATGCCTGCCAGTGCTGCTATGATACTGTGGAAAGAATGCCTACATAGGTTTTGGAGTTAAAATTGCTTTGGCACTCACTGACTATGTCCAATTTACCTATGTTTATTTTTTCCATTTTTCAAGAGAATTTATATCTCACATATAGTAATATTTTTATCAAGTAATTTCTCAGTAAATGCTGGGTAGCCTGATCTTTATCTTGTTCTTGTAGAATAGAGAACTGACTTTTTTGTGCTAATCATAGAGTATTAAGTTTTCAAACCTTACTTTCTTAACAAGCAGTATTTTAAAAGTTGGTTACAAATACATTTACCTAATTTATTTGGAATATATGTATGTGTCTAGCTATATATGTGGTTGCAGAAATTTACAGCATAGCTGTGAATAATCTTTTTTAAAAATTACATGAAAGATGTGTAATAATCATCATCTGTCTCAATCTACCACTAAACCAAGCATTATATTAGCTGCTGTAAGAGAGAAATCCAAGTAACCGTAAATTACACAGTAAATCTTGAAACCCCTCCTCCATGAATACTTTTGATAATGGGTAGTTTATTTTGAGAGGCAGTTTTATTTAACCAGAAGCTATGAAAACATATATAATATTATAAACAGTTAATTTAATGAGTTCTAAGGAAACAGGTTCTTCAGCTACTCGACTTTACTGATATAATCCTAAAAAGAAAAGAACACTTTTTCTTGCATATTGCATGGAAGAGAACATTAGCTATATAAGTGCTTTATATCTTTTGTTAAAGCGCAGGTATACGCTTCAAATTTTTTCTGTATTACCTGGTAGCCAGACTCAAACATTTTATATGTTAATGGCTATATATGTTTATATGTTAATTACTTAGGGTTTTCCTTGAGTAATAAATAAAGAAGAAAACATTTCTAAATGATATTTATCTTTAGAATTTTAGGGTATTACCTTGCTATTATATTTGGTCTCTTATATCACTTATGTTGTTTTGATATCTGCTGATTTATTGGGCAGTCCCTAAATTTGCTAATACTTCCCAACAGCCTGAGTTACTGCATTATTGTTACTTAATGTATATATAGTTGAGATCTCCTTTACAATTGAGGTAACTCCAGACAGTCTAATGAAAGTGGGCTCTGTTAAAAGCTTTAATAGCCATACCTTTGGGTTCAGATCTCTGAGTTTTTAATTGTATGCATAAAGAAATTACGAATGTGAAAAAAAA
Source organism: Homo sapiens (assembly GCF_000001405.40). Taxonomy (NCBI): domain Eukaryota; kingdom Metazoa; phylum Chordata; class Mammalia; order Primates; family Hominidae; genus Homo; species Homo sapiens. The sequence continues at coordinate 13,154,806 of NC_000024.10, read as the reverse complement.
CCACATTCACTTCATTTAAGTGAACTAAAAAGTTACTTCACATTTTACTACCCTATGTTTATACTTGAAAGTCCTAATGAGTAGTAGAGTGGGTGGAAAGATAAGGCTGAAGAAAATAAAGTGGAGTATATGTTCTACATTAATAGCTTATTTTTAAAAATCTAGAAAATAAAGACAAAAAAGAATATATGTAGTTTTCAATATAAATCCTGGCCCTACCAATTACTGGATTTATGACTTTGGGAATATTATTTCATCACTGTGTGTCTCAGTTTCCTCATCTTCAAGTTGAAGGAGATACCAGTACCTACCTTGAAAGAGTGTTGTGAGAAAACAAAGGAATTCTGGTAAACCCACTGCCTGCCACAGCTGCTGTATTATTTCCACCAGTATTGGCAAACCTAAAATTATTGGCTTTGACTCTTTAAAATGTTGGTTTCTATAATTTCCCTTGACATATAAGTATTTAAGTGAAATAGTCTCAGTGCTGTGTGATTAAAGAAGTAATATTTTTTAATGTTAAAACAGTGTCTGCTTTACACGAGGAATATGTTGCATATTTATATGTGGCCATCCTTTTTCCTTCTTTTTTTCTAAGTATTGTTTACTGCAAATATGTGTCACCACTTTACCTGACTGCCCCTTATAAATCACATGTAGAATTATACATGTTGTTTCTTAGCAACTGTGGCCATATATTTCATAATGAACTGTCATAAATATTAACATAAAATGGAGTTCTTAAATGTTGGGCTTGATACTGACTTTCCCACAAATACTAGCCTGAGAAAATAACAAGATTGAGACGCATGAACAGACAGCTCTAGATAAATGTTGACTGCACACTGAAAGAAGTTAACCTCCTTCAGTCTAGAAGTATAGACTTCACTATTTGGTAACATAAGAAATAATTCGGTATTTAAATTGTTACTTTGGTTTCAGAGATTAAGAAAAATGTTATATAAGAAAGGTTATGGTCCTAGTAAAGAAATTTCTACTCCATAGTTATAGGTCATATTTGAGGCATCAGTAATAGTTTTAGTTTGACAATTTCACTGTTAAGCTCTTTTAGGCTATTCTATACTGTTATTCTGCATTTTTCCTTTTTTGGTCAGTTGTGAATATTTTACAAGTTGATGACTTTTAATTCCAAACCATGTTTATGTGCTTCTTAAAAATATCTATGAATACTCTTGCCTGTAATCCCAGCACTTTGGAGGCTGGGGTGGGCAGATTACAAGGTCAAGAGTTCAAGACCTGCCTGGTCAATATGGTGAAACTCTCTACTAAAAGTACAAAAATTAGCCAGGCATGGTGGCACATGCCTGTGGTCCCAGCTACTCGGGAGGCTGAGGCAGAAAAATTGCTTTATCCTGGGAGGCAGAGGTTGCAGTGAGCCGAGATGTCCCCACTGTACTCCAGCCTGGGCGACAGAGTGAGACTCCATCTCAAAAAAAAAAAAAATCTATGAGTAGAGATCCAAAATTATGATGTCTCAGTTTTAAAATCATTCTTATGTCATTTTTTAATATGGGCAAATATGTGATGTGAAAATATTTAACTACATCCTGTGTAAAGTATTTTTAATTTTTTATGGAGGTACACTATAGTACAGATGATCTTAACTGATCACCAGTTTAAGTAATGTTCAACTTATTTGGAAAATATACTTAGCTGATGTTCAGGCCAGGTGCAGTGGCTCATCCCTGTAATCCCAGTGAGAGGTGAAGGTAGCTGGACTTCCTGGATCGAGTAGAGACTTGGAAAGCTATGTATAAATTATTTTCAGAAAGCTATCTTAAAATAAAATAAACGTTCAAATGTCCCCACAAAAGAAACCACTATTTAATTTTAATAAGAGATGTTTTTGGTCTACATTGAGTAATATCCTTATAATAAGCCCTTTTTTTATATTTTAGTATTTCTAATTCCCTTGATAACAGATCTAAATACAGCAGAATTAACTAATTTCTTCCCCCCCCCCCCCAATCTCTGGAAAACTTTTAATAATGAGTTTCCAATCTATAATTTAATTTAGAAAAAGAATACTCTTTTTCTTTGACATTTAGATTAGATTAATGCTTGATTTGATAAAAAGTAGATTTTTTTGTTGATTTTAGGGAGGAAAACTTTTTCTGGGAAAAAAATTTACAAATTAAGAGATTTACTATACTTGAATTATCTCTACCATACATCATTATCTGTAAATAACTATGGCATAGTTATAAATCTTAATTGGAATTGTGCAGGACAGTCTGCTGGTTTGCGGAAGTGAAGATGGGCTCCAAACCATTGCTTGAATCAAAACTAATGTTGGAGAAGCCAAGGCAAGAGATATAGCTGAAGTATAGACACTTGTTCTGGGAGTGAACTTTGTTTGTTCGTTTGTTTGTTTGTTTGAGGAGTCTGGCTCTGTTGACAGAGTGCAGTAGCACAATCTCGGCTCACTGCAACCTCCGCCTTCCAGGTTCAAGAGATTCTCCCGCCTTAGCCTCCTGAGTAGCTGGGATTACAGTCGTGCACCACCAAATCCCGCTAATTTTTGCATTTAGTAGAGATGGCTTTCTCCATGTTGCTCAGGATGGTCTCAATATGACCTCATGATCCACCTGCTCCAGCCTCCCAAAGTGCTGGAATTACGGGTGTGAGCCACCACACCCGGCCGGAGTGAACTTTTTTAAAAGTGAAATATTTGAGGCAACATTAAGTTCTTAGGATTGTTTTATTGTTGTGAAATAAGCACAATATTCTCTTTGGTCATTGATAAATCTGTATATAATATTTAAGCTTCTCTTTCCTTGAACATAAGAATCCATAAGCAGTTATTTTATACTTATATCTTTTTTTGTCATAGCTCTTATGGGCAAGTACAGAGGAAAATTGTTCAGTCATCCTTCCATTTCTCCTCTTCGTTTGCTTTCTAAAATGTCCCTCATGCTTAATCCTGCCGAGGGAGACTAGCTTTGCAATTGGAGAAATAGTCCATTACATGATAAATTATAGACAAACACTGATGTGACAGTTTTGTGATGTAGAGATGATAATGAGATTTTAAATTCTAGAAAATGATTATCTTTCTTCCAATTTTAATTTTCATAGTTACTCCTTGAAAAATCAAATAATAGTGAAAGAATGAAATTTGAGAGAAAGAATCATAAATTCCTAGTTCCTTTTTTTATAGGCAACTTTGATCCAAAAGCCATGAATAATTTTTATGACAACATAAAACATGGCCCAGTTGTACCACCCAACCCATCTAAAAAAGGTGAGTAGTGAAATGTCAGAAATATCATAACTATGAATTCTTTGAAAATTTCTAGTAGAGATAGATATTCATTAGCTTGTTAAGAAAAAAATTTAAATTTACCATATTGATTTTAATGTGGCAATAATGAAATTTCCCCAAATTTTAAATGTTAAGAGCACCCACATTGTTAGCACTTAAAATTATTTGCAGAGGGTTTTTAATGAGATGTGAAAAACTGTATTATATAGACTACATTTATATAATCCTAAAAGATAATGCTTATGAAAATATTTAGAATTTATAAACATAGAATGTTCAAGAATGTACATAAATGGGAAGTTGAATCTACAAAAGAACCAAGATTGTCAGCATTGAAACAATCCCTATGTACTTAAAAAGGTGAGCATAACGGAGTAAATGTCACTGAACCAAGGTACGAGGATTATTTTTTGGCAGTTGTTACCTAGGAGTTATTCAATAGTAAAAGCTATCAGATCTGCTCTATATTTCTGCTCTATATCTGCCAGTGTTTAAATAGGCATTTCAGTATATTAAGTTAATTTCAATTAATTTTTATATTGAATAACTGATTTAGATTTAGTTTTTCTATCCCATTTTGTTAATGACCATTAATTTTTATTAATAAATACATCAGACCTCATCTGAAATATATATTTTATATTTTTATCTCTTTTGTTTTAACCAGTTCAAGATTTATTGTGTAATTATGTAAGAATAGAAGACAATGCTTATTTATGAGAAATCTTATATAATTTTAAGTTTCTAATATCTCATCTGACTTCCTTATTTTGCCATTTGGGGTACATATTTTAGGTAGCTTCTCTGACCTAAATTATTTGAATATTGGTTAAACTGTTTTTCATGTATTTCAAGCTCAAGACATACTGTTTTTTATTTTTTTCTTACTTATTCATTTTTTAGAGACAAAGTTCTGACTCTGTTGCCCAGACTAGAGTGAAATGGCAATTTTTTTTTTTTTTTTTTTTTTTTTTTTTTGTGGAGATGTGGTCTTGCCACATTGCCCAAGCCGGTCTTCACCTCCTAGGCTCAAGATATCCTCCTTGCAAAGTGTAATTACAGGTGTGAGACACCTCACCCAGCCTCGCTTTTTAATTTTTTTTTTATTAAGAGCAATTTTAGGTTTACAGAAAAAAGGGAGTGGAATGCAGAGGGTTCTCACATACCTCCACCTCCTTCCCTCACAGTTTTTTTTCTATTATTAACATCTTGCATTTTTGTTGTAAACTTGATACAGTTGATGAGCCAATATTGATATAATATTATCACTCAAGCCCATAGTTTATATCAGTGTTCACTCTTGGCTGTGCATGCTCTATGGGTTTGGACAAAGTGGGATTTATCTTAAGAATGCAAGGTTGATTTAACATTTGGCATCAATTAATGTAATTTACCATACTAACAAAATAAGAAAAAAAAGATAATTTAAGTAGATACAGAAAAAGCACTTGAAAAAATTCAATAGTTATTTATTACAAAAGCTCTTTAGGGTTATTTCTGCAAGCTCATGAAAGGCATCTTTGGGAAACTTACAGAAATCTATCATTCTTAATTGGTGAAATATTGAATGCTTTCTCTTTCAAATAGGAAACTCTAACCACATATATTTGACATTGTACTGGAAATTCTAGTCTTCACAAGAAAGAAGTAATATGCATAAAATAAAGGAAGAAATAACGCCATATATATTCATAAATAACGTGACTATTTGCAAAGAAAATCTTAAGGAAACTTTAAGATAACTAATGGAAGTAATAAGTAGACTTAACTGATGCAAACTGACTCTAGAAAAGTTACATTTTTATTTACCATTATAACAGCAAACAATTAGAAAATCAAATGAAAAAGATAATTTAAATTACAATAGCAACAAAAACATAAACACTTGGAAACAAGTTTAATAAAAATCTTTATAAACTCTCAGTGAGAACTTTAAAATGCAAAGAAAAGTGAAAGTAAAACTTCCCGCACATTGCACACACAGACAGAATAGGAGAAATTGTGAACACTGGTAGAAAGGAAGTAAAATTTAGGAACATTTTTTGACAGGATAGCTGGAGATCCATTACCAACACCTGGATGGGCTGTCAGAGGCTGGCTTGTCCAGAAGCCTTTGAATAATGCCAGGGTGTGCCCTGTTCAGAAATCATCAGTGGCTCCAGACTTCTCCCAGCCTTGCACAATGATTAGTACCTCTGTGAAAGGAAACCAGTTTGAAGAGAGCCTTGAGATTAAAGGACAGTTTAAAGTTCACTCTATACTGACCACTCCAATGTTTCTATTTTCTGTTCTGATCCCAATCCTGGATTGGGATCAAGCCCCCAAATGAAATGGCTTTGTTTTCTGGGGTATGTGCCCTGCTTCTTTGTCTCATGCAGAGAAATAATTCAGGAGACAGACACACAAGAGGAGTGGTTTAGGAATGGATAACTTAATAGACAAAAAAGAGCTGGGCATGGTGGCTCATGCCCGTAATACAAGAAATTTGGAAGGCTGAAGTGGGTGGATCACTTGAGATCAGGAGTTCGAGACCATCCTTGCCAACAAAGCAAAACTTTGTCTCTACCAAAAATTAAAAAATTAGACAGGGTGGTGTCACATGCTTATAGTCCTGGCTACTTGGGGGGCTGAGGCAGGAGAATCACTTGAATCAGGAGATGGAGGTTGCAGTGAGCTGAGATTGTGCCATTGCACTCCAGCCTAGGCAACAGACCAAGACTCCATCTCAAAAAAAAAAAAAAAAAAAAAAAAAGACAAGAAAGAGGAAACAGAGCAAAAGCTTCTTTACGCTGAGAGAACGGGTGGCCCAAGAGAAGGTCTCCAGTTTGGGGTAGAACACAATCAATTTTGTACAGAGACTTGAGGAGGTGGTGATTGATTTACATAGGACCCAGGGGGTTGGTTTGACCAGGTGTGCCATTTACACAGCCTGAGAAAAGACTGGCCTCTCACCCTAATCTTTTATTATGTAAATGCATCTTCCACCTGGTGACTGTCATGACACTTGTACACATGGTGACAAGGAAAAGAGAGTGAAAAATGCCATATTGAATGTACCTGGCTTCCAGGTACAACTCCTGGCATTTAAATATGTAATTTTCTAGTTTGTATATCTATCAAGCTGCTTTTTATTAAAGGAAAATTTCACCAATAACTCTTTTATCCTTTCTAGCTGTCTAAAAAGAATTTATTGGCCTGGCACGGTGGCTCACGCCTGTAATCCCAGCACTTTGGGAGGCCAAGGTGAGCAGATCATGAGGTCAGGAGATTGAGACCAGCCTGGCCAACATAGTAAAGCCCTGTCTCTACTAAAAATACAAAAAAATTAGCCAGGTGTGGTGGCGGTTGCCTGTAATCTCAGCACTCAGGAGGCTGAGGCGGCAGAATCTCTTGAACCTGGGAGGTGGAGGTTGCAGTGAGCTGAGATCGTGCCACTACACTCCAGCCTGGGTGACAGTGCAAGACTCCATCTCAAAAAGAATTTCTTAATAACTCCTGTATTATTATTGGTGCTAAAGAACTAATTACGAAGCCTAAGCCCATCAAGCTTTTCTCCTATGCTTTCTCTACTAGTTTTATAGTTTTAGGTCTTACATTTAAGCAGTCTTTAACTCATTTGAGTTTGATGGTGTGTGTGTGGTGTGAGTTCAGTTTTATTATTTTCCCTATGGATATACAGTTTCCCAACATTATTTGAGGAGGTCATTTTTCCCCCACTGAGTATTTTGGGCAGCAATATTCAAATGTTAGTTGACTGTATATATGTGTATTTATTTCTGGCCTATAGTTTATTCCATTGGTATATATCTGTCTTTGTGCCAGTATTATACCATTTTAATTACTGTAGTTTTGTAATATATTTTGAAAATACAAGTGTGCTTCTTCAAGTGTTTTTTTCTTTATACTCAACATCATTTTGGCCATCTGTGGTCTCTCATGGTTCCATATGAATTTTAGGATTTTGTTTTCTTTCTGTTTTTTGTTTGTTTGTTTGTTTTTTGAGACAGAGTTTCTCTCTGTCACCCAGGCTGGAGTGCAGTGGTACAATCTTGGCTCACTGCCACATCTGCTCCCCAGGTTTGAGAGATCCTCATGTCTCAACCTTCTGAGTAGCTGAGACTACAGTATTACCATGCCAGGTAATTTTTTTTTTTTTTTGGATTTTTTAAAGAGATAGGGATTCACCATATTGCCCAGCCTGGTCTTAAACTTCTGGGCTCAAGCAATCTACCCGCCTTAGCCTCCCAAATTGTTGGGATTACAGGTGTGAGCCACCACACTTGTCTTATTTCTGTTTTTAAAAATGTTAATTTTTTTTTAACTTTTTAGTTCAAGGGAACATGTGCAGGTTTGTTACAGAGGTAAACTTGTATCATGGGGGTTTGTTATAAAGATTATTTTGTCATCCAGGTATTAAGCCTGGTACCCAATAGTTATTTTTCATAGGTAATCTATTACGATTTTATGTTTGTGGCATCAGTGACATGAGAAGTTATAATATCTGCCTTTATCTCTAATTGTATTTGAGTCTTCTCTCTTTTTTCTTAGTCTAGCTAAGATTTATCAATATTGTTTTAAAAAAGCATAGTTTCATGTACTTTCTGTATTATTTTATTTTCTAACTTCTATTTATATTTCCTCTAATTTTTATTATTTCCATCTTCTGCTAACTTTGGACATGGTTTTCTCTCCCCTTGCCTCCCTTAATAGTCCAAGTATAAAGTTAGGGAGAGTTTTTCTTTCCATTTTTTTAAGACAGAGTCTCACTCTGTTACCCAGACTTGAGTGCAGTGATACAGTCTCTGCTGTCTACAACCTTGGCCTCCCAGGGTCAAGCAATTCTCCTGGCTCAGCTTCCTGAGTGGCTGGGATTACAGGACTATGTTACCATGCCCTGCTAATTTTTGCATTTTTAGTAAAGACAGGGTTTCCCATGTCGGCCAGGCTGGTCTCAAATTCCTGACCTCAAGTAACCCACCCACCTTAGCCTCCCAAAATGATGGGATTACAAGTGTGAGCCACTGTGCCTGGCCATTTTTTTCTTTTTACAGTATATTTTGTTGCTATAAACTTTCAAGTAGTGCTTGAAAGTACTACTCTCTTTTTCTTACCATTTGAATGAAATATATTTATTTCTTTATCCCATTACTTTATGTGTGTCTATTACTCTAAAGTGCGTGTCTTGTAGACACCTAATAATTGAGTTTTTTGTTTGTTTTAGCCACTGTACCTCATTTGATTGGGAAGTTTAGTCCATTCATGTTTAAAGAGGGTTTTTTCTTGCAGTAAAAATGGGGTTGACATGTAGCATCTTATAACATTCTATTTTAAGCTGACTTCAATCAATCACATCCAAATTCTACACATTTCTCCTTCCATGGTAATATTTTTGTCACAATTATATCCATTAAATTTTTGTAGTTATATTTTAAGGTACTGTTATCTCAGCTTATGGAGCTAGAGAGTAAAAGAATGGTTATCAGAGGCTGGAAAGGGTAATTTGGAGTGGTGTGGAAGAGAGCTGGGGATAGTTAATGAGTACCCAAACAAAACAAAAGAAAACAAAAATAGAAAGAATGAACAAGACCTATTATTTGATAACACAACAGAGTGATTATAGTCAATAATAATCTAATTATGCCTTTAAGAATAACTAAATGAATATAACTGGATTGTTTGTAACACCAAGGATAAATGTTTGAGGGAACGCATACCCCATTTTCCATGATATAATTATGCATTGCATGCCCGTATCAAAATATTTCATGTACTCCATAATATATACATCTACCATGTATCTACAAAAATTAAAATTAACAATTAAAAAATGTCATCTTTAACTTTAAAATTAAAAGTGATTTACATACTACCATTATAGTATTATTTATTCTGTATTTGTTTATGTTTCAACCTTAGCAGTTACTTTTATACATTCATGTCTTTGTGGGGTTTTTTATTTGTTTGTTTTACCGTTTAGATCATCCTTTCATTTTAATTTAAAAAAACTAGTAGTAGGATTTCTTGTAAAGCACATCTAGTGGTAATGAATTCCCTTTATTTTTGTCTTTGTTTCTGTGTTTGTTTATTTTGGAAAATCTTTCTCTTTTATTTTTGAAGGACAATTTTCCTCAGAATAGGGTTTTGTTGGCAATTTATATCCTTTTTTTTTTTTTTGCATTTATTATCCTGCTTCTTTCTGGCTTGCAAAACTTGTTTGAAGAAATCTGTTCATGACTTTACAAAAAGAATATGTCCCTTTTCCTTGCTACTTTTAACATTCTCTATTGGTCCTTTGACAGTTTGATTGTACTGTGTCTCAGCATAGACTTCTCTGGATTCCTCATCCTTGGGATCCCTTGCACTTCATGAATCAGGATCTCTATTTACCTCTCCAGTTCCTGGAAAGTTTTGCCATTATTTCTTTAAGCTTTCTGTCCCCTTCTCTTTCTCTTCTAAAACTCTTAGAACTTCTATATTGATTCATTTGATGTTGTCCCTGCAGTCCCTTAGTCTTTCCTCACTCTTTGTTTTTTATTCCTCTGGCTGGATAATTTATAAACATCTGTCTTCAAGTATGCTGATTTTTTTGTTTGGTCTCCTCTGCTGTTGAATCTCTATGTTCAGTTTTATAGTTGAGTTATTGTATTTTTCAGCTGAAAAATATCTTGTTCTTTTTATGGTTTCTATTTGTTTGTTGACATTGTGATTTTGTTAATGCATCATTTTTCTTATTTCATTTAGTTGCCCAGCCATATTCACTTGAAGCTTACTGACTTTTGAATTTACAATAATTGATGATTATTTTGAATTTTTGTTAGGCCATTCATAGATCTTTCAGTTAATGGAGATCACTTTATTTCTTTGCTTGTGCCATATATCCCTCATTCATTGTATTTCTTGTAGTTTTGCACTGGTGTTTGTGCATTTGAAGAAAATAAACTATCTTTCCCGGTATTTACAGATGAATTTGGCAGAGAAACATCTTTACCAATCAGACTGGCTAAAGATTCTAGGACCCTCTCAAATTGTTTCTATGTATGTACACAGCTGGTTTTTCTCCCTCATTCCTGGGGAGCGATATCAGAATTCTATGCCTTCTCTTAAACTTACACTGCTCAATAGTCTGCAGTGAATATGCAGTGCTCTATAGTCTGCAGTGAAAAGCGAGAAATACCTTTCCCCACTTATCCCTAGGACAGTGCACAAAAGATCAGGATGTTAGATTCACATTCCACACTTGTCCCTTGTTCTTGAAGAAGTCTCAGAATTATGTACCATCTCCCAATCTTGCAGAACCATGTTGGGTAGAGAAAGCCACCCAATCCTTTGGGTGCACCGAAAGACCAAGATGTTGAATGAACACTCCACTCTTCTTTTCCTACTGGGGGATGAGGAATGTCTCACATAGTGTGCCACCTTTTCCCAATCTCAACAAGCTGTGCAACTATTGAAAGCTGCCCACCCATTTTCTTTTTTCTTATCTGCCCCTAGGCATCTGAACTATGCCATTTTCCTCAGTGTTCCAGGTGAGGTGATGCAGAAACAAATCCCTTGGGCAGTGCACTAAAAAGTCAGGGTTTAGGATACATACTGCACTCCCCTTCAACCCCTCTCCCGTCACACACACACACACACACACACACACACACACACACACACACACACCCACCCACACAGGAGAAGTCATGGGCCAGTGGAATCTCTTTTGGCAGTGCAGAACTAGGAGAGGAGTCTTTCTGGGGTACTGCACATTGTTCACTTGATTAGGGACTGCTTATAAAGGTATTTTGATTCATATATTGTCCAACTGGTGTGTCTGTGGGAGTCAAGGGCTGGTACTCATTATTCTACCAACTTGCAGATGTCACTAGCTGTCTGCTTTTCATATATGGCTTTTATTATGTTGAGGTTGTTTCCCTATGTTTCATAGTTTCCTGTTTTCCTAGTCTGCTTTTCATATATGGCTTTTATTATGTTGAGGTTGTTTTCCTGTGTTTCCTAGTTTTGAGTGTTTTTCATCATGACAGAGTGTTAAATTTTGTCAAATGCTGTTCTGCATTGATTGAGATGATTGCATTTTTAACTTTTATTGTACTAAAGTGATATATTACACTAATAATTTTCATGTGTCGAACTATTCTTGTATCCCAGAAATAAATCCCACTTGTTCATGGTGTATAATTATTTCAGTGTGTCAGTTTTCTAGTATTTTATTAATCATTTTCACACCAGTATTCATCAAGAATATTAATCTGTGATTTTCTTTGCTTCTGGTATTTTTGGCTTTGGTGTGAAGCCACTGGTCCTGGGCTTTTCATTGTTGGAAGGTTTTTCATTATTAATTTCATCTTATTAATAAGTTACTGGTCTGTCAAGATTTTCTATTAGTGAATGAGTCTTGGTAGGTGGTGTGTTTCTAGGAATTTTTAACCAGTCCTTCATTTTTATCTATTACCCAGTTTGTTTTTATACAGTTATTTATAGTATTTTTACAATTTTATTTCTGTGATATTTTCTCTTTCATTCCTGATTTTAATTATTTGATTCATTTCTCTTTTCATAGCAAATGTACCAAAAGGTATGTTAATTTTGTTGGGTTTTTTTTAAGAAAACCATTTCGTAGTATCACTGACATTTCTATTGTTTTTTAAAATTATCTATTTAATTTATCTCTGCTTTAATCTGTTTCTTTTTCCCTTCCTTTTGCTAACTTTCACTTTCATCTGTTTTTTTCCTAGTTCCCTTCAGTGTGAAATTAGGTTGTTGATTTAAGTCTTTTTTTTTCTTTTTGAATGTGCGTATTTACATCCATAAATTTCTGTCACTGCATGGCTTTAGCTGTATCCCATAAGTTTTGGTATGTTATATTTTCCTTGAATTTATCTCCAAGTGTTTTTTAATACCCCTTGTGACTTACTTGACTCATTGTCTAAAAGTATGCAGTATGGTTTTCACATATTTATGGATTTTTTTCCTTCTGTTGATTTTCTTTCATTTGATTGTTATTGAAGAAGACACTTTGTATGATTTCATTCATCTTATATTTGTTAAGACTGGTTTTGTGGCCTAACATGTGGTCCATTCTCGAGATCGTTTTTGTGGAGCTTGAGAAGAATGTGTATTCTGGATAAAGTATTCTATTTATGTCTATTTGTTCCAATTTGTCTATAATGTTGTTCAACTCCTCTATATTTCTGTTGATCATCTATGTCATTCTATTATTTAAACTGAGATGTCAAACACGTCTATTATTGTGTTGCTGTCTATTTTTCACTTCAGTCCTGTCAATATTTGATTTACATATTTAGGAACTGTCTGGAACAGTTAGGAACATATTTAGGAACAGGTTGGTGTTAGTGCAAATAATTATATTCTTTTTATATTTTTACTAAAATAACCTTTTTATTCTTATATAATAACATTGTCTAACAGCTTTTAACTCAATTTTTTTTTCATTATGACAGCCATGTCTGTGCTGTTTTTATTATACTGGAATATATTTTTCCATATTATGGAATACATTTTTCTGTCCTGTCACTTTCAGTCTATGTCCTTAGATCTAAAGTGAATTTATTGTAGACAGGATTTATTTGGACTTTTTAATGCATTTAGGCAATCTACATCTCTTGATTGAAAAGTATATTTCATTTACTTTTCTTTTTGAGATAGGGTCTCACTCTAATACCCAGGCTGGAGCGCCGTGGTGTGATCACAGCTTACTGCAGCATCAACCTCCCTGGCTCAGGTGATACTCCCATCTCAACCTCTGGAATAGCTGGGACTACAGGTGTGTGCTACCACACACAGCTAATTACTATTTTCTGTTTTTCTTTTTAGTTTGTAAATTTAAAAAAGTCACATTATCCAGGCTGGTCTCAAACTTCTGGGCTCATGTGATTTGCCCACCTTGGCCTCCAAAAGTACTCAGAATATAGGGAAACACTCACTGTTCCCAAGTATTTCTTACTTTTCTCTGTCTTGTCTTGTCTTTCTGTTTCATTTCATTTTTAGTAACACGTTTTGAATTTCTGCTCATATCTTTTTGTGTATATATACATTCTGTGTGATTATCATTGTAATTACATGAACTGTATTAAAATTATACATTCTAAACTTAGTAAAAGTCTACTCTTTTAGTTTCACCTCATTTATGTCATACATTACATGTTTATATATTGTTACTTATTAACATAGATTTGTGTTTTTTAAGTTTTGTCTTCATGTTCTATGCACCAAAATTAAATAATACAGTTTACTATGTTTGTTCATGTATTTATCTTTACTGGATAATTTTATATTTCTCTATGACATCATGTTTCTGTCCACCGTCTTCATTTCAACGTGAAAGACTGCTTTTAGCATTTCTTATACAGTAGGTCTGATGATAATGTACATCCTCAGCATTTACTCATTTTGGAAAGTCTTCATTTCTGAAGAAAAGTTTTGTCAGATACCACCGACAGTTTTTTCTTTCAGTGTTTTGCATATTTTCTCCCACTCTTTTTTTTGCCTTGTGAGGTTTCTGTTGAGAAATCCCTTCATAATCTTATTGAAGCTTCTTTGTGTGTGATGAGTCACTTTCTTTTTTTTTTAGTTTTTTTATTTTATTTAGTTTTTTTTTTTTTTTTTTTGAGACAGAGTTTTTTGCTCTTGTTGTCCAGGCTGGAGTACAATGGTGTGATCTCAGCCCACCTCAACATCCACTTCCCAGTTTCAAGTGATTCTCCTGCCTCAGGCTCCTGAGTAGGTGGGATTACAGGCATGCGCCACCACGCCCAGCTAATTTTATATTTTTAGTAGAGACAGGGTTTCTCCATGTTAGTCAGGCTGGTCTTGAACTCCTGACCTCAGGTGATCCACTCGCCTCAGCCTCGCAAAGTGCTGAGATTACAGGCTTGAGCCACTGTGCCTGGCCAGTGAGTCACTTTTGTCTTTCTGCTTTCAACATTTTTTCTGACTTTAGTCAATGTGATATAATATATCTTGGTGTGGTTCTCTTGAGTTTTTTCTCTTTCAAAAATGTTTGAGCTTCTTGAATTTGTATATCTTTTTCTCTCCTCAGAATTAGGAAATGTTGGTATATTATTTCTTCACATATGTTTTCTGTTTCTTTCTTGCTTTCTTTTGGGATTCCCATAATGCTTATATTGCTCTGTTTGATAATATATGATAAATTCCTTGGCCTCTTTATTTTTCTTTACTCTTTTTACTTTTTGAATCTCTGACTTGATTATTTCAAATGCTATTTAATCCATATACAGAATTTTTCTGTTTAAAAAAAATTCTGTCTAGATGTTGTAGGTTTGTTTTTGTTTGGTTTTGTTTTGTTTCTGAGATGGAGTTTCACTCTTGTTGCCCAGTCTGGAGTGCAATGGCATGATCTCGGCTCACTGCAAACTCCGCCCCCTGGGTTCAAGCAATTCTTTTGCCTCAGCCTCCAAAGTAGCTGGGATTACAGGCATGTGCTACCAGGACAGGCTAATTTTCATATTTTTAGTAGAGACAGGGTTTCACCATGTTGGTCAGGCTGGTCTCAAACTCCTTACCTCAGGTGATCCACACACCTCAGCCTACCAAAGTGCTGGGATTACAGGCGTGAGCCACCATGCCCAGCCTAGATGTTGTAGCTTTTTAAATGATTTCTACTTTGTTGAATTTATCTTTTTGTTCATATTTTATTTCCTGATTTTGTTTAGTTTTCAGGAATTCTCATGGCAGTTATTTTAAGTTTTTGTCTGACTGCTTATAGATCTTCATTTCTTTAGGTTTGGTCACTTGAATTTCATTTTAATTTCTATAATTTGGCCACAATTATCTGTTTCTTTCAATGGTATGTAAACTTTTGCTGCAATTTGAACTGTTGAAGGAAAAAAAGGGACACATCTGTTCTAGTCTTAACATACTGGCTTAGATCAAAGGAAGACCTTGACCAATCAGCCCAGAGGCTTTGGAACATCCCAGATTTTTCCTGAGATGTTGATTCCTCTAGGTTTTGCATGCAGGACTGTGTCTCTAAATGGCTGTAGTCTCCACGTTTTTCATCAGCTTTCAAGTTATGCTGCCAGTCCTGATAGTGTTTAGGTGAAACTAGTATCACAGAAAATCTCAGACAAATCAAAACACTGAATGCAAAATGCCGTTTCCTCTGCCAAATAACAATTCTTAGTTTAGGGAGGTTTTCTCCTGGATATGCTATTACAGGAGAACAACTTGTTATATGGCAAGAGTAATGTCATTTTGAAGCAAAACTGACATCATGATCAATACTTTACACCTGCAGCAAGGTCTTTAAACAATCCCTGTAGCATTGCTAAGCCCTCATAAAGATGCTTATATAAACTCCCCAATGGCCACAAGTTTTCCAAGAAAGTCTTAGGCATGACCAGATGCACATCTTCACCTATTTGCACATCTTCACCCAAAATGCTTCCTTTTATAAAGAACACTTTCTGGGAGTTGGTGCAGGGACTCACCATCTTGCAGCTGCCGATATATCACTTCTGTTTGTCTCTGTTAGGTAGTTTTTTTTTCTGAGAAACGATTTATCAGCCTCTTACTTTCTTTTTTTTTTTTTTTATTTTGAGATAGTTTCTCTCTGTTGCCCAGGCTGGAGTACAGTGGACAACTATGTCCCTTCCCCTAGGAAAACCACAGTGGTGTGATCTCAGCTCACTGCAAATTCCATCTCCCAAATTCAAATGATTCTCCTGCCTCAGCCTCCTGAGTAGCTGAGATTATAGGCACGTACCAACATGCCCAGCTAATTTTGGTATTTTTAGCAGAGATGGGGTTTCACCATGTGGGCCAGGCTGGGCTTGAACTTTTGATGTCAAGTGATCCTCCAACCTCTGCCTCCCAAAGTGCTGGGATTACAGGTATGAGCCACCATGACTTACCCTGTCAGCCTCTTTCCTTGGCCTCTCAGCTCCATTGGCCTTTAGGCATAGATTCGCATATACCTACTCACTGCAAAACAACTGTGGTTTTCCTAGGGGAAGGGACATAGACAGGTATGAAAATGCTTCAAATTTTCTAACTACTTGCTAGTATCCCATCTGGGTTTTATGTTGGCCTGGGGGCTGTTTTTTTGTCAGCATGTCTTTAGCGTTCTCACAAAGATGTTCTGGTCCATATAGTATTGTTATCTGGGTGACTCTCTGAGAAAAGCTGGGTCTGTAGCTTCGTAATCTTCTATTTTACTGATCGTACTCTGCCAATCTGTCTTCAAATTGGTGAGTTTAATCTATTTACATTTAACATAATTTAAATAAGGAAAGAGTTACTTCTGCCATTTTGCTACTTGTTTCTATGTGTCGTATCTCCTTTGTTCCTCAATTCTACCACAACTCTCTTCTATTTTGTTTAACTGGTTGTCTGTAATGTCATTTTGAATTCCCTTTTATTTACTATTCGGTATTTTTAAAATCGTTTTCTTAACTGTTAGCCTGGGGATTAAAATGATCATTTTAACCTTTAACTTTATCAAAACCTATTGGATTAATACCAATTTAAATTTAATAGTATATAAAAACTCTAGATTAGGAAGCTGCAGGCACATCTCACCACCTTTATATTGTAGTGTCACAGATTATATCTTTGTAAGTTGTGTGTCCCTTGAGATAGATTGAAAACTATTGTTTTATGCATTTTTCTTTAAAATTGTATAGAAAAAGGAGTTACACAACCAAAATTTTAATAATAATGGCTTTTGTATTTAGCTGTATATTTGCCTTTGCCAGTGTTTTTATTTCTTCATGTAGTATCAATTTTCTGTCCTGTGCCTTTTTATTTTATTGCTATAGGGCAGATAGCAAAATAATCAATTTGTTTGTCTGGAAATGACTTAGTTTCACCTTTATTTTTCATTGAGAATTGTTGCTGCAATAAAATTCATGGTTAATGTGGTTTCTTTTAGTGCTTTGAATATGCCATTCTAAGGCCTGGATTTATGGTGTTTAATGGGCTTTTAATGTTATCAAGGATCCCATTTTCACACTTTGCTTCTCTCTAGCTGCTTTCAAAGTTCTCCGTTTTTTGTCTTTTTCCAGTTTGATTATATTGTGTCTCAGTGTGAATCTCTTTTATTAGTTGATTCTGCTTAGAGTTCATGAATCTTCTTAAGTTTTTAGATTCATGTATTTTATCAAATTTGGGAGATTTTACCTGTTATTTCTTCAAATATTATCTGTCTTTTCATCTTATTTCCAACTTTGGACTCACAAAAGGCATATAGTAGTCATTTGGTCATGTCCCACAAGTCTCTAAGAGTATGATTTTTTTTTTTTAATCTTTTTCTTTTCTACTCAGACTAGAGGATTACAATGTACTTATCTGCAAGATCACTTATTCTTATTTTTTTTTCTTTTTCTTTTTTCTTGAGGCAGAGTCTTGCTCTGTTGCCAGGCTGAAGTGCAGTGGCATGATCTCAGCTCACTCCAACCTCCACCTCCTGGGTTCAAGCAATTCCCCTGCCTCAGCCTACTGAGTAGCTGGGACTACAGGGGTGCACCACCACAACTGGCGAATTTTTTGTATTGTAGTAGAGACACGGTTTCACCATGTTGGCCAGGATGGTCTCAAACTCTTGACATCATGATGTGCCTTTCTCAGCCTCCCAAAGTGCTAGGATTAGCGGCATGAGCCACCATGCCCAGACTCTTTTTTTTTTTTCTTAGCTTCAATATGCTTCTGAACCTCCCTAGTGGATTTTTTATTTCACATAATGTATTTTCAACTCTAAAATTACTATTTGTAATCTTTTAAAATAATTACGTCTTACCTACATTTCTATTCTTATATATTTTTCTTGATTATCTTTAGTTCTTTGTCTTCAATTTCTATTAGTTGTTTAAGCATATAGAACAGTTGATTTAAAGTTTGTCTAAACCCAACATTTTGGTTCCCCAAAAATAGTTTTTGTTAACTTTTTTTCCTGTGAATGAGTGTGCTTTCTTGTCTCTTTGCATTCTTCATCTGTTTTGTTGAAAAGTGGATATTTTGGAAGAAGCCAAGATGGCCAAATAGGAACAGCTCCGGTCTACAGCTCCCAGCGTGAGCGAAGCAGAAGAGGGTGATTTCTGCATTTCCATCTGAGGTACCAGGTTCATCTCACTAGGGAGTGCCAGAGAGTGGGCGCAGGTCAGTGGGTGCGCGCACCATGCACCAGCCGAAGCACGGCGAGGCATTGCCTCACTTGGGAAGCACAAGGGGTCAGGGAGTTCCCTTTCCTAGTCAAAGAAAGGGGTGACGGATGGCACCTGGAAAATCGGGTCACTCCCACCCAAATACTGCGCTTTTCCGATGGGCTTAAAAAACGGTGCAGCACGAGATTATAACCCGCACCTGGCTCGGAGGGTCCTACGCCCACGGAGTCTCGCTGATTGCTAGCACAGCAGTCTGAGATCAAACTGCAAGGCGGCAGCGAGGCTGGGGGAGGGGCGCCCGCCATTGCCCAGGCTTGATTAGGTAAACAAAGCAGCCGGGAAGCTCCAACTGGGTGGAGCCCACCACAGCTCAAGGAGGCTTGCGTGCCTCTGTAGGCTCCACCTCTGGGGGCGGGGCACAGACAAACAAAAAGACAGCAGTAACCTCTGCAGACTTAAATGTCCCTGTCAGACAGCTTTGAAGAGAGCAGTGGTTCTCCCAGTACGCAGCTGGAGATCTGAGAACGGGCAGACTGCCTCCTCAAGTGGGTCCCTGACCCCTGACCCCCGAGCAGCCTAACTGGGAGGCACCCCCCAGCAGGGGCACACTGACACCTCACACGGCAGCGTACTCCAACAGACCTGCAGCTGAGGGTCCTGTCTGTTAGAAGGAAAACTAACAAACTGAAAGGACATCCACACCAAAAACCCATCTGTACATCACCATCATCAAAGACCAAAAGTAGATAAAACCACAAAGATGGGGAAAAAACAGAACAGAAAAGCTGGAAACTCTAAAACGCAGTGACTCTCCTCTTCCAAAGGAACGCAGTTCCTCACCGGCAATGAAACAAAGCTGGACGGAGAACGACTTTGACGAGCTGAGAGAAGGAGGCTTCAGATGATCAAATTACTCTGAGCTACGGGAGGACATTCAAACCAAAGGCAAAGAAGCTGAAAACTTTGAAAAAAATTTAGAAGAATGTATAACTAGAATAACCAATACAGAGAAGTGCTTAAAGGAGCTGATGGAGCTGAAAACCAAGACTCGAGAACTACATGAAGAATGCAGAAGCCTCAGGAGCTGATGCGATCAACTGGAAGAAAGGGTATCAGCAATCGAAGATGAAATGAATGAAATGAAGAGAGAAGGGAAGTTTAGAGAAAAAAGAATAAAAAGAAATGAGCAAAGCCTCCAAGAAATATGGGACTCTGTGAAAAGACCAAATCTACGTCTGATTGGTGTACCTGAAAGTGATGGGGAGAATGGAACCAAGTTGGAAAACACTCTGCAGGATATTATCCAGGAGAACTTCCCCAATCTAACAAGGCAGGCCAACGTTCAGATTCAGGAAATACAGAGAACGCCACAAAGATACTCCACGAGAAGAGCAACTCCAAGACACATAATTGTCAGATTCACCAAAGTTGAAATGAAGGAAAAAATGTTAAGGGCAGCCAGAGAGAAAGGTCGGGTTACCCTCAAAGGGAAGCCCATCAGACTAACAGCGGATCTCTCGGCAGAAACCCTACAAGCCAGAAGAGAGTGGGGGTCAATATTCAACATTCTTAAAGAAAAGTATTTTCAACCCAGAATTTCATATCCAGCCAAACTAAGCTTCATAAGTGAAGGAGAAATAAAATACTTTACAGACAAGCAAATGCTGAGAGATTTTGTCACCACCAGGCTTGTCCTAAAAGAGCTCCTGAAGGAAGCGCTAAACATGGCAATGAACAACCAGTACCAGCCGCTGCAAAATCATGCCAAAATGTAAAGACCATCAAGACTAGGAAGAAACTGCATCAACTAATGAGCAAAATAACCAGCTAACATCATAATGACAGGATCAAATTCACACATAACAATATTAACTTTAAATGTAAATGGACTAAATGCTCCAATTAAAAGACACAGACTGACAAATTGGATAAAGAGTCAAGACCCATCAGTGTGCTGTATTCAGGAAACCCATCTCATGTGCAGAGACACACATAGGCTCAAAATAAAAGGATGGAGGAAGATCTACCAAGCAAATGGAAAACAAAAAAAGGCAGGGGTTGCAATCCTAGTCTCTGATAAAACAGACTTTAAAACAACAAAGACCAAAAGAGACAAAGAAGGCCATTACATAATGGTAAAGGGATCAATTCAACAAGAAGAGCTAACTATCCTAAATATATATGCACCCAATATAGGAGCACCCAGATTCATAAAGCAAGTCCTGAGTGACCTACAAAGAGACTTAGACTCCCACACATTAATAATGGGAGACTTTAACACCCCACTGTCAACATTAGACAGATCAACGAGACAGAAAGTCAACAAGGATACCCAGGAATTGAACTCAGCTCTGCACCAAGCAGACCTAATAGACATTTACAGAACTCCCCACCCCAAATCAACAGAATATACATTTTTTTCAGCACCACACCACACCTATTCCAAAATTGACCACATAGTTGGAAGTAAAGCTCTCCTCAGCAAATGTAAAAGAACACAAATTATAACAAACTATCTCTCAGACCACAGTGCAATCAAACTAGAATTCAGGATTAAGAATCTCACTCAAAACCGCTCAACTACATGGAAACTGAACAACCTGCTCCTGAATGACTACTGGGTACATAACGAAATGAAGGCAGAAATAAAGATGTTCTTTGAAACCAACGAGAACAAAGACACAACATACAAGAATCTCTGGGACGCATTCAAAGTAGTGTGTAGAGGGAAATTTATAGCACTAAATGCCCACAAGAGAAAGCAGGAAAGATCCAAAATTGACACCCTAACATCACAATTAAAAGAACTAGAAAGCAAGAGCAAACACATTCAAAAGCTAGCAGAAGGCAAGAAATAACTAAAATCAGAGCAGAACTGAAGAAAATAGAGACACAAAAAACCCTTCAAGAAATTAATGAATCCAGGAGCTGGTTTATTGAAAGGATCAACAAAATTGATAGACTGCTAGCAAGACTAATAAAGAAAAAAGAGAGAGGAATCAAATAGATGCAATAAAAAATGATAAAGGGGATATCACCACCGATCCCACAGAAACACAAACTACCATCAGAGAATGCTACAAACACCTCTACGCAAATAAACTAGGAAATCTAGAAGAAATGGATAAATTCCTCGACACATACACTCTCCCAAGACTAAAACAGGAAGAAGTTGAATCTCTGAATAGACCAATAACAGGATCTGAAATTGTGGCAATAATCAATAGCTTACCAACCAAAAAGAGTCCAGGACCAGATGGATTCACAGCCGAATTCTACCAGAGGTACAAGGAGGAACTGGTACCATTCCTTCTGAAACTATTCCAATCAATAGAAAAACAGGGAATCCTCCCTAACTCATTTTATGAGGCCAGCATCATCCTGATACCAAAGCCTGGCAGAGACACAACCAAAAAAGAGAATTTTAGACCAATATCCTTGATGAACATTGATGCAAAAATCCTCAATAAAATACTGGCAAAATGAATCCAGCAGCACATCAAAAAGCTTACCCACCATGATCAAGTGGGCTTCATCCCTGGCATGCAAGGCTGGTTCAATATACACAAATCAATAAATGTAATCCAGCATATAAACCGAGCCAAAGACAAAAACCACATGATTATCTCAATAGATGCAGAAAAGGCCTTTGACAAAATTCAACAACACTTCATGCTAAAAACTCTCAATAAATTAGGTATTGGTGGGACATATTTCAAAATAATAAGAGCTATCTATGACAAACCCACAGCCAATAGCATTACTGAATGGGAAAAAACTGGAAGCATTCCCTTTGAAAACTGGCACAAGATAGGGATGCCCTCTCTCACCACTCCTATTCAACATAGTGTTGGAAGTTCTGGCCAGGGCAATTAGGCAGGAGAAGGAAATAAAGGGTATTCAATTAGGAAAAGAGGAAGTCAAATTGTCCCTCTTTGCAGACGACATGATTGTATATCTAGAAAACCCCATTGTCTCAGCCCAAAATCTCCTTAAGCTGATAAGCAACTTCAGCAAAGTCTCAGGATACAAAATCAATGTACAAAAATCACAAGCATTCCTATACACCAACAACAGACAGAGAGCCAAATCATGAGTGAACTCCCATTCACAATTGCTTCAAAGAGAATAAAATACCTAGGAATCCAACTTACAAGGGATGTGAAGGACCTCTTCAAGGAGAACTACAAACCACTGCTCAAGGAAATAAAAGAGGATACAAACAAATGGAAAAACATTCCATGCTCATGGGTAGGAAGAATCAATATCGTGAAAATGGCCGTAGTGCCCAAGGTAATTTACAGATTCAATGCCATCCCCATCAAGCTACCAATGACTTTCTTCACAGAATTGGAAAAAACTACTTTAAAGTTCATATGGAACCAAAAAAGAGCCCACATCGCCAAGTCAATCCTAAGCCAAAAGAACAAAGCTGGAGGCATCACACTACCTGACTTCAAACTATACTACAAGGCTACAGTAACCAAAAGAGCATGGTACTGGTACCAAAACAGAGATATAGATCAATGGAACACAACAGAGCCCTCAGAAATAACGCCACATACCTACAACTATCTGATCTTTGACAAACCTGAGAAAAACAAGCAATGGGGAAAGGATTCCCTATTTAATAAATGGTGCTGGGAAAACTGGCTAGCCATATGTAGAAAGCTGAAACTGGATCCATTCCTTACACCTTATACAAAAATCAATTCAAGATGGATTAAAGACTTAAACGTTAGACCTAAAATCATAAAAACCCTAGAAGAAAACCTAAGCAATACCATTCAGGACATAGGCATGGGCAAGGACTTCATGTCTAAAACACCAAAAGCAATGGCAACAGAAGACAAAATTGACAAATGGGATCTAATTAAACTAAAGAGCTTCTGTACAGCAAAAGAAACTACCATCAGAGTGAACAGGCAACCTACAAAATGGGAGAAAATTTTCGCAACCTACTCATCTGACAAAGGGCTAATATCCAGAATCTACAATGAACTCAAACAAATTTACAAGAAAAAAACAAACAACCCCATCAAAAAGTGGGCAAAGGACATGAACAGACACTTCTCAAAAGAAGATATTTATGCAGACAAAAAACACATGAAAAAATGTTCATCATCACTGGCCATCAGAGAAATGCAAATCAAAACCACAATGAGATACCATCTCACACCAGTTAGAATGGCAATCATTAAAAAGTCAGGAAACAACAGGTGCTGGAGAGGATGTGGAGAAATAGGAACACTTTTACACTGTTGGTGGGACTGTAAACTAGTTCAACCATTGTGGAAGTCAGTGTGGCGATTCCTCAGGGATCTAGAACTAGAAATACCATTTGACCCAGCCATCCCATTACTGGGTATATACCCAAAGGACTATAAATCATGCTGCTATAAAGACACATGCACAAGTATGTTTATTGCGGCACTATCCACAATAGCAAAGACTTGGAACCAACCCAAATGTCCAACAATGATAGACTGGATTAAGAAAATGTGGCACATATACATCATGGAATACTATGCAGCCATAAAAAATGATGAGTTCATGTCCCTTGTAGGGACATGGATGAAATTGGAAATCATCATTCTCAGTAACCTATTGCAAGAACAAAAAACCAAACACCGCATATTCTCACTCATAGGTGGGAATTGAACAATGAGATCACATGGACACAGGAAGGGTAACATCACAATCTGGGGACTGCTGTGGGGTGGGGGGAGCGGGGAGGGATAGCACTGGGAGATATACCTAATGCTAGATGACGAGTTAGTGGGTGCAGCGCACCAGAATGGCACATGTATACCTATGTAACTAACCTGTGCAATCTGCACATGTACCCTAAAACTTAAAGTATAATAATAAAAGAAAAAAAAGAAAAAAAAAAGAAAAGTGGATATTTTGAACATTATTACATGTACAAATAAGAAAGAAAAGAGGAAGAGGAGAAAAAGGAAATGTTTCTCTATGTCTTTGTTGATTGACTGTATGTTGAGACACTTCTTCAACGCTTCGCATGACCAATTTACAACATTGTCTTAGCCTTCTTTTTTGCCTGAGTGTAAAGACACAAAAAACACTAAAGCTTTTGCCTTATTGTCTTTACAGTTGTTTCCCAAGCATGTGTGTGGCTTTGTAGGTGTCCCTGATAGGTAGCAGTCTTTCAAAGACCCTATTTTCTCCTAAAATTTTACTCTATGTCCTTTTAGGCTATCATGGTGTCTACTGTGGTCCTCAACATTGTAGTTTCTTGTTGCCGTTTTACTGCCAACAATAGTGGCTTATTCATTTGGCTTTTCTTGAGGACCACATGAACTCCAAGCTAGGTAAAGCAAAGGAACATACCTTGTGAAAGTCCATAAAATAATTTCCATTAAAGTCAAACAAAAACCATTCATTTCCTTGGAGCAAGATTAATTTTGCTGCTTATGAAACTGACTACATGCACCATGTATGTGGGCTGTCATCTTCAAGTTTTCTGGCATGCTAGGGAAAGAGGTGGAACTAGGTTAAGTTAAAATACAATGCAACGCGAATGTGCTGTAGTGGCTTTTTTATTTACTAAGATTTTTGATTTTTGGTTTGTTTTGGTTTGGTTTTGTTAAGGTTTTTGGTTTTGGTACACTTTTGACTATTTTTGGAGTTCTGATAAGGCTGATTCTAAGAGTTTTTGCCAAGCATTTTAGTATTTTGGGGGAGGGATTGCCTTCAGGGAGTGCTAACTTCAGTTTTTGGTTTCTGCTTTATTTTGTAAGAGCAGTTTACTTCAAAATTTTATTGCTGCTGTAATAGTGCTAGATCTTATTTACAGAGAGACATATATTAGAAATGCCCTTGTAATCTCTCTGTATTTAACATGATTTCTCTTTAGGTATTGACCAGCTCTTTTTTCATACAGAAGTGTTGGAGCACTGACCATGCCTAGAAATACCTGTGTTTCTTCAATTCATAAGTTATTCCAAAGATTTCTTGAAATTGTCTTATTAGGAAATGGGGGAACACAGGACTAAGGAGGAAGAAACTGATTTGGATCCCATATGATGGGAAATGCAGAGGGTTAAAGAGGCTACGCTGAAGAGTTTAAATAGAAAGGATATTATTGTGGAAAAGAAAGGTTGGTTTTCCCTTCCGTTATTATTTATGTCACTGGACAACTCTCAGAAATAAGATGAGACGGAAATATTATGGTGAGAAGGGGAAACAGAGAGATGAGAAGCAGCAGCTAAAAACTTTTGTCTCTTGGTTGAAAACAGGAGTTCTTCCAGCTTTTCTTGTTGTAAAACAGACTTGTCCACTGAGGAAGTTTTACTGTTCCCAAGCCCCATCTCTTCTTGCAGAAATCCCCCATCCTGCCTTTATCTTGTACTATGCACTAAATGTTTTAGTTTCCCCAAATTTAGATGTTGAGATCCTAAACCACAATGTAATGGAATTAGGAGCTGGGGTCTTCGGGAATTTAACTAGGTAATAAAGACAGATCCCTCCTGAATGACACTAGTGCCATTATAAAAGATTTGAGAGCTTCTTCTTTCTTACTTTTTTTTTTTTTTTGTCTTCTCTGCCATAGAGGAATACAGTAAAAAGAGGGCTGTCTGCAAACTGAGAAATGGGCATTCACCATTTGGTTCTGGACACCTGGTCATTTGATATCCGGACATTGGGTCTGCTGGCACTTTTGATCTTAGACTTCAGCCTCCAGAACTATGAGAAAATTTCTGCTGTTTAAGGTACACAGTCTATACTAATTTGAACTAGCAACCTGAAGTGACCACACACTGAAAAGAAGCCTGAAGAGGAAATACGGATTTGGGGAATGTGGAAAAAAATAAGTAGTTGTGACAGTGAAATAGAGTCAGAGTCTGCAGACTTTGCAAGGTGGGGAGACAAGGGATGGTGAAGAGGGAGATTGTTTCTTGAGTGCACATGGAAAGACAAAATTTGGGACTAAATTTTTATGCTTTTAATAGGTAAAATGAATAGAATTTTCTCACTAGCCAAGGAGTTTTATATTGGCTGGAGAAGTGGAATTCTGACTAAGAAAAAACTTTTTGTCTTGGAAGTTAATATAAAAACCCATTTTAGTGGCTTGATTAACAATTATATTACCACTAGTTTAAGAATAAAGTGAAATGTATCACCTAATGACTAATGCTTGTAGTCATAAGTGGAAAAGTACATATTTTTATTGTTATATCCATGATATGCTCTATTGCCTTGGACTTTTCCATAACAGGTGTTTTTTCTCAGTGGGTGCCTGTCCCACATTCAGTTTGACATGGATCACATAACTTTCCCACCTGCAAACTGAGTTTTTTTCTCCTTCAGAAAATGAAAAAACCAAAGCAAAAGTTGACAAGTGGGATCTAATTAAACTTAAGAGCTTCTGCAAAGCAAAATAAACTACCAACAGAGTAAACAGACAACCATAGAATGGGAGAAAATTTTTGCAGTCTCTGCATCTGACAAAGGCCTAATTTCCATATCCAGTGTCTATAAGGAACTCAAAATATGTGTAAGGAAAAGTAATCCTATTAACAATTGAGCAAAAGACATGAACAGACACTTTTCAAAAGAAGGCATACATGTAGCCAACAAATATATGAAAAAAACCCTCAACATCACTGATCACTAGAGAAATGCAAATCAGAAACCACAATGAAGGGGAGGGTTCAAGTTGGCTGAATAGAAACAGCCCCAGTCTGTAGCTCCCAGTGAGAGCAATGCAGAAGGCAGGTGACTTCTACATTTCCAGCTGAGGTACCCTGTTCATCTCACTGGGACTGGCTAGGCAGTGGGTACAGCACAGACAGCAAGAAGAAGCAGGGTGTGGTGTGCTTCACCTGGGAAGTGCAAGGAGCTGGGGACCTCCCTCCCCCAGCCAAGGGAAGTGGTAAGGGACTATGCTACCCACCTGGGCTACTATGCTTTTCCCATGGGTTTTTGCAATCTGCGTATCAGGAGATTCCCTTGTCAGCCTACACTACCAGGACCCTGGCTTGAAATTCTCACTGCCAGCTCAGCAGTCTGGAGTCTGCCTGGGATGATTGAGTTTGGTGGGGGGAGAGGTGACCTCCATTACTGTGGCTTTAGTAGGCGGTTTTCCCGTAACAGTGCTAAGGGAAGTGGGCAGAATTCACCACAGTGCAGCTAAGTGGCTGCGGCCAGACTGGTTCTCTAGATTTCTCCTCACTGGGCAGCCTATCTCTGCAGAAAATCCAGCAGCTCCAGTCAGGGGCTTACAGAGAAGACTCTCAGATCCTTGGGACAGAGCATGTCAGGGGAGGGGCAGCAGCAGTCTCAGGTTTGGAAGACTTAATCTCTCCCACCTTCCAGCTCTGAAGAGAGTGGCTGATGCTGATAAGGGGGTTTCTCCCAGCACAGAGCATTAGCTCTGCTAAGGGACAGACTGCCTCCTTAAGCGGGCTCCTAACCCCATGCCTCCTGACTGGGAGAGACCATGTAACAGGGGTCAACAGGTACCTCATACAGGAGAGCTCCCAGTGGTATCAAATCAGTGCCCCCCTGGGATGAAGCTTCCTGAAAAAGGAACAGGCAGCAGTCTTTGCTGTTCTGCATCTTCCACTGGTGATAGAAGAACAGGGTTTAGAGTGGACGCCCAGCATACTGAAACAAACCTGCAAAACAGGGGCGTGTTAGAAGAAAAACTAACACACAGAAAGCAACAACATCAACAAAAAGACTCCCCCCTGACAAAAACCCCATCCAAAGGTCATCAGCCTCATTGGTCAAAGGTACATAAATCCACAAAGATGAGGAAAAACCAGTGCAACAATGCTGAAAATTCCAAAAGCCAGAATGCTGCTTCTCCTCCAAGTAATCACAACACCTCTCCAGCAACAGCACACACGGGGGAGGATGGTTAGGGAACCTATATGATGAAAGACTAGGGGAAAATTTTCTAGCCTAGCATGCAATTTAAATGTCCAGATACAGAAAGAGATCCCCAAGTGCACACAGTTCAAAAAGTATTCTCCATGGTACATTGTATTCAAACTGTCAACATTTAAAAATAAAGAGAATTCTAGAAACAGCAGAAGAAAAGTTTCTGGCCACTTAGAAATCCTCATCAGACTAAGAATTTTTTTTCAGTAGATACTTTACAGGCCAGGAGAGAATGTGATGATATATTTAAAGTGCTAAAAGAAAAAAACTGCTACTCAAGGATAATATGTTCAGTAAAGGTATCCTTCATAAATGAAGGAGAAATAAATTATTTCCCAGATAAGCAAGAGCTGAAAAAATTTATCACCAATTGCCCTATAAGAAAGGCTTAAGGGAATTATATATCTAGAAGTGAAACAACAGTGTCTATCATGATGAAATCACGCACTACTATAAAACCCACTGGTAATGCAAACACACAAATAATGAAGAGAATGACTACAAATGTAACTACTACAGAAAATCACCAAACTGCAATGATAAACAAAGAGAAAGAAAAGCAAAGGGCTAAACAAAACCACCAGAATTCAATTCATAAAATTATAGAAATTAGCCCTCAGATATTAATAACTGCTGGGAACAGGCCATAAGCTTGTCATAAATGGGCCTTAAAGAAATTGGCCATAAACAGGATTTCTGCAGCAATGTGACTACATGTTATAGCATCATGGAGTGCAGTGGCACGATCTCGGCTCACTGCAACCTCCACCTCCCAGGTTCAAGATGCTCATGATGCTATAACACACACTGCTAGAAGTTGCTGGCTAACTGGAGTAGGGCAAGGAACACTTGGCCCACCTGGAATGGAAAACTGCTCAAACCTCAAACAATAGCAGGAGTGGCCTATGCCTTAACATGTTTTTGCTGCAGATAATCAGCCAGAGCCTGTTTCTCTCCTCTTTGCTAAGAATGCTTTGTTTCCCATAAGAAATGCTTTTACCTAATCTATAACCTGTAGAAACAATGCTTACCATTGTCTTGCTGTCAATAAATATATGGGTCAAACTCCGTTTGTGGCTCTCAGCTCTGAAGGCTGTTAGCCTCCTGATTCTTCTATTTCTGTGTCTGTGTCTTCAATTCCTCTAGTGCGGCTGGGATGGGGTCTCCATGATCGAGCTGATCTCAGCAAATAACCTTGAATGTAAATAGATTAAATTGTCCACTTGAAATATATATACTGGCTAAATGGATTTTCATGAATGGCTGAACTACACTGTGCCTGCAAGAACTCATATCATGCATTAGGACAAATACAGAGTAAAAGTAAATGGATGGAAAAAAATATTCCAGGCAAACAGAAATCAAGAATAACCAGCCCTGAGGTATGGTGGCAGGGTGCCAAAAAGTATTATTAACCAATTGTAAATGTAGCTACTATAAAAGTAGCTATATTTACATAAAAGAAATGCGTTCAAAAAAGTAAAAAGAGTCCAATAAGGTCTTTATATAATGATAAAGGGATCAATTCAGCAAGAGGATATGCCAATTCTAAATATATATGCGACCAACATTATAACTGCCAGAAATATAAAGTGAATACTATTAAAGGAAAAGAGAGACTCATATACAATAGTAATTGAAGACTTCAACCCCTCACTCTCATCATTAGATAGATAATCTAGATGATAGAATATTAACAAAGATACATTGGATTTAAACTGAGCTTTACTTAACCATAATCCCAGCTACTTGGGAGGCTGAGGGAGGAGAATCACTTGAACCCGAGATGCAGAGATTGCAGTGAGCAGAGACCATGCCATTGCACTCCATCCTGGGTGACTGAGAAAGACTCCATAAAAAAAAAAAATTCCTATGCATTACAAAATGGACCTAACAGATGCCTACGAAACACTTCATCCAGCAGGCACAGAATATACGTTCTTCTAATCAGCACATGGACTATTTGCCAGGATAGACCATCTACCAGGGCACAAAAAATGATTCAACAAGGTTGGGCATGGCTCACATCTGTATCACAGCACTTTGGGAGGCCAAGGTGGATGGATCACAAGGTCAAGAGATTGAGACAACCCTGGCAAATGCAGTGAAACCCTGTCTCTACTAAAAATACAAAAATTAGCTGGGCATGGTGGCATGTGCCTGTAGTCCCAGCTACTTGGGAGGCTGAGGCAAGAGAATCGCTTGAACCTGGGAGGCGGAGGTTGCAGTGAGCCGAGATCGTGCCACTGCACTCCAGCCTGGCAACAGAGTGAGACTCCATCTCAAAAAAAAAAAAGTTCAACAGATTTTTAAAAACCAAAACTATCAAATTTCTTCTCAGACTACTATGGAATAAAACTAGAAATAAACTTAAAAACAAATATTAGAAACTGTACAAATACTTAAATATTAAACAAGATGCTCTGGAGTGAACCTTGGGTCAAGGAAGAAATTATGGATGAAACTTTAAAATTCCTTGAAATACAAAAATATCTAAACTAAACAATCAAACCTAAGGTATATAGCAAAAAGAGTGCTAACAGGGAGGTTTATAGTAATAAACTCATATCAAAACACTTGAGAGACTTCAAATAATCTATATAACACTGCACCAGTAGCACTAGAAAAGCAATAAGAAATCAAACTCAAAATTGGTAGAAGAAAATAATTCATGAAAATCGAGCAGAATTAAACAAAATAGAGACTAAAGGAATAACACAATGTTTCATTTAAATAAGAAATTGATTTTTAAAAAATAAAGAAAAAGAGGCTGAGTTCAGTGGCTCATGACTGTAATCCCAACACTTTGGGAGGCCAAGGCAGGTGGATCACCTGAGGTCAGGAGTTCAAGACCAGCCTGGCCAACATGGTGAAACCCCATCTCTACTGAAAAAAAAAAAAATACAAAAAATTAGCTGGGTGTGGTGGTGCATGCCTGTAATGCCAGCTACTCGAGAGGCTGAGGCAGGGGAATCATTTGAACCTGGGAGGCAGAGGTTGCAGTGAGCCAAGATTGCACAACTGCATTCCGGCCTGGGTGGCAGAGCAAGAATCCATCTAAAAAAAAAAAAAGAAAAATAAAGAAAAAGGGACTGGGCATGGTGGTTCCCACCTGTAATCCCAGCATTTGGGGATGCTGAGGCGAGAGGATCTCCTGAGATCAGGAGTTTGAGACCAGCCTGGCCAACATGGTAAAACCCCATTTCTCCTAAACTGCCAGCCAGACTAACAACAACAAAAGACAGAAGATCAAAACAAAATCAGAAATGAAAACAAACAAACATTATAACTGACACTGCAGACATACAAAAGATTATCAGAGACTTTTATGGACAACCACATACTAAGAAACTAGAAAACCTGGAAGAAATAGATGAATTCCTAGACTCATGCAATCTACTAAGATTGAATTATGAAGAAATAGAAAACCTAAACAGACAAATAACAACAAATGATTTTGAATCATGAATAAAAGTATTCCAACAAAAAAGAGTCTAGGACAGGCCTGGCTTCACTACTGCATGCTACCAAACATTCAAAGAAGAAGTAACAAGAACTCTCCTCAAACCATTTTTAATAATTGAAAGGGAGCAAATTCTCCCTTCCTAACTCATTCTATGAGGCCATGATTATCCTAACATCAAATACCAACAAAAGACAACAAAAAATAAAAAATCATCTATAGGCAATATCCCTGAGGAACATAAATGCAAAACTCCTCAACAAAATACTTGTAACTGACTCCAACTGCACTCCAGAAAGATAATACATCACTATCAAGTGGGATTTACTCTAAAGATGTAAGAATTGTATAACATATACAAATTAATAATATGGTACTTAACATAAAAAGAAAGAGGAATGGACCTATATGATCATCTGAATAGGTACAATAAGAAGCAGTTGATAAATTTAACAGCCTTTATAATAAAACTCAGTAAACTAGGCATGGATGTGTCATATCTAAATGTAATAAACACCATAAAGATAAACCTGCTAACAGTATAATGAATGGGGAACAGTGAAATTCTCTTTTAAGAAATGAAGCAAGACAAAATGCTGACTTTCACCACTCCTATTCAACACAGAACTGGTTCTCCTAATCAAAACAACCAGGCAAGAGATAGAAATGAAATATGTCCATGTTGGATGAGGAAATGCAGCAGGATAATTAAGGAATCAGAGAGACCTAGGGGTTGAGGAGGAATTATTTAATTATTTAGGTGCACCGACCCAGTCAGATTAACACCCAAAGAACTGAGCTGTGAACAGAGTCAAGCTACCTTTTAGGCATTTTGTGGGGTTGGAGGAGATCTGTGCAGGGTGAAGCATATTACAGAAGAGAGAAACAAAGACAGTTATTCAATTGAGATATGCATTACATCAGTTCTTACTTTTCAAGAAACAACATGTTTTACGACTTGAGATTATCTGCCTAGTGACCTTGCAGCTGCACAGCTAGAGAAACAGGGTCTTCACAATACCTGGGAAAGGGAGAGATAAGGCTCACTAGCCACAGAAAAACAGGCAGTTAATTTTAAAGGACTCCAGCTCTTTCTCTTCCTCAGGGGGAACTGGGTTTTCTTATATACGACTGAGTTTTTGCTTACACGTTCTTTAATTTCTTTCAATTCCTCTTCCATTTCCCCCATTTGGTGCTTTTTAAAACAAAGATGTTAATAGAAAGCACCACTATTTGCCATCTCTTCCCGGAGCTGAGCTGTTTCTTTTATTGGCAGTGGCTGATATTTGGTTAATGCCGTCAATAGCATGGTAGTGTTTCGGGTTACTACTGCCTCTATAGTTGACAAATACTCCTAATATACAGGGGTAAAAGGCAAGGGAGGATGAGGCAGATGCCAAGAATAAACAAAAACCCACCAATGAGGGTTTTGAATCCCCCAAACATTGAGAACCATCCTCCAAACAAGGAATCCAGGGACCATCCAGACCAAGTCTGAACTGGAACATGGGCCAACTTGGACATTCTAGCTGTGGTTTCCATTAGAGCTTGGCCATTATCATCCATTTCTAGGCAACAACTGGTTAAATTAAATTTTCCACATACTCCTCCTTCTGAGGCTAAGAGGTAATCTAAAGCCAATCTATTCTGATATGTAGCATTTCTCATTTGTGTTGCTTGTGTTATCAATAAATCTAGTTTCCTTGACATTTCATTGGTTATTATTTCAAGGACTGCCTGCAACCTTATGATGCGGTTGAGCATATAGATTGGGGTGCGGTATTCCCATGACCCAACTTGCGCTCAGATAGCGGGCCCATACTATTTAATGATTCTTTCAGGAGGCCATTCATTATCCTTCCAGTCTCCTATGTCTGCATCCTTTTTGACATTTGTGTCTATTTTTGTCATTATGCTTTTTCTAGTTCTTTTATTTTCATCATAAACTGGATACCCTAAGAGTTCCCCTTGCTTTAGAGGAATTAAAAAGAGGGATGGCTTGATTGTTTCTAACACACATGCCCCTGTCCATTTAGCCAGCAGTTGCCGATATGCCCATGCTCCACAGACCCAATATAGGCCAGAGGGTGCTTTCCAAGCATTTGGAGTCTTTAGCTGATGCCAAGAGTGGCTTAGGGTAGAGAATCAAGAGAAAGCATTTGGATCTGGTAACTAGGAGTCGTTCTGGGAGTTTCTCCGTAGAGTTTTGTTTTTACTCTCATCATAATACTGTTGCCCTAGGCTTATTGTTTTTCCCATTGCCTCTGTGAAAGCCTTTCCCCAACAGGCGATACAGTACTTTCCAATTATGGAGGTTTTTAACAACCAAACACTAGCTGAGGCTGTTGGTTCACTGGCAGGATTAGGCAAAGTGAATTTATGTTGTGGCATTAATTCCTTTGCCTCCCATTGCCGCTGGTCCCCCATATGAGTTCCTTCACTTACATAGCATGAGGAAATTCCTAAGCTGCCAGCTATGTTTTCAGCTAGTTGAGCAAATAAGTTTTTGGTTGATAGGGGAAGCTCAGGCACTGACTGATCAAAATGCTTACAGATCTAACATGTAAGTCTTTAATCCATCTCAAATTAATTTTTGTATAAGGTGTAAGGAAGGGATCCAGTTTCAGCTTTCTACATATGGCTAGCCAGTTTTCCCAGCACCATTTATTAAATAGGGAATGCTTGTTTTTGTCAGGTTTGTCAAAGATCAGATAGTTGTAGATATGCGGCATTATTTTTGAGGGCTCTGCTCTGTTCCATTGGTCTATATCTCTGTGTTGGTACCAGTACCATGCTGTTTTTGTTACTGTAGCCTTGTAGTATAGTTTGAAGTCAGGTAGCGTGATGCCTCCAGCTTTGTTCTTTTGGCTTAGGATTGACTTGGCAATGTGGGCTCTTTTTTGCTCCCATATGAACTTTAAAGTAGTTTTTTCCAATTCTGTGAAGAAATTCTAGAAGAAAACCTAGGCAATACCATTCAGGACATAGGCATGGGCAAGGACTTCATGTCAAAAACACCAAAAGCAATGGCAACAAAAGCCAAAATTGACAAATGAGATCTAATTAAACTAAAGAGCTTCTGCACAGCAAAAGAAGCCACCATCAGAGTGAACAGGCAACTTACAGAATGGGAGAAAATTTTTGCAACCTACTTATCTGACAAAGGGCTAATATCCAGAATCTACAATGAACTCAAACAAATTTACAAGAAAAAACAAACAACTCCAACAAAAAGTGGGTGAAGGATATGAACAAACACTTCTCAAAAGAAGACATTTATGCAGCCAAAACACACATGAAAAAATGCTCACCATCACTGGCCATCAGAGAAATGCAAATCAAAACCACAATGAGATACCATCTCACACCAGTTAGAATCGCGAACAATAAAATGTCGGAAACAACAGGTGCTGGAGAGGATGTGGAGAAATAGGAACACTTTTACACTGTTGGTGGGACTGTAAACTAGTTCAACCATTGTGGAAGTCAGTGTGGCGAGTCCTCAGGGATCTAGAACTGGAAATACCATTTGACCCAGCCATCCCATTACTGGGTATATACCGAAAGGATTATAAATCATGCTGCTATAAAGAGATGTGCACACGAATGTTTATTGCAGCACTATTCACAATAGCAAAGACTTGGAACCAACCCAAATGTCCAACAATGATAGACTGGATTAAGAAAATGTGGCAAATATACACCATGGAATACTATGCAGCCATAAAAAAGGATGAGTTCATGTCCTTTGTAGGGATATGGATGAAGCTGGAAACCATCATTCTCAGCAGTCTATTGCAAGGACAAAAAACCAAACACTGCATGCTCTCACTCATAGGTGGGAATTGAACAAAGAGAACAGATGGACACAGGAAGGGGAACATCACACACCAGGGACTGTTGTGGGGTGGGGGAAGGGGGGAGGGGGGAGGGATAGCATTAGGAGATATACCTACTGCTAAACGACGAGTTAATGGGTGCAGCACAGCAACATGGCACATGTATACATATGTAACAAACCTGCACGTTGTGCACATGTACTCTAAAACTTAAAGTGTAATAATAAAAAAAAAAAAAGGAAAAAAAATGCTTACAGAATGACTTATGGACCCGGAATTGCAGGGTTGGACACACTTGAGTCCTTCTATTCTTTTTGACAATTAGTACTGGAGCTCCAAGTCCTGCTCCTTGTCCATCAACTCGTAATAGTGCTGTCTGTCCTGCAGACCAAAAAGGTAGCTCTGGCTTTAAGTAGTAAAATTTAAAGGATTGCATGTCCTTGTCTTACAATTTGGTTTGGTTCACATACTACTTAGCAGAGCAGTCCTTCCTGAATATAAATGTTGGAGCTGTGGTAGCATAGACCAAGGAATGTTACAGTCTGGGCATCCAATTTGTGGTTCTCAGTACAGATGTTTAGGGCTGCTCCTGCTAAGCCTCTCTTGTGTTAAACCATTGCAGACTGCTTTTGGTTTTTTAGGATTATGAACATATGTGGCATGTCAGGCATCAAAGTACAAGGAAAAATGCCCTTTATAAGAGGTAGGGGCTTCTTTGGTTCAAGTTGTAAGCTCTTTTTCTTTTTCTCTCTCTGATTTAATATATACCTCAAACCAGAATTCATACAGTAAGCACTTCAGGTCATAACATGCATATAGCTGATTATTTCCTGGGTCACAGACTGAAGAGGTGTTCTGGTTGTATGCGCAGGTTCCTAACTTGGTTCCTGTACTGTAGGTATGGTACAGTAGAGTTTTAACTGTGGTATTCCTTACCCAGGTAGTATGTACACAGTGTGGGCATCTTTCTAGAGATTCCTCCCCTTTTAGTAGAGGCAGAAATGGTAACATCAGTGTATGTAATAGAAACATGCTTACACTACACATGGGCATGGCAAACTCCCTCTGGGCATAGACATTAGCAGCATTTGCAGTGGTAACATAACAATAGAACAATCAGTATTAACAGAATTATAACTAGGGTTATGAATTATATCCACATTTATTCATCCTGAGATTGTCCTCTTAGCTTCAGCTGTGCATTGACTAGTCAGCTTCTGGTATGTGACTAGAGCAGAGCTTGCAGGATCCTCAAGCTTCAGCCATGTGTAGACTGACCAAGCTCTGGTGTGGGCAGAGTAGGGCAGTCATCCTTCTTACCAGTGGTTGGATTTCATTGTAGGACCATTCAGGTGGGGTGATCTGGGTCTTGTTGGCTAATCCACTGGTTGTCATCGGAGTCACTGCTGCCGCTGCTTTCAGCCAGCTATGGTGAATCCAAGGTGTGACACCTGCAACTTTAAGAGCAGTGGGAGTAGACATGATTACAACATGGGGCCCATCCCTTAAGGGCCCCAAGGTTGTTGGATTCCACCTTTTAACACAGAGTCCCCCGGCTTATGTGGATGCACTTGGTCTGTTAGACTTATAGGTATCCTTTCTCTTCCCCAGCTTTGCACATCCTGCATTGCCACTCCTAAAGCCTGCATCTGTCTCTTAAGGGTTAACTCTCCTAACTCCTTTAAATCCCCTCTAATTTGATTAATGATTGGGGGTGCCCTTCCAAACAATATTTCATGGGACAAATACTACAAAACTAGGTAGTTTGTTTTGTAGGTGTCCACCTGACCTGGAGGAGGACCATGGGCAAGACCTGATCCCATTGTAAGTGAGTTTCCTGGCAAAACTTTTTTAGTAGCTGTTTGAGTGTCCAGTTCATCTGTTCTATCTTCCCTGAACTCTGTGGTCAATAGGCTGTGTCCAGTTTCCATTTGGTCTTTAAAAGCTGAGTCAGCTGTTGTACTACTTCTGCCACAAATGCAGGACCATTGTCTGATCCTAAGGTTAAGGGCAACCCAAATCTTAATATGATGTCTTTCAGTAGCACCTTTGTCACCTCTCATGCCTTTTCAGTCCTGGTGGGTAAGGCCTCAACCCACCCCGAGAAGGTGCAAACAAACACTAGCATATACCAGTAACCTCCTGCTTGAGGTAATTCAGTAAAGTCTACAGGCAGGTTCTCACAAGGCACAGCTCCCATTTCCTGTATTCCTGGGGTTGAGTATGTCCTTATTTTGGATTATTCCGTACACAGGATAGACATTGTTCACAAACAGCACGGGTGATGGCAGACAGCCATGGCACATAGAAATGCTGACCTATCAAAGTCTGTAGGGCTGTCCTTCCAATGTGTGTTCCTTGATGGATCTGCTTCACAAACCGTGGGGCTACTGTTTCTGGGATGGCTAGCCTCCTGTCAGAGAACAGCCACCAACTATCTTTAATATATATTTCCTGTTTCCTGATGAAAACAAGCTTGTTCACTTAAAGAGTAATTGGGTACCTCAAGTAAAGGGGGCTCTATAAGGAGAGGCATTGCTGGAGTTCTTTCTTCAGGTAAAACCTTGCTCATTGCTGCCTGCTGAGCCCCTCGGTCTGCCTTTCTGTTGCCCTGTGCCTCATAGCTTTTCCCGGTTTGGTGTTCTTTGCAATGAATGACAGCCACATTCTCTGGAGCCAATATGTCTTCTAATAATTGCCAAATTTCTTCTTTATTTTTTATATCTTTTCCTTCAGTAGTCAATAGTCCTCTGTCTTTTTATATTGCCCCATGGGCATGCAGGGTTGCAAAAGCATATCTTGAGTCAGTATATATATTTACTTTCTTCCTCTTCGCCAATAACAGTGCTCTGGTTAATGCTATTAATTCAGCCTTCGGAGCAGAAGTCCCAGAAGGTAAGGCTTGAGCCTCAACTACTGAGTGTTGTGTTACTACTGCATACCCTGCATATCACACCCCATCTGTTATGAAACTGCTACCATCAGTGAAGTATTCAACATCTGGGCTTTCCAAGGGGGTATCTCTGAGATCTTCCCAGCTCAAGAACACTTCATCCACCATATTTATACAACAGTGGGGAAGGTCCTGCCAGCATTGAGGCAACCCACCATGCTTCCAATCAGGTTCCTCCACAGGCAGCAGGGTAGCTGGGTTCAAGGTATTTAGTCTGTAGTGTTACCCACAGATTCTCACACAGAAGCCCTTGATACTTTAGCATTCTAGAGTGGGAGAGCCAATGGCGTCCTCTTTGCTCCATTAAGGTGACTACAGTGTGTGGCACCCAGAATATTATCTTCTGACCTAGGGCTAGCTTGTTGGCATCTTCTATAAGGATCGCGGTAGCTGCCAGTGCCCTGAGGCAATGGGGCCAACCTAAGGCCACCAAGTCCAGTCTCTTGGATAAAAGTATGCTACTGGCTGATGCCAAGAGCCTAACAACTGAGTTAAGACTCCAAATACCATTCTCTTTCATTCATCCACCTACAAAAAGAAGGGTTTTTTAACATCTGGCAACCCTAGTGCTGGGGCCTGGATGAGAGCTTCCTTTATATCCTTGAAGGCCTTTTCCTCTTCTTTTTCCCATAGGAGGGGCTCTCTTTCCTTTCCTTTGCTAGCCTCAAATAAGGGCCTTGCTATAAGGGAGAAGTTTGGAATCCAGATTCGGCACAATCCCACTGCACCCAGAAATTCCCTGACCTGCTGCCTTGTAACTGAGGTGGGCAATGCACATAAAGCCTCCTTGCATGCACTTCCAAGCCTGTGCAGGCTTTGGGATACCATGAATCCTAGATATCCAACCTCCAGAAAACAGAATTTTGCCTTGTCCTTGGACACTGTAACCAGCTTCACCCAGCAGGTGAAGAAGCCTCTCTATTCCTCGGAGATATTCCTCCCTCCTGGGGGCAGCGAATAGCAAATCATGAATGTATTGTAATACCACAGAATTGTCACTAAATGGTGCAAAAGCTTCAAGGTTGGTAGCCAAAGCGTCCTCAAAGATAATGGGAGAATTCTTAAATCCTTGTGGCAGTCTTGTCCAGGTATATTACAATTGCCCCCACTGGAAGGCAAATATAGGCTGACTTTGGGGAGCAAGTCTCAAGCAAAGAAAACATCCTTTAAGTCTAGACACATGAACCACATGGCCTCAGCAGGAATCTGTCCTAACATGGTGTATGGGTTGGGTACTATGGCATAGATAGTGACAGTAGCCTTCTTTGCCCACCAGAAGTCCTGCACTGGCCTGTATTCACCATTTGGCTTGTGCACAGGCTGCAGAGGAGTATTCCAAGAGGACTTGCATTTTACTGTAATCCCTTGTTCATAGAGCCGATTTAGATGTTGTGTTATGCCTTCAATTACCTCTTTGGGTAGTGGGTATTGACAGACTCATACCAGGGCAGCATGAGTGTTAAGCTCTATTACCACTGGGTGTCTGTTTACAGCAAGTCCAGGAGGATTGTCCTCAGCCCATACACCTGGAACCTTGAAAAGCATTCCCTACATACTGTGTAGGTCCAGCTCCGGTATCTTTCTGGCACACAGTTCAGAGAGCTGCCATTCCTCAGCCTCTGGGACAGTTAGAATCAATACCATTGCCTTAGACTTTCCAAATTCCGGTGTCGTATTCCCTTCAGGTGTAAAGGAAATTTGTGCCTGCAGTTTCTGGAGTAAGTCTCTCCCTAACAAGGGCACTGGACAACTTGGCATATATAGAAACTCATGCTGCACTTCTTTTCCCCCAGTAATGTATCTCCTGGAATTGCGAAAAGGTCTCTTTTCTTTGGCCTCTGTGGCCCCTACGATAGTAGCACAGTTCTTTGAGGGGGGCGCTAATTGGGTGAGTTACCACAGAGAAATCAGCACCAGTATTGACCAAAAAATCCATTCATTAATCGGCCCCCTACTTCCATAGAGACCATAGGCTCCACAAGGCCTAAAAGGATGGAGCCTGGTCTGTCTGAGTCCTCTAAATTCTCAGCCCCTGCCAAGCCGATCAGATCGGGATCTGCCTTGGAAGTACCACTGCTAGCAACCTAACACCGCACTTGGGTGTTAGACCACTGACCATCATCATCCTTTTCCTTTTCAGGGCACTCATCTTTCCAGTGGCCCATTTGCCTGCACCTTTCACATTGATTCCTGTCCAACTGGGACTGGCTTTCATCTCTGGGTCTTGTCTGCCCTGTTCCTTGGCCTCTGCCTCGGCCTCACCCTCTAACAAGTCCAGGGTTACTTTCTGCTAGTGCAGCAGAAATTGAGCTGTCTCTTTGTTTCTATTTCTCGTTTTTCTTTCTTCCTTTTTCTCTGCCTCTTCTTCCCAGTTTTTTAATACTTTGTTTGCTATTTCCAGGAGTTTACTAATATTTTTCCCTGAAAAGCCTTCCAACTTCTGAAGCTTTCATATTATGTCTCCCTGAGCTTGCCTGACAAAGGTCATATTTATCATATTTTGGTTTTCAGGAGCCTCTGGAATAATTGGAGTGTACAGCCTCTATGCCTCACAAAGCCTTTCATAGAATGCACTGCGGCTTTCATCAGGCTTTTGGCCCACTTCTGATATGTTATGGATATTCAATGCCTTCCTTCCTCCTGCTTTTATCCTGTTCAGGAGTGCCCTTCTATATAATGCAGCTGTTCCATGTCCCCAGCCTCATTTGGGTCCCAGTTAGGGTCCTCATTTGGGTATCGCTCCACGGAGAACTGGCATGGGTTACGGGTGGCCTCTGGGGCTTCCCCTTCTAACCAGCTGAGAGCTGCCTGATTAACTCTCCTATGCTCCTCTGTATTAAAGTTAGCAAAAGTAGTTGACAATCTGGCCAGGTTGGGTTTTGTGTTATAATAATAGAATTCACCAAATCAATGACAGCCTGAGGCTTTTCTGCATACAAGGGGGCATG
The DNA here is from genome assembly GCF_000001405.40 of Homo sapiens. Classification (NCBI taxonomy): domain Eukaryota; kingdom Metazoa; phylum Chordata; class Mammalia; order Primates; family Hominidae; genus Homo; species Homo sapiens. The sequence goes on along the minus strand of NC_000024.10, from coordinate 13,113,265 downwards.
CTGTTTCCAATTTAAGAGATCAGTAGTGGAGAAAGGCTGATAAACATAAAGCCTAGAGCCTCCTTGTATCTGCCCTTGGTCATCATAAACTTGTGTCCTGTTCTCTCGAAGTGGCATCTGCAAAGCCTGTGGTCAGCCTGAGCGGAGGCACCCAGCTGCCTTGCTCTGTCCATCTTCCTGGTTTTTTTCTAAGGGAGGCTTTTGTTCCTCTGGGGTGAGGGGAGACTGGGCCTCACTTTCCTCTCAGCCTGACTCTGTGGATGCTCCTGACTCTGCCTCCTGCCTTATTCTGGCCAAAGACAGGTAGACGGGCACATATAGGGGGTGGACATTCCCTTTCCTCAGATGGAGCCTGAAGAATGGTTTCAGGTGAGGCTTTGAGGATTCCTTTTTGTGAGAGACTCTAGGGGCTTTAGGTTCCTCTGCTTCCTTTGGTTGGTCTGCCCAAGCCACTAATACCTTGCAGTATCCCTCTAGGCAGGGCTGTAGCCACTTGGGGTGAGGTTGTGACACAATGAGCCAAGAGTCTTTATAGGGAAACTGGTCTGATTATTCTGGTTGTCCTCCAACTCCAGCGACCACCTTAAACGCATGGCCAATTAATTTCCAGTCTATTGTACCTTCAGGGGACCACCCCACATTAAAAGCAGGCCAATCTATCTCACAGTATGTCCTTAACTTTTGATATACTGTTAAGGACAGTTTCATCCCATAATGACCTCTAAATCCTGTTTTAAAATTCTTTATCATGCACTCCAAAGGAGTTGGTTTCAATGCTTTTCCTCCCATTTCTTCCCTTGTGATGCACTTTCACTCTCAGGTCTACCAGACTGGGTCTTATTATGGGAGTTTCAGACATTGCTTAGCCAGGAACATGCCTTTCCCTCTCACAGCCTGCTGCAGCCATGGACCTGGTCCTATCAGCCATAAGCAATGTCCTAGGTCTGATTTCCCCCACACTCACCTCGGAGCACACAACCCATGCTAAACGATCTGTGCCTCCACACATCACTCCCTGCATTGGCCTCTCCTGAGACTGTCTCTTTCACACACTTTCATACACTTTCTCTGCCCCAGGACTTCTCATTAGATGAAACAGGCCTCTCCCATGTTCTGGGTAGTCTAGTTAGGCTCCCACATTCACACACATACACACCAGTCCTACCCCAGGACTCCTCATCAGATAAAACAATCCTCTCTCATGTCCTGGGTAGGTCCACACACACCCACAAACACCCACACACTCTCAGTTGGGATGAAGCCATTCTTGCCACTCTGCCAGCAAGCTCTTCCTTACTGGACTTGCCGCTCTATCAGCCCATTTTCTCCACCAGTGAACCACTTTTACTTGTTAGGGGGACATGAGGTTCATCCAAATTGGCAGACCACTCCTGCCACCCCCAGCCACTCTGGGTTGGATTAGTGGTCGGTCCCTGGGAGGTTATCAAGCTCCCCTTCGTCCCTATGGGATGGGCTTTCCTGCCTTGGGCCCTTTCTCCTTACCGCAGTTCCTGAAGTTCTGGTATCATCCTGCAGCTCCATCCCTGGTTCCACTGCACTGCCAGGCAGAGCACCAGGATGCAGGGAGAGCTGGTCTCCATCCAGATGAAGCTCCCCTGTGGTGCACCGTGGATGCTGGGTCTACCCTGGCCCCAGGGCTCTAGTCCTGCAGGCAAAGGAGACAGTAAATCTGTCATCTCCAATCCCCATCTGAGCCACTAGAAATGCTGCTGGATGATTAAGGAATCAGAGAGACCAAGTGGTTGAGGAGGAATTATTAAATTATTTAGGTGCACTGACCCAGTCAGATTAACATCCAAAGGACTGAGCCCTGAACAAAGAGTCAAGCTACCTTTAAACATTTTGTGGGGCAGGAGGAGATCTGTGCAGCAAGAATCATATTACAAAAGCGAGAAACAAAGACAGTTACTCAGTGAAGACATGCATTCATCATTTCTTACTTTTCAAGGAAAAACATGTTTTGTGACTTGAGATTATCTGTCTAGTGACCTTGCAGCTGCTCAGCTAGAGAAGCAGGGTCTTCACAATGCCTGGAAAGGGAGAGAGAAGGCTCACTAGCCACAGAGAGAAAAACAGGCAGTTAATTTGAAAGGACTCCAGCTCTTTCTCTTCCTCAGGGGAAATTGGGTTTTCTTATATACAACTGAGTTTTTGCTTACGCATTCTTTAATTTCTTTTAATTCCTGTTCCAATAGAAATATATTGTCCTTCAATGCAGATGATTTTTTTGTAACTATTAAAACCTAAATACCTAACCAAAAAACTCTTAGATCTTATATATAAATTCAATAAAGTTGCAGGATACAAAGTCAACAGAGAGAAATCAGTAGCATTTCTGTATCCTAATAATGATCCAGCTGAGAAAAACATTAAGAAGAAAATCCTATTTACAGTAGCTACTAAAAGAAACAAACCCCAACTTCGGTGACCACCTTAAAGACAGGGCCTCTAGAAGTCTAGAAGTGAATGACCTCTAGAAAGAAACTTATAAAACACTGATGAAAGAAATTGAAGAGGACACAAAGGGAAAAACATTGCATGTCATTGATCAAAAGAATTGACATCATTAAAATGACCATACTACTAGAAGCCATCTACAGATTCAATGCAGTCTGTATCAAAATATCAATGTTATTTTCAATAGAAATAGAAAAAAAAATACTAAAATTTGTATGAAACTGATAGAGACCAAAGAGCCAAAGCAACTCTGAGCAAAACAAACAAAACTAACGGCATCACAGTACCTGACTTCAAAATGTATTACAAGGATACATTGACCTAAATGGAATTGTATTGTGTAAAAACAGACAGACCAATGAAAGAGAATTCAGAACCCAAATGTAGATCTGTGTATTTACTGCCAAGAGTGTTTTTTAACAAAGAATCCAAGAACATGCATTGGAGAAAGAACACCTCTTCAATAAATGGTGCTGGAAAAACTGGATATCCACATAAAGAAGAATAAAACTGCATGGCTATCTTTACCATGTACAAAAATCAACTAAAGGTAGATAACAGACTTAAATGTAAGACTCATACTATAAAACTACTAAAAGAAAACATAGGAAAAATACTTCAGGACATTGACCTCGGCAAATATTTTATGGCTAAAACATCAAAAAGCATGGGAAACAAAACCAAAAATAGACAAATTGGATAGTATTAAACTAAAAAACTTCTGTACAGGAAAGGAAACAACAGAGTGAAGAAACAATCTATTGAATGAAAGAAAATATTTGTAAGCTGTTCATCAACAAGGGACTAGTATTCAGAATATATATGAAACTCAAACAATTCAGCAGTTAAAAAGATTTATATTGGCCAGGCATGGTGGCTCATGCTTGTAATTCCAGCACTTTGGGAGTCCAAAGCACGAAAATCACAACGTCAGGAGTTAGAGACCAGCCTGGTCAACATGGTGAAACTGTGTCTCTACTAAAAAAAAATACAAAAAATTAGCTGGGCATAGTAGCAGTCACCTGTAATTCCAGCTACCCAGGAGGCTGAGGCAGGAAGAATTGCTTGAACCCGGAGGGCAGAGGTTGCAGTGAGCCAAGATCTCACCACTGCACTCCAGCCTGGGCAACAAAGTAAGACTCTGTCTCAAAAAAAAATTTTTTTACATTAAATAATGAACACATGCCAGGTATAGTGGCTCACATTTGTAATCCCCACACTTTGGGAGCCCAAGGCAGGCAGATCACATGAGGCCAGAAGTTTGAGACCAGGCAGGCCAATATGACAAAACCCCTTCTCTACTAAAAATACAAAACTTGGCCAGGCATGGTGGCTCATGCCTGTAATCCCAGCACTTTGGGAGTCTGAGGCAGGTGGATCGTGAGGTCAAGAGATCAAGACAATCCTGGCTAACATGGTGAAACCCCGTCTCTACTAAAAACACAAAAAAATTAGCTGGGCATGGTGGCAAGCGCTTACAGTCCCAGCTACTTGGCAGGCCGAGGTAGGAGAATGGCATGAACCCAGGAGGCTGAGGTTGCAGTGAGGTGAGATAGTGCCACTGCACTCCAGCCTGGGCGACAGAGCAAGACTCCATCTCAAAAAAAAAAAAAAAAAATTAACTGTTTGTAGTGGCACATGACTGTGATCCCAGCTACTCAAGAGGCTGAGGCACAAAAATCTCTTGGACCTGGGAGGTGGAGGTTGCTGTGAGCTAGAATATCACTGCACTCTAGCCTGAGCAATACAGCAAGATCCTGTCTCAAAAAAATAGTGGGCATAGTATGTCAACAGAATTGTCTCAAGACATGCAAATGGCCAAAAGGTATACTTTTCAAATTGTCAACATCACTAATCATCAGAGAAATAAAAATCAAAACAAAAATATGATATCATCTTACCCCAGTTAAAATGATTATTATTAAAAAGTTGAAAAATAACAATTACTGGCAAGGATATTGAGAAAAGGGGACTCAAACACTGCTGGTGAAAATGTAAATTACTACAAACCACATTGGAAACAGTATAGTGATTTCTCAAAAAAAAATCACAAAAAACAAAAGATAGAACTGTCATATGATTGAACAATCCTACTTTGGGTATATGCCCCAAGTAAACTAATTCAGTATATTGAAGGGATACATGCACTCTCATGTTTATTGCAGCACTATTCAAACAGCAAAATATGGAATCATCCTAAGTGTTTACTGGTGTATGAATGAAAAAAGAAAATATGATCTTGAATTATATATATGTATATATCATTGTGTGTATATATACACATTTCCATTGTATATAGGATGGGTAAAATGTGGAGGGATAAAAAGGTCGTTGGCTAATGGATACAAATATACAGTAAGATAGGAGAAATAAGCTCTAATGTTTAATGGCAGAGTAATGTAACTTTGTTAAAAACAAAGAACTGCATATTTCAAAATAACTAGATGAGAGGACTTGGGGTATTTCTGACATGCAAGTCCTTGAGGTGATAGACACCCCAGATATAGAGACTGGATTCTTACACCTTCTATGCATATGACAAAATATGATATGTACCACATAAATATATAAAAATATTATATATCAATTTTTAAAAGCTGCCTTTAATAGCTTGAATAATATAAAATTAGACATTTTATTTGCTGACATTTGCAAATATTTTTTATTAAGAAAAGATACTAAAGGCCATCAGTGCTTTTTACAGCTTTCATTTTCTTTTTTTTTCTACTAATTTATAAAAAAAGAATAGAAATACTGCATATAACTTTTATAATGTCCCTTTCCCCAGTTGATTTGGCTCACAATAATATGAGGGCAATTCTGGTGAATAAAAAAGAAGGATATTGAACATCATAATTTAACTGCATACTAGGCTCTGCTACATAAAGAGAGAAAGAGTGAGAGTTGTTACCTGAAAGACTAAGCAGGCTCATATTTTAATAATAGACAACATCAGGATATTGAAAAAAAAAGGTGAAGAACTGCAACAAAAATTCCTGGATAATTTAGGTCCTTAAAAGTTCTGTCCTTAGCAAACATATTCAGTAGATAACAATGAAGAGAAGAAAGACTTTAGACAAGGAGCTGATAAGAAATTTTATTACAACTTCAATTTTGGATGGGAAAAATCTCTCTTCCATGAAAAGTTGCTGCCTAAGTTTGTTATCACAAGGTTTGGTTTTCTATTTACTCTTCCTACATAATATTTGAATTTCTAATTAAAAAATTCAAAACTTACTCTTAACTATGTGATGAGTGGAATAACTATAAAAAATTAAAGATATATTGCAGTGAGATACACACAGGTTTCCTAGAGTTAAATTTTCACTGAAAATGAATTCACAATGCAAAAGTCTATTGTTTACAAGGAAAGAATTCAAGAAATCCAGCAAATAGTAAAATTAAATGGAATGGTGTAGAATTTTGTTTTATTTTTGTTTACTATTTATGGGCTACATGTGGAATTTTGTTACATGCATAGATTGCAGAATGTTAAAGTTGAGGCTTTTAAAAAAATTTATTTTACTTTAAATTCTGGGATACATGTGCAGAACACGCAGGTTTGTTACATAGGTGCCATGGTAGTTTGCAGAACCCATCAACCTGTCATCTAGGTTTTTGTTTGTCTGTTTGTTTTGAGACAGAGTCTCGCTCTGTCACCCAGGCTGGAATGCAGTGGCGTGATCTCGGCTTACTGCAACCTCTGCCTCCCGGGTTCAAGCGATTCTCCTGCCTCAGCCTCCCAAGCAGCTGGGACTATAGGGGTGCTCCACCATGCCCAGCTAATTTTTTTGTATTTTTAGTAGAGACAGGGTTTCAACATGTTGGCCAGGCTGGTCTCAATATCCTGACCTGGTCATCTGTCTGCCTTGGCCTCCCAAACTGCTGGGATTACAGGTGTGAGCCACCGTGCCCAGCTGCATCATCTAGGTTTTAAGCCCCGCATGCATTAGGCATTTGTCCTAATGCTCTCCCTTCCCTTTTGCCCCATACTCCAATAAGCCCCAGTGTGTGATGCTCCCCTCCCTGTGTGCTTGTGTTCTCATTGTTCAACTCCCACTTATTAGTGAGAACATAAGATGTTTACCTTTCTGTTCCCGTGTTAGTTTGCTAAGAATGATGGTTTTCAGCTCCATGCATGTCTCTGCAAAGGTCATGAACTCATTCTTTTTTATGGCTGCATAGTATTCCACATTTTCTTTATCCAGTCTGTCATTGATGGGCATTTGGGTTGGTTCTAAGTCCTTTAGGGTATCCATTGCCTAAATAATGTACATTTTACACATTAACCAATTTATCATCATCCTTTTCATCTCATATCTTCACACTTCTGAGTCTACATAATGTATCATTTTACTCTTTATGTCTATGTGAACAACTTTCTCTAAGAATAACTTGTGAATGAGAACATGAGATATTTGTCTTTCTGTGACTGACCTATTTCACTTAACCTACAACAATGACCTCCAGTTTTATCCTTGTTGCTGAAAAAGACGTGATTTTGTTCTTGTCTATGGCTGAATACTATTCTATTGTGTATCTATGCCAATTTTTAAAAATCCGTTAATTCATTGATAAACACTCAGATTCATCCCATAGTTTTGCTACTATAATGAGTGCTGTAATAAATTTACAAGTGCAGGTATCTTTTTTGATATATCAATTTCATTCCTTTATGGAGATATCCAGTCTTGGAACTGCTGCATTGAATGGCAGTTCTAATTTTAGTTCTTTACAAAACCTTCATTCCACTTTCAATAGAGACTATCCTAATTTATATTTCCTCCTGTGTATTAAAGTTCCCTCTTCTGCACATCTTCATCAGCATCTATTATTTTTTGTCTTTTTAGTAATCACATTCTATTAATATTAATATTTATGACTAAAATGAGATGATATCTCATTTTAGTTTTGATTTTCATTTACCTGATAATTAGTTATGTTGCACATTTTTATATACCCATTGAGCATTTTATGATTTTTTTGAAAAGTCAATTCATGTTCTTTGCCAACTTTTTAAAGTCATTATTTGTTTTCTGTTGCTGCTTGTTCTTGTTGAAATGTTTCAGTTTCTTTTGTGCTAGATATTAGTCCCCTGTCAGAGGAATAGTTTGCAAATATTTTGTCCCATTCAATAGGCTGTCTCTTCATTCTATTGATTATTTTGCTGTGCAGCTTTTTAGCTTTTAATTAAATCTTATTTGTCTATTTTGTTTCTGTTATTTCTACTTTTGAAGATTTAATCCTGTGTTATTTACCTCAACTGATGTCCAGAAGAGTTTTTTATAAGTTTTCTTCTACTATTTTATTATCTTTGGTCTTTTATTTTAGTCTTGTACGATTTTTGCATATGGTGTGAGATATGGATCCAGTTTCATTCTTCTGCATGTGGCTATTCACTTTTCTGAGCATCATTTATTGAAAAGGGTGCCCTCTACCTGTTGAGGACAAATTGCCCCAGAAAGCTTCTTGGTACTGCCAACACTCCTCACAAAACTTTCTGTGCTGCCCACCCCTCCACTAATGCTCTGCAACACTTCTCTGTGCTGCCCACCCTTCCCCCAAGCCTCTTTACATTTCTAAGCCCTTATCTGGGCACCATAATGAAGCCAGCAGACTTCACTTATTAGACCTTGCTGCGATAATCAAACCCTAATTACAAAACATCCAGACCACAAAGGGGGAGGTCATGGGAAGCATAAACAAACTTTACCTATACCCTCCTGTAATAAATATCACAAGGTGATATGTGGCAAAATTAACCAGCAAACAACCCTGGGATGCGGCCATATCAAAGAACTTCCTCAAACTCCGCTCCCCAGTATAAACCCCTCATTCTGTAAGTTTGGGGCTGCTTTCCTTGACTGTTAAGAGGGGCAACTGGCAGGTCAATAAAAACTCTCTAGCCTGACTTTGGGTCTAGTTTTCCTTTCTCTCAGCTGACCTTACACTGCTCATGTGTGTTATTATCCACTTTTGTCAAATATCAGCAGGCAGTTGTGGAGAAAAGCAAGAGAGATCAGATTGTTACTGTGTCTGTGTAGAAAGAAGTAGACATAGGAGACTCCATTTTGTTCTGTACTAAGAAAAATTCTTCTGCCTTGAGATTCTGTTAATCTATAACGTTACCCCCAACCCCGTGCTCTCTGAAACATGTGCTGTGTCAACTCAGAGTTAAATGGATTAAGGGCGGTGCAAGATGTGCTTTGTTAAACAGATGCTTGAAGGCAGCACGCTCCTTAAGAGTCATCACCACTCCCTAATCTCAAGTACCCAGGGACACAAAAACTGCGGAAGGCCGCAGGGACCTCTGCCTAGGAAAGCCAGGTATTGTCCAAGGTTTCTCCCCATGTGATAGTCTGAAATATGGCCTCGTGGGAAGGGAAAGACTTGACCGTCCCCCAGCCCGACACCCGTAAAGGGTCTGTGCTGAGGAGGATTAGTATAAGCGGAAGGCATGCCTCTTGCAGTTGAGACAAGAGGAAGGCATCTGTCTCCTGCCCGTCCCTGGGCAATGGAATGTCTCGGTATAAAACCCGATTGTATGTTCCATCTACTGAGATAGGGAAAAATCGCCTTAGGGCTGGAGGTGGGACATGCGGGCAGCAATCTGCTTTGTAAAGCATTGAGATGTTTATGTGTATGCATATCTAAAAGCACAGCACTTAATCCTTTACATTGTCTATGATGCAAAGACCTTTGTTCCCGTGTTTGTCTGCTGACCCTCTCCCCACAATGGTCTTGTGACCCTGACACATCCCCCTCTTCAAGAAACACCCACGAATGATGAATAAATACTAAGGGAACTCAAAGGCTGGGGGGATCCTCCATATGCTGAACGCTGGTTCCCTGGGTCCCCTTATTTCTTTCTCTGTACTTTGTCTCTGTGTCTTTTTCTTTCCTAAGTCTCTCGTCCCACCTTACGAGAAACACCCACAGGTGTGGAGGGGCAACACACCCCTACAGCAGTAAATCTGTGGCATTACATTGGGGTTCAGTATTTTGCTTCTTTGATCTATATGTCTATTTTTATGTGACTACCATGCTTTTTGTTATGATAACATTATAATATAATTTTTTTATTATTATTATACTTTAAGTTTTAGGGTACATGTGCACAATGTGCAGGTTAGTTACATATGTATACATGTGCCATGCTGGTGCACTGCACCCACTAACTCATCATCTAGCATTAGGTATATCTCCCAATGCTATCCCTCCCCCCTCCCCCCACCCCACAACAGTCCCCAGAGTGTGATGTTCCCCTTCCTGTGTCCGTGTGTTCTTATTGTTCAATTCCCACCTATGAGTGAGAATATGCGGTGTTTGGTTTTTTGTTCTTGCGATAGTTTACTGAGAATGATGATTTCCAATTTCATCCGTGTCCCTACAAAGGACATGAACTCATCATTTTTTATGGCTGCATAGTATTCCATGATGTATATGTGCCACATTTTCTTAATCCAGTCTATCATTGTTGGACATTTGGGTTGGTTCCAAGTCTTTGCTATTGTGAATAGAGCCGCAATAACCATACGTGTGCATGTGTCTTTATAGCAGCATGATTTATAATCCTTTACGTATATACCCAGTAGTGGGATGGCTGGGTCAAATGGTATTTCTAGTTCTAGATCCCTGAGGAATCGCCACACTGACTTCCACAATGGTTGAACTAGTTTACAGTCCCACCAACAGTGTAAAAGTGTTCCTATTTCTCCACATCCTCTCCAGCACCTGTTGTTTCCTGACATTTTAATGTTCGCCATTCTAACTGGTGTGAGATGGTATCTCACTGTGGTTTTGATTTGCATTTCTCTGATGGCCAGTGATGGTGAGCATTTTTTCATGTGTTTTTTGGCTTCAAAAATGTCTTCTTTTGAGAAGTGTCTGTTCATGTCCTTCGCCCACTTTTTGATGGGGTTGTTTGTTTTTTTCTTGTAAATTTGAGTTCAATGTAGATTCTGGATATTAGCCTTTTGACAGAGGAGTAGGTTGCGAAAATTTTCTCCCATTTTGTAGGTTGCCTGTTCACTCTGATGGTAGCTTCTTTTGCTGTGCAGAAGCTCTTTAGTTTAATTAGATCCCATTTGTCAATTTCGGCTTTTGTTGCCATTGCTTTTGGTGTTTTAGACATGTAGTCCTTGCCCATGCCTATGTCCTGAATGGTAATGCCTAGGTTTTCTTCTAGGGTTTTTATGGTTTTAGGTCTAACATTTAAGTCTTTAATCCATCTTGAATTGATTTTTGTATAAGGTGTAAGGAATGGATCCAGTTTCAGCTTTCTACATATGGCTAGCCAGTTTTCCCAGCACCATTTATTAAATAGGGAATCCTTTCCCCATTGCTTGTTTTTCTCAGGTTTGTCAAAGATCAGATTGTTGTAGATATGTGGTGTTATTTCTGAGGGCTCTGTTCTGTTCCATTGATCTGTATCTCTGTTTTGGTACCAGTACCATGCTGTTTTTGTTACTGTAGCCTTGTAGTATAGTTTGAAGTCAGGTAGTGTGATGCCTCCAGCTTTGTTCTTTTGGCTTAGGACGGACTTGGCGATGTGGGCTCTTTTTTGGTTCCATATGAACTTTAAAGTAGTTTTTTCCAATTCTGTGAAGAAAGTCATTGGTAGCTTGATGGGGATGGCATTGAATCTGTAAATTACCTTGGGCACTACGGCCATTTTCATGATATTGATTCTTCCTACCCATGAGCATGGAATGTTCTTCCATTTGTTTGTATCCTCTTTTATTTCCTTGAGCAGTGGTTTGTAGTTCTCCTCGAGGAGGTCCTTCACATCCCTTGTAAGTTGGATTCCTAGGTATTTTATTCTCTTTGAAGCAATTTGTGAATGGGAGTTCACTCATGATTTGGCTCTCTGTTTGTCTGTTGTTGGTGTATAAGAATGCTAGTGATTTTTATACATTGATTTTGTATCCTGAGACTTTGCTGAAGTTGCTTATCAGCTTAAGGAGATTTTGGGCTGAGACAATGGGGTTTTCTAGATATACAATCATGTCATCTGCAAAGAGGGACAATTTGACTTCCTCTTTTCCTAATCGAATACCCTTTATTTCCTTCTCCTGCCTAATTGCCCTGGCCAGAACTTCCAACACTATGTTGAATAGGAGTGGTGAGAGAGGGCATCCCTATCTTGTGCCAGTTTTCAAAGGGAATGCTTCCAGTTTTTTCCCATTCAGTATGATATTGGCTGTGGGTTTGTCATAGATAGCTCTTATTATTTTGAAATACGTCCCATCAATACCTAATTTATTGAGAGTTTTTAGCATGAAGGGCTGTTGAATTTTGTCAAAGGCCTTTTCTGCATCTATTGAGATAATCATGTGGTTTTTGTCTTTGGTTCTGTTTATATGCTGGATTACATTTATTGATTTGTGTATATTGAACCAGCCTTGCATCCCAGGGATGAGGCCCACTTGATCATGGTAGATAAGCTTTATGATGTGCTGCTGTATTCGGTTTGCCAGTATTTTATTGAGGATTTTTGCATCAATGTTCATCAAGGATATTGGTCTAAAATTCTCTTTTTTGGTTGTGTCTCTGCCAGGCTTTGGTATCAGGATGATGCTGGCCTCATAAAATGAGTTAGGGAGGATTCCCTGTTTTTCTATTGATTGGAATAGTTTCAGAAGGAATGGTACCAATTCCTCCTTGTACCTCTGGTAGAATTTGGCTGTGAATCCATCTGGTTCTGGACTCTTTTTGGTTGGTAAGCTATTGATTATTGCCACAATTTCAGATCCTGTTATTGGTCTATTCAGAGATTCAACTTCTTCCTGGTTTAGTCTTGGGAGAGTGTATGTGTCGAGGAATTTATCCATTTCTTCTAGGTTTTCTAGTTTACTTGCATAGAGGTGTTTGTAGTATTCTCTGATGGTAGTTTGTATTTCTGTGGGATCGGTGGTGATATCCCCTTTATCATTTTTTATTGTGTCTATTTGATTCTTCTCTCTTTTTTTCTTTATTAGTCTTGTTAGTGGTCTATCAATTTTGTTGATCCTTATAATATAATATTTTGACATCAGGTAATGTGATGCTTCCAGCTTTGTTTCTATTGCTCATGATTCTTTTAGCTACTCTGGCTCCTTTTTTGTTCCATCTACATTTTAGAATTATTTTTGCTAATTCTGTGAAAAATGACAGTTGTATGTTAATATAATTGCATTGAACCTATAAATTGCTTCAGGCAGTATGGTTATTTTAAAAATATTAATTTTTTCTATCCATGAGCATTGGATAGTTTATTTGTGTCATCCTCAATTTGTTTTATCAATCTTTTTTTAAGTTTTTCTTCGTTAAAATTAATTAATTAATCTTCTTAGTTAAATATATTTCCCTAGGGTTTTTTTTTGTTCCTATTGAATATGGGATTTCCCTCTTGATTTCCTTCTCAGCTAGATCATTTTTAATTTAAAGAAATGCTACTGATTTTTTTTAGGTGAACCTGTAGTTATTTCTAGATATAAGATCATATAATGAGCAAAGAGGAAAAGGACTTCTTTTCCAACTTGGAAGCATTTTATCTCTTTCTCTTGCTTGATTGTTCTGGCTGGAATTTCCATACTATGTTGAGTAGGAGTGGTGAAGGTGGATAATATTGTCCACTTCTAATTCTTAGAAGTAATGTTTTCAGCTTCTGTAGATCTAGTGTGATGTTTGCTGTGGGTTTGTCATATAAATAGCCTCTATTATTTTGAGATATTTCTTCTATACCTAGTTTGTTGAAGATTTTTCTTATGAAAAGATGTTTAATTTACTATTTGCCATAGAATATATATTGTGGCACCCTCAGGGTGGCATATCAGACAAAAAATCTCAATTACCGTAGCATTTTGCTTAATTATTATCCTTATAGCAGGAATAATGGTTACTAACAGAAAATAACACACAGGCCTTTCTAAACACACACCTCTGCCTCTCATTAGGTAAGGTATGTTGTTTCTGTATCAACCAATCAGGCCTAGTAAAAATTACTGCTGAAAAACTTAAGGAAAGGGCTAAAAAGCTAAAAGAATATCAAAACAACCAAATAAATTCTTGGTTTGGGAACAAAATTGTAGCATGTTCCTGGCCCCTCTTCTAACAATATGCTTGGGACTAATGTTCTTACCCTACCTAATTTACCTTTTTCAAAGATTTTTAACTCACAGGATCATGGCCTTTTCACAAACAACTACCCAAAACCATCTACAGACAGCATTGCTTCTGCAGTCAACCCAAGACCAGAAAACCGTTCATCCCCTTGTCAGCAGGAAGTAACCAGAATGAAAACACCATCTCTCCTCCTTTTTTCAATGATAAGGTCTGGATTGACAGAGCAGGAGCACTGCCATCTTGGACAAGCCCCTAATTCTAAAGTTCACTTTAATAAAAACCACCTAAATCCAAAGGGCATCAGCTTAATGGCTAAGGTTGGCATGACCATAAACCACAAATAACATCTCCAACGAGAAACATTTCAGACTCCTCCTTGTCCAGAGACATGTTAGCCCCAAGATAAGCCTTCTCCATCCAGGAAGATGCCAGCCTCGAGATAACCCCTTCTGGGCTGGTAAGATGTCTGCCCCAAGATAACCTCCCCTCCTCCCAGAGAGATTCCAACCCCACCATAAACTTCTCCACACACATAAACATTCCAAGCTTCTAAGCTCCCCCCACCCTAAAACCAATATATACCCTTAGTCTGTAAGAGAAAGGGCTCCTGACCGAAATTGGCCAGGGGCGCCTCTTAGGTTTTAACTAAAGAAAACCTGTCTTTGACTGCCAAGCTGTGTTTCATGTTTCTTTCCTCTTTCTTTAACTCTTACACACCCAAACATGGTGATTCCCACTGCCTTCTTCTTGCCCTTGCCCTAACATGTGCCTGGCAACATGGCCTCCCCAACATATCCCCACATGTGTAGAACATCATGGCATCCTGCATTTGCAATTAAAAAGCTAGGGTGAGAGGGCCAGATTTTTCACGGGCTATGTGAATGACATGCCTGGTCAAACCAATCCCGTCACCCCTATGCAAATTAGACACTACCTCCTCCAGCCTCCTCATAAAAGTGGCTGGTTTCTGTCACACTCACAGTTTCCTCTCATGACTTGGAATCCCTCTCCCTCTGTCTCTGTATGGGGGAGCTTCTTCCTTCTTCCTTGCCTATTAAACTCTCTGCTCCTTAAAACCATTCCATGTGTGTTTGTGTAGTTTTATCCAATTCTACTCAAGATGAAGAACCCTGGTGTTTCTCCACTCATTGGAGCCGTATCAAAATGAATTACCTGCAGTTCTTGGGTAGATATACTGTAAATGCTTTTTAGGTTCATTTCGTGTAAAGTCTAATTTAAGTCCAGTCTTTCTTTACTGTGTGAACCCAAAATATCTGAACTAGGTCTCTGTTAATTTAAAAAGTTTATTTTGCCAAGGTCAAGGATGTGTGCCAGGAGGTCCTGACATGTGCCCAAGGTGGTCAGGGGACAGCTTGATTTTGTACACTTTATAGAGACATAAGACTTGTCAATATGTCAGATACACATTGTTTCCACTGAGAAAGGTGGGACAACTCAAGCAGGGAGGGGGCTTCCAGGTCACAGGTAGGTGAAAGACAAATGGTTGCATTCTTTTGAGTTTCTGATAAGCCTTTCCAAAGGAGGCAATCAGATATGCATCTATCTCAGTGAGAAGAGCGATAACTTTGAATAGAATGGGAGGCAGGTTTGCCCTAAGCAGTTTCCAGTTTGACTTTCCCCTTTAGCTTAGTAATTTTGGGGCTCCAAGATTTATCTTCCTTTCACAGTTGATTTTTTAAAATCTAAATGATCTGTTTAATGCTGTGAGTTGAGTGTTGACATCCCCACTATTATTGTATTGGGATATATCTCTCTTTCTGTTTAGTAATACTTATTTTATGTATCTGGGTGCATCAGTGTAGGGTGCCTATACATTTAGAATTGTTTTAGTCTCTTGCTAAGTTGATCCCTTTATCATTAAATAATGACTTTCTTTGTCTTTTCTTACTGTCTTTAACTTTTTCTTACTGTCTTTAACAAAAAACATCTGCTTTTTTGGTGTTTAACAATCTTTAATTCAAATATAAAAGTTCAATACAAGCCATTAGAAGGGATTGGGATTTCTTGCTGTTTTAAATGGGGAAATGCAAAAAAAAAAAAAAAATTTTTTTTTACACTTTTCAAAAGCTTCCAAGGAAAGTGTAGATCATAGGGCCATAAAAGATCCATTTAACTTTCACTCATGTCTGTGTGAAGAGACCACCAAACAGTCTTTGTGTGAGCAACAAGGCTGTTTATTTCACCTGGGTACAGGCGGGCTGAGTCGGAAAAGAGAGTCAGTGGAAGGAGATAGGGGTGGGGCCATTTTATAAGATTTGGGTAGGTAAAGGAAAAGCAGGGGTTGTTCTCTGGCTGGCAGGGGTGGGGGTCACACGGTGCTCAGCTGGGAAGCTTTTGAGCCAGGATGAGCCCAGAGAAGGAATTTCAGAAGGTAATATCATCAGTTAAGGCAGGAACAGGCCATTTTCACTTCTTTTGTGGTGGAATGTCATCAGTTAAGGCAGGAACCAGCCATCTGGATGTGTACATGCAGGTCACAGGGGATATGATGGCTTAGCTTGGGCTCAGAGACCTCACATTAACCAAACCCATTTTCACCCCCTACCAATTGTCCTACACCCATTACACAATCTTAATATATTTTCTTGAATCAAGATTTACATTTCAGCTTCACTTACATGACCATTTAAATATACATAGCACTGGTTTGTTTCCTATAATGCCAAATAAATAAGGAAATCTACTTCAATTGCATTTCTTCTTCCCTTTTTTTTTTTTTTTTTTTTTTTGAGACAGAGTCTCATACTATCTCCTGGGCTAGTGTGGCCCAGGCTGGAGAGCAGTGGCGTGATCTCGGCTCACTGCAACATCCGCCTCCCAGGTTTAAACGATTCTCCTGCCTCAGTCTCCTGAGTAGTGGGGATTACAGGCGCCCACCATGCCTGGCTAATTTTTTGTATTTTTAGTAGAGATGCGGCTTTGCTATGTTGGCCAGGCTGGTCTCAAACTCCTGACCTCGTGATCTGCACACCTCGGCCTCCCAAAGTGCTGGGATTACAGGTGTTAGCAACTGCGCCCGGCTGATTCCTTCTTTCTAAAACAAGGGGGGCAGTTATTTGTAGAAAGCAGTATTTAGCCTCCAGATACATTTTCCAGAAATGGCAAATGCCATTCAAAGGCCTTGACACTTTCATGTTTCAAAGTGGGATACCTAGTCTAATATACATATATGCATGAATGGCAAAGTTGAAGATCAACATTATAACTATTTAGGTATTTATTTGAAGCAAAGTACAAAAATGGTAGCACAGGCTGGGCACAGTGGCTCACACCAGTAATCCCAGCACTTCAGGAGACTGAGGCAGGGGGATCATTTAAGGTCAGGAGTTTAAAACTAGCCAGGCAAACATGGTGAAACACCATCTCTACTAAAAGTACAAAAATTAGCCAGGTGTGGTGGTGGGTGCCTGTAATCCCAGCTACTTGGTAGGCTAAGGCAGGAGAATTACTTGAGGCAACCTCTGGGAGGCAGAGGTTGCAGTGACCAGAGATGATGCCATTGCACTCCAGCCTGGGCAGCAGAGTGAGACTCCATTTCAGGAAAACAAAACAAACCAACAAAAACATGGTACCACGAGGTACACTGACATTACTTGGGCATTATACTGTTGAAAAAAAATGAGGAGGTGAAATAAAAAGGGAAAATCTTTATTTTATTTCTAACACTATATTACATAATTTTATCTGCACAAAACATTTAAAAGTATTAAATCAATAACCTGCTAACATCCATAAAAAGGTAGTTTTCTTACTAAAATGCAATAATGTAAATGATTGGTATCTAAACAAGAAAAGACAGTAAGTAATTGGAATGAAACTCTAGATATTACATATCAAATTGGTGTTCTTTGAGACTTTATACTCTTCTCTCCCTCTACAATATCCCTGTGGAATTCTGGGCTCCATTCATCTAGGACCCTTCCCCCCACAAGTCCTGTGTCTTCTTGCCCAAATCACTCCATACACATGACACTTTCCTTCATGGATCCACTCGTGGTTTCTAATGGAATTCTAAAATTAGTGTCATAACCTATGCCATCATTATCATCTAGAGGTGGACATTTCTGGCCTCCTGAACCATAGGGATCTCCTGTGCCACCCATTCTCATATCTCTTTCTCTTGGATCCATGTAGCCCATCTGACTGTAATTTTCCTGTAATTTGGTGCCTCATCTGTTCTTCCATCCCATATCAATGAATCATCATCTTTTCCTCCTCTGTCGTTTCTCCTCTTGCCTCAATTGCATTTCTTTATGTTTCTGCATTCCTTGATTGTGAAGTTTTTGCATGCATCATAATTCTTCCTCCTGCCTTATCAGATCTTGGTGCAAAAGATTTCCTTGATGTTCCTTGAGTGCATCTCCTATTTCACTTTCCAAATTAGTATTTTACATGATTCATGTTTTTTCAACATGATTCCTTTGCTGTTTTGTTTCATCCAAGGACTTCCATCACTAAGAATATTCAGAATTAAATGTCATATAGGGCAAAATGAGGAGCGATTTATCTCTCTTTTGATACACTGGACCCTTCTGTGAAATTTTTTCAAGAATACTGTCATCACCATTTAGTTGTTCGAGTGGTTTCACAATGACTAGATGAGGAGTTGTCAGTAAGAAAACATCTTTACTGCATCATTCAAATGCCTTTCTTGCTACTACTAATCTAGAATAAATTCAACAATGCTTTTTCCTATAGATATTCCATGTTCATCCATTATTAAATGGTCCTTTCAATAGCACCAAGCTGGTTAAAAGTTTCTTCCAATAGTTCTTTGGAAACATAATATTTATGGTGAACAACAACAAAAAAGTACAGCAACATATGTGGCTAAGCAGACTTGAAGTTGACCACCTCCAATGTTTAACAAACAACCAAAAGCACTGTATGTAACTTTTCTCTCCATGCTTTAGGAGATAGAAATTGGCTTTAAACTTCTTCTAAACTGAGGTCTTATTGTGGCCACAGAGCCTGCCAGGCAGGGGCCTTTACTCATACTGCTGGTGGTAGGGCAGGTGGTGCTGGTGGCTTCTAAGGGCTCCCCACAACTTTAATGTGGTGGCTTGTGGTGGCCACCAGGAGTGCTTGTGAGGCAAGAGAATAGGGTCTGGAGGCAGGAAACATCAAACCAAGTCACACTGACTTCCTATAACTAATCAAATGGCAACAGTTCAGCTATCACAGGAAATATCCTCTTCATTTACATAGGGTATACACTGAGTAAATGACTTCGTAACTTTACCTCATCTGTTCATTTCCATAGGGCATACACCAAGTAACCAATGGAAACCTCAAGAGGGCATTTAAGCCCCAGAAAATTTTGTAATTGGCCTCTTGAACCCCTATGCTTGGGTCCACTCCCACGCTGTGAAGTGTACTTTTTTTTTTTTTTAAGATGGAGTTTTGCTCTTCTCGCCCAGGCTGGAGTAGAGCGGTATGATCTCAGCTCACTGTGACCTCCACCTCCCAGGTTCAAGTTATTCTCCTGTCTCAGCCTCCCGAATAGCTGGGATTACAGGCACCTGCCACCATGCCCGGCTAATTTTTGTATTTTTTAGTAGAGATGGAGTTTCGCCATGTTGTCCAGGCTGGTCCTGAACTCCTGACCTCAGGTTGCCCACCCACCTCAGCCTCCCAAAGTACTGGGACTACAGGTGTGAGCCACCATGCCCAGCCATGTACTTTTGTTTTTAATAACTCTCTGCTTTTGTTGATCTTTTCCTTGCTTTATTTGTGCATTTTCACCACTTCTTTGCTCAAAATGCCAAGAACTTGGACACACTCCATTCGTAGCATATTTTGGCAAGCCAGCCAGAAGTTAAGCCCAGAGTTTGGCATTTATTTTTCTCCTTTTCCTTTGTGGTCAATACAAGGGAATCTGTCTCTCACTCTCTCTTTTTTTTTTTCAACTGGAACCCTTGGTGGGCAGCAGCTAAAGACGTGGCAACTGCAGGTTTCTGCTCAGGCCACTCTAAACGACTATTTTCTATCTTTTCTGGTTGTGGTGCCTGATTGCTACATGTGACACAGCTCAGAGCAAATTTGCATGTGTTTCAGGTGATTTAAACCTTTTCTAATGCTAAATTCTTCCCTTCCGTACTCAACTGGCTAAGGACAAAAGAAGCCTACCCAGCCTCCACTTTCTATGTTACAGTTTCTATTATTTCTATTAATACAATTTCTATTATTATATGGCTATCACTCTAATGGAACCAGAAGCATGGGAAAGTGTGGTCTTATCAAATTATTGAAACTGCCTTTGCAAAATTATAACTGAGGAAATCATGACAGTCAAAAAAAAATCAGACCTAACTGACTCCGTCTTGCTTGTAACATTTAAGCTGTCTTTGTTTATTCCTGGGCATAGGCTGCACTAACTTTGGCAAGGAATTCAGTTGATGCTTGAACTCTGAAATGAAATTGATAACTGCCCATTTCCCCTGCAAAAAAACCTCTTCCTGTTCTAGGAACCAATTTGCTTTTGCAGGACTGAAAAAAAATAGCTACAAGATTAGAAATTACAGCTTTGAGGTCATGCAGCCTCGGGCTCTAAGAATTTGAACCTCCCCACATTGCTACTGGGGATAACATCACTATTGTAAAACCTAAGATCAGTGCTTGAGATATTTTGCAGACCCTGTACTTAATGCATCAGCTGACACCACCCAGACTGGTAATCTGGCCCAACCAGTTCTGTCATTCCACCCAGGAATAGAAGACAGCAAGAAAAACTCACTTCGTCCCTCTAGAAGATGGAAATCTTCAACCTGACCAATCAGCAGTCCCCTCTTCCCAAGCTCTTACCTGCCAAAGTATCTTTAAAAACACTGATTCCCAAATGTCTGAGGACACTGATTTGAATAATAAGACTCTGGTCTCCTGCACAGCCAGTTCTGAGTAAATTACTTTTTCTCCACTGCAATTTCCCCTGACTTGATAAATTGACTCTGTCTAGGCAGTGGGCAAGCTGAACTCCTTGGACTGTTACCTTATAAAGATGCCAAAAGTTGGGGATTACACCCAGGTATCAAAGGAAAGCTCATAGTAGACCATCACCTCTGAAGTGAATGCAGGCAAAGCAGCACTATTGCCCACCTAAGGTCAGAGACGTCTTATAATCTAAGACTGGACCCCACAGGGAGATGTCCTGGGCATCCTCTGGACCTCAACCCGCCCAAAGAGAAGCCCTTGGCAGAGGTTCTGAGGTCTAGTACAAAGCCCTCCTTAGAATTTTCTCTTGCAGTTACAATACTGTTTGGCCACTATATTCTTTGGAATCTGTAGTTCACTGTTGAATGGGAAAAAGGGATGGCATTACATGTATCCAGGATTGTGTGCTGCTGTTCTAAGCAGGGGGCCTGGTTAACAACTGAGGCTCTCCTTTGATGCTGTTTTGCCCAGTGTTTTTGAGGTCTGGGGAAGTTTGGCCTTTAAATATCAAACAGCCATAAAAACAGCTTTACCTGATAATTTGTTTCACAGCGTTCATTGGATTATCTATTGGGGCAAACAAACTGGTGACCTTGTATTGTGTTAGAAGCAGATTTTTCGGTGCCACAAAATAAAAAAGAATAGCACTTGAATATAAATTTGCACAGCAAGGCAAATTTACTCCTGCAGGAGGGTGCCCCTCGTAGGTCTGGTCGCCAGGAGAGCACACACAAAAAGGAAAGCAGGGTTGTTGTTGTTGTTGTTGTTGTTGTTGTTGTTGTTTTATCACCTCTAACGCAGCTCGTCCCTTTTACTGTGTCCTGCTTCCATTGGCTGAAGTTGGATTGCACAATTTAACCTGAACCTGGTTGGCTAACTTGAAAAGTGCAGGAATGCAGTTATACCGGTGGGAAGGTGGGAAAGTCAGTTTTGGCTGGGAGTAGCCGTTTCCTGATGGGGAGGGCTAACTCACAGAGTGGGTAGCAGATGTGGAATGTAGGCTCTATAGATAAGGACTGGTGGGAAAGTTGTTTACCAGGGCGGGGGGACACAAAAAGTAAAGAAGTATGGCCTTGAAAGCAGGGAACAAAGGATGAGGAAACTTAAACAAGCTGGACCTTTGAAGAAGAATTTCTTACTGTATTCCACATACTGTTATCTCATGGCTAGGATTTTAAGCAATTAGATCTTCATTTGTGTATGTGTATCCATATCTAGATGTGTTTATTTGTATGTACACTTATTGTTATATGTTGTGTCTACCAAATTGGCCTAAGTGAAAGAGTGCCAAGAAATTAAGTAAATAAGTGTAAGCAATTTTCAAGTTCACATGACTCGATATAACTTTCCTAAACAAGCTGGCTTTAAAGTTGTTGGTAAAATAAAAACACAAATGCCTTCAGAATTGGCTGCATACATTTTTGTCTGGATTTTATGTTTGTCTTTGCTAGATAATTTTGAGATGTCAGTGTTTGTTGTAGAAGGTTATAAAACTGTAAAGCCAGCCAAAATAAAATGATCTTTGTTTGCGTGTGTCCCCACCCTTTTTTGAGCAATTAAATGTTGGCTAAACTTTTTGCGTTATTGGCAAAAATACCTAGGTTTTTAACTTTGAGGCTCTTATTTAGGTTTAGGTGAGCACCTGATATTCACAGACTACTAAAAATATGGTTAACAAGGAAATAACTAACTTTAAATGATACTAATATCTCAGTTTACAGAGTAATCTAGATAAACCATTAAAAGTGAAAGAAGTGAGTGTAATGAAGGATAATGTTTTAGGTAAACTTTTTGTGTAAATTAAAATCTTCAAATTATTTTTGATGTTCACTCAATATCTGGGTAATTTCTGACTAAGAACAGGTTATGATAGGGGGAAATATGTTTCTAAAAATTGTGGAATTATTCTGATCTATAAATGTCCATATCTGATAGTTCAGGATTTCTTGCTTTTTAAGGTTTCACTAAAGCTTTAGGTTAGTAAGGATAAGAATTCTAGTTAACACAGCCGGGCACGGTGGCTCACACCTGTAATCGCAGCACTTTGGGAGGCCAAGGTGGATGGATCACCTGAGGTCAGGAGTTTGAGACCAGCCTGGCCAACATGGCAAAACCCCATCTCTACTAAAAATACAAAATTTGGCCAGGTGTGGTGGCAGGCACTTGTAATCCCAGCTACTCAGGAGGCTGAGGCTAGAGAATTGCTTGAAACTAGGAGGCAGAGGTTGCAGTGAGCTGAGATTGCACCACTGCACTCCAGCCTGGGTGACAAGAGGAAAACTGTCTCAAAAAGAAAAGGAAAGAAAAAAAAAATTCTAGTTAACACATAATTCTGTATACAAAATGTGCCAACAAGCATTATGTTATTAGTGAGAAAAATAATAATTTTGTCTAACTCAGAAGTTATCTAAATATTAGTTCAAATTACAGATTTTAAAATGTTATTTATGAAACAATGTAGTAAGGAACCACTAAGTAGAGGAGAAAGATATGGAAAAAGTTTAGATAATAAAATATTCTTTAGGACCTGATACAGAATTGGAGACATTTAGCTAATAACATTTTCATAAAGCTCTCAATCCTGATTAAAGCAAAATAAGAAGTATCATATCTACAGTTTGGCAATTCTTTTTTTTAATGTAGTTAAGCATGAAGCCAAATTTAGTGTGGAGCCAAATTTTACATCTGTGCTTGCAATGCTTCATACTGTTCACTGTTTTGCATGGGTTGTGCTGGTACTGGAATACTTATTGGTCATGTGCCTAAAGTAAACTTTTTTGTTTTGAAATGGAGTCTTTCTCTGTTGCCTAGGCTGGAGTGCAGTGGCTTGATCTCAGCTCACTGCAACCTCTGCCTCCCAGGTTCAAGTGATTCTCCTGCTTCAGCCTGCTGAGTAGCCAGGATTGCAGGTGTGTGCCACCATGCCTGGCTACCTGTAGTATTTTTAGTAGAGATGGGTTTTCACCATGTTGGCTAGTCTGATCTTGAACTCCTGACCTCAAAGGATTTGCCTGCTCTAGCTTCCCACAGTCCAGTGATTACAGGCACAAGCCACCACGTCTGGCCCAAAGTGAACTTCTTGATTGCACAGAATGTATTATGATATTGGTAAACTTAAGGATATTGAATTGTGAATCAGGAATAAAATACTCATTATGTGGGTTTTTTGGGGCCCTGGGTAACACTGTATCCTTTAGGGTAAATTGAGTTAGAAAAAGTTAGGGTTGATTTCCTGTTTATTTGTTTAGCTTCTAATTTTCATTTGTTCGCTGTTTATTCTCCTCTGGCTTTGCTTGGGGATGCATATATAAACCCATAATTTTTTAAAAAAGTTTCTAGTAGAAGGCTTTTATTTGGTTTTGTGAATGGTTATTTTGTTTCCTATGCATTTCTAGCAAGTCATCATTTGTTCCATTTATCTAGAATTCCTAGGCTACTTTTTTCAGGCCCTCAGAAATTAATGGAGCACACAAGCTTTTCAACTTTAAACTAACATTTTTGGATTTTAGGCTTCCTGATACTTTAAGTGTGTTAAGAATACACTCATAAGTAGAATTTTAGTCATATTTCTTTCTCTGCCTGATTTCTCCAAAATTTATAAACTATTTGTGAATATTCTTAATTCATGGCAAGGTGTTTACAGTTAAGCAGAGTTGGTAGGGCTGTTAGGGAGATAACCCAGAAACGTGGCATGCTGGGAAAAGGGTAAGAATTTCTTACCAGTCAGACTCTGGCCCTCTCTCTCTGTGAAAACTCGTTAAATAAATACTAAAAGTCACCGCTTATCTCCTCTGTAAAGTTTTAATTAATACAAAAAAATCCCAAGGCTGGTCTTAAGCTGTAGTGAATCTGATGTGCTTTGTGTGTCTGTCTTTCCATATTGGTCTATCATAAAAAGGGGTACCTTAGAATAAAATGTGTGCCTAGGACCCTGTAGGTCCACTATTCAAGATGGCCCAGCAGACTGGTCAGTCATGTCCTGGGAGCTTGACCTTGTAATCATGTGGCCATGCTTTCTGTTTTCAGAGTGGTGGCCCAGGTTTAGGGTCTTGCTTAGGGAATTAGTCCTTTATCTTCTGTCTGTATGTGTGTTTATATGTGTTGTGTGTGTAATATAAAGGAGCTTTAATTAATTGTTTTAATAATAATAAGCTTAAATCAAATATTTTGTCAAGAAAGTAAAAAGTGTTGTAAGAGCTACAGAAAGAGGAAAGCAACATGAAACATGTCTGTCAGTTAAAGACAGGTTTTCTTTAGTTAAAACCTGAGACGCACCCCTGGCCAATTTCAGTCAGGAGCCCTTTCTCTTACAGACTAAGGGTGTATATTGGTTTCAGGGTGAGGGAACTTAGAAGCTTGGAATGTTTATGTGTGTGGAGAAGTTTATGGCAGGGTTGGAATCTCTCTGGGAGGAGGGGAGGTTATCTTGGGGCAGACATCTTACCGGCCCGGAGGGGGTTAAATCGAGGCTGGCATCTTCCCAGCTGGAGGAGGCTTATCTTGGGTCTAGCATGTCTCTGGTCAGAGAAGAGTTTGGAATGTTTCTGGTTGGAGATATTATTTGTGGTTTATGGTTATGCTGACCTTAGCCATTAGACTGATGCCCTTTGGATTTAGGTGGTTTTTTATTAAAGTGAACTTTAGAATTAGGAGCTTGTCCAAGGTGGTGATGCTCCTGCTCTGTTAAGTGTAACATGCCTTTTATTTAGATCATGTGACTTGAGATATCCTTGGAAAATAAAAAACAGTTTTAAAGTTTACTGGTAAAATATAAATGTCTTCGAAATGTAAACATGTAGTCTAAATTATGTTGTTTTGAAAATTGTTTAACTTGCCTGCTGTACAGCTAGGTAAGGCCTAGGGTCATATGGAGTTGGCCACACACCCAGCTACGCTAGAAATAGCCTTAGCACCTAGGACATAATCAATATAATTTACGAGGGTTGACATTAAAATTAAAATTGCTAAAAGTCACCCTTATAACATGTAATTCAGACTACTAGAAACAGTTTTACATGCAAGGTATGTAAGAACAATAGAATGTGTTTTTGGTAAAAGATTATAAGAAGTCATGAGAATGTAAATTTTTTAAACCTTTAGCATATTTAATAGACTTCCCAAAATAAAATTTCAGCTTTAAAATTGTCTTTTATTCTTTGACATGTTTAGTTACATGGCAAGCATTGCCAAAATAAAAAAAAAATTAGTCAGCTTTAGATTATATTATAGTGAATAATATTAATAGATGTTCCAAAATTATATGAGATTCCTAAAATTCTAATATGTCTGAGTATATGCTATCAATTACAATTATGATTATTATGTTAACTTATTGTAGACAAAAGAAATAACCAAATTTCCTTGTTCTAACCCAAGTAGAACAAAACAATTAATTAAATACCAAGAAAATATCTTATCAAGTTTCCATGTTAAGCCAGCTGCTACTGAAATTGTTTAGATGTACAATTTCAATGGACTCCATGGTCTAAGTCAAATTACCTATACTAACTCCAATTATCAATGCTATGCACCTAATTTGAAGAAGCAGCTGGTATTCAAGAGGATATAAGTCTAAAGTTAAGTAAGCATGGACTTATGGAGAACCAGAGAGGCCACTTTGTCCTTCCTGAGTTTTTAAAGTTTTTACTATTAAAAGATATGTATACCATGACTCATGATGGAAAATATAAAATGATCCAAATTGAGTATATTCATGTGATGACTTTTATATTACTAAAACAGTTTATAACCAATGTTTGGTTCCATATTCCTGGAAAACAATCAAAGCTTCAGGTACATTTGGTCACCTGATGGGCCATTTAAAAATTTTATAAAGGGATTTAATTCAAATGTTTTCTTTTTTGCAGGGGACAGAGTCTCAGTCTTTTCACCCAGGCTGGAGTGCAATGGTGCAATCTGAGTTCACTGAAACCTCCGTCTCCTGGGTTCCAGCAATTCTTCTGCCTCGGCCTCCCACATAGCTGGGATTGTAGGCACATGCCACCATAGCTGGTTAATTCTTGTATTTTCAGTAGAGATGGTGTTTCACCATGTTGGCCAGGCTAGTCTCGAACTCCTGACCTAAAGTGATTCATCTGCCTCGGCCTCCCAAAGTGCTGGGATTACAGGCATGAGCCATCACACCCAGCCTCAAATGTTATTTTCAATGCATGTTTTCTTGTTGTATAAAAGCTGTCCCATGCAAAAGGGCTGACATTATTACACTAAGTTATTATTTAGTGTATTTTCACCAGGTGAAGAAAGCATTTTATGGTTCACTGAGGACAACCTTTTCACAACACAGAACCCTAAGATTGAATCTTCTGAGAACATCAGACAAAGATTGTCCTTGCCATCCACATTGCAGTAAAGCTTTGGAAACTTGAACTTTGGATTCATCATCTCACAACAGAGAAGGACCCCTCCACACTCTTGAAACAGTACTCTCATATGAACTGTTAAGGTAAAACTAACCAGGGAAGTTTTTCCCAAGAAGATGGCATCCTTGATGTGAACAGCTTTTCCTAAGTTCACAGATTAAGACTTCTACTGTCATGAGACTCTTATCTTTTAATATTTTTTCTTGCTTATGCCTCCATGAACAATAGAAGTGGAAAAGTGGTCTGATATGTGCACTTACAAGGTATACTTTCATTTGTGAAGGAGTTTGCAGTCAGCCTTGTATATGGATAACACACTTCGATAAAATATGAAGGCCTAATGTAAGTGAAAAGCTTTAGTGGTACATACATTGCCTCAAAATCAGAAACAGAACATTGGTTCACTCATCTTAAACCACATCATGGGTTAAAGAAAAAAACATTGCAAGGAAGACTTCACTCTTCTAGAAGGGCATGATTTGGTAAGTCCTTTTTCCATAGTTTAGAGTTAAAAAAAAAAGGAATGTATCCCTCATAATAGGCTCTATAGCAGATTTTACTGTAAAGACTATAGATACACAACAGACTAAATTCTCTTGTGAAAGTTATGATAGAATTGGCTGAACAGAGAAGTATCTGTGCAGTTGCTGACACTTGTGGCCTATGGAGAAATACACCAAATGAAGATTATAGAGATTCAGTGGTAGGGGACTGATAAAGAGATTGCTTAGTTAATAAATAGACTCTATCCAGTGCATTCTTTGATCTATTCAATTTTAGGGGTTTGGTTTATGAGGACTCTGGGTAAAGAGCATCCTCCAAACTCTTGGTATTATCCTCCCAATAGTCAAAATAATAGTATCCCTAGTGTGCTGTATTCTCTCAAAGGTTTTAAGTGCTTTCTGGCAGCCATCTCTAGAATGTCAAATGGTCACTTTTCAAGTGGAATGACAAGAGCTGAAAGAAATATGCAACCCTGAGGATAATGTAACTTATGAATGATGTGCTGAGACCAGTAACCCAAAATGATGGTAACTGAGAGTGGAGTTTTGGCCACACTCTCACCTAAGTGAGAACCTGACCAAATGAGGATTTTTTAAAAACAAAGTTATGGAAAGCTATTGTTTTGGATTGAACTTATGCACTAGAATTCAACAGACCAAACAAAACTAAAATGGAATCACTCATGCTAAGGCTTTAAGGAAACACATAGATCCTAGGACAAACCACAGACCAGGTTTTGTTTTTCTCCTGCAAATCTCTATAACAACCATTTTTAATAGTACAGATATCCACCCCTAAAGCTTCCATTAAATCTTTTAACCAAGTTCATTTCCTCTCACCTGGAGACCATTAAACTTCAGAAGGTCATGCAACAAGGGTTTCAGCCAGTTCCAGGTCAAGACAACACCCCTGCCTATCAGGGAGCTACCCTGCCTCCACTAGACAGAGCAGGGCAAGAGTTCCATGATGCCCAGTAGGTAAGGACTATACCCCAAGCCAGCATGAAGTAGTTACAAAAAAAAAAAAAAAAGACCATTGGTCTCACTGCCTCCCGTAATGATTTATGGGGATCACATCTCTCAGGAAGAAATGAGGCAGAAAAACAGGGTCTAGAGGCAGGAAACATCAAACCAATTCACACTGACTTCCTAGAACTAAATCAAATGGAAACACTTTTGCTATCACAGGAAATATACTCTACCATTTACATAGGGCGTACAATGAGTAGATGACTTTGTAACTTTATTTCATCATTTTCATTTACATAGGGTGTATACCAAGTAAGCAATAGAAACCTGTAGAGGGTACTTAAACCACAGAAAATTTTGTAATGGGGTTCTTGAGCCCCTATGCCTGTGCCCACTCTCACCCTGTGAACTGTACTTTTGTTTTCAATAAATATCTGCTTTTGTTGCTCGATTCTTTCTGTACTTTCTTTTTGTGTTTTCACCGGTTCTTTGTTCTAAATGCCAAGAACTCGGACACCCTCCACCAGTAACACTTAGACCCAGGCCACCATCTGATTTTGGCCTGACAGGTGTTTTGCCACCTTTGGCACCATCAGGCACTGCCAAGGCCCCACAACTGTGCCCCCTACCAGCAGAGGAGGTAGACCTCTGGCCTAAAGGGTACTGGTTGGGACCCTGCTGCTTGATGAAGCAGGTAAAAGTGCCCTAGGGGGGTTAAAGTGATGGTGGCTGGCAGGGTTGGGGTTGGGCCTTACCCTGGCCCTGATGGATCCCTGGAGGTCAGGGAAGTGGTTAGCAGGTGAGCCAGAGGCTGACAGCATGGTAGTACTCTAGAAGCAGACCCTGAACAATAACAGGCTTGGAAGAGTTCTGCAGTGGTGGTGGCTGCTACTGTTGATGCAAAGTGGTCGTGAGATTGGAAGCTTGGAGCTGTCCTAGCCTGAGCTGGAACCGTAAGGCTATAGTTGTAATTGAGACCCATGCTGGATGAGAAGGAGCAGAAATCATTCAGGCTGTCATGACACCATCTCCTCTGTGTTTATGGAAGCCACCACAGCCACTACTGTGAGTATGGAAACACAGCGACATGTCTGTGGTCAAGGAGTTGTTGAGGCAGAAGTGAAGAAGATGCTCAGGGAATGTGGAGGTCACTTTGCTTCACAAAAACTGGTGAATGACACTGGTCAGTGTCTCTTTGTTCTAAGTACAGCTGTTCCTGCTTGCTTTTGGTTTTTGTTTACATGACATACAATTTTCTCATTTTAAACTTTCAGTCTGGCTGCTGTCAAACTCCTGAGCTCAAGTTACCCTGCCTTGGTATCCCAAAGTGTTGAGATCACAGGTATAAGCCACCATGCCTGGACTTTCTTTGCTTTTTGAAGTTTCTAATGTTTTTATATTGACAAGTGTGCATCAAGAGTAACAGTCACTACTTCCAATTTTTGAATTTATTCTTTTGCATAGAGAATTTTCCCTAAAGATGTTTCTATTATGTTGGTTGGGTAGGGTCCTTTGGCTTTGTGCTGGGTACACACACTTTGCATGGTTTCTTTGACTATAAATTGCATTATTTTAATCTGTGGTTTGTGTGATGTGTCAGGTGCAGTTATTAGTTAAGTCTGTGGTGATATTTTTCTGGGCACTGGAATGCCAGAAAAACTGTATTTAGGTTTTGGTAGTCTCAGTGGTTTGCTAATCTCTAACCTTGTGCCCCAGGAGGGTGTATGCCTGCACCAATTCTTGGGTCTCTGGGTGGCTTCTGTGGATGCCAGAAGCAGAGGACAGGGCAAGTGAATGGGCTATTGACCCCTAGGGTGGCTGGCAGGGTATTGTTAATAGGACTAGCACTGGTTAGATGCTCTTCTGGGCCCTAAGCACTCTGCATTTGTGTTGGCAGTGGTTGCAATGGGCTGTGTGGGTCAGTAGGTGGCACTTGCAGGTAGGAGCCTGCTGAGGTGATAATAGAAGTGTGTTTAGGCCCAAAGTCAGACCTCTAGGAGGAGTACTTTGGTGACCCAGCTGGTGGACTGGGTGCAACACCCAGGACCCTGGACAATGCCTTCTGTCTGAGAGGAGTCAGCAAAGCCTGGTGGAGCTGGGGTGAGTGGGTTTTTTGCTCAGGTGCTCCAATGTGGAGTGTATTTACTAGCCATGATGGGAAGGGTGGGGCAGGCCTCTGGTGTAATGCTTGTGTAGGAGGCAGCCACCTCCCCACTGAGGTCCTGCTACGGGGAATGTGAGACAGCCTCAGAGGCCACAGCCTTGCCCAGCAGGGGAGGGACTCACATCATTCAAATCCTCCAGTCCTAGAGTGTCTTACCCCTCAGACCCATCTGTCACAGCTGACCTCACTGACCCATCAGGGTCAGATTCGGCAATTTGAGCCTATCCTACATCAGCCCCAAACCATGGAAGTTCCTGCCCAGCCCCAAGCCTCTGTAGCCATGAATGGAAGGGGTAGGGCAGGTTTTAATGCTTGTGTGGGAGACAGCCACCTTACTATTGAGGTCCTGCCACAGGGAATGTGGGGCAGGACCCCATATGTGGGGCAATTCTGTGTCTCAGTACTGTCACTGGTAGCCCACAGCACACTCGCTTTCTAGTCTTGGTTGTGGGAGAAAACTCCCTCCCCATGATCAAGTGCCAAAAGCAACAACCTGAGTTTCCCTAACGTGTAGGTCCAGCATAGTACAATGCACAGTCTGTTAAAATGACAGATAAAAAATGGCACCTTGCTGTAGCTGCTTAGGTCTCAGAAAGGGTCGGGGGATCCAGGGTGAGCTCCCTTCCCGGGACAGTTTCTTTTCACAGTCTTCTTGCCACTCCCCAAATTATATTCAGGGTTTGAGAGGGTCAAGGTGCTCTCCAGTAGCCTGAATTGTATAATTTCTCAGTGGTAAAATGAACCACAAAACGTGGTGGCTCACGCCTGTAAACCCAGCACTCTGGCAGGCCGCGGCGGGCGGATCACCTGAGGTCAGGAGTTCCAGACTAGCCTGGCCAACATGGCAAAACCCCATCTCTACTAAAAATACAAAACTGGCATGACACGGTGGCTCACCTGTAATCCCAGCAATTCGAGAGGCCGAGGCGGGCGGATCACGAAGTCAGGAAATCGAGACCATCCTCGGTAACACGGTGAAACCCCGTTTCTACTAAAAAAGAAAAAGAAAGAAAAAAGATACAAAAAATTAGCCGGATATGGTGGCGGGTGCCTGTAGTCCCAGCTACTCCAGAGTCTGAGGCAGAAGAATGGCGTGAAGGCGTGAACCCGGGAGGCGGAGCTTGCAGTGAGCCGAGATCACACCACTGCACTCCAGCCCGGGCGAGGGAGCGAGACTCCGTCTCAAAAACAAAAAAAATAGCCGGGCATGGTGGCAGGCGCCTGTAATCCCAGGCTGAGGCAGGAGAATCGCTTGAACCCGGGAGGTGGAGGTTGCAGTGAGCCTAGCACTACAGCCTGGGGGAAAAGAGCGAGACTTCGTCTCAAAACAAACAAAAACACCGTTCTAGCTCACCCTCCCTCCACATTAGGAAGTCACTCCCAGGTCTCAGCCAGTTCAAGCCAAGCAGGCTGCCTCTTTCCTCCCCTTCCTAGTTTCTGGTTTTTTCTATTGTTTTTCTGTTAAATTCATGTATACTGTCTTGGATAATGTATTTAAAGTTTGATTATCTACACATGATTTTTGTTCTCTTAAGTGGATAATGTATGCTTGTAATGCCTTTAGTCAGTCATCTGTGCATATTTCCACCTCACAACCCTCTTGCCTAGAACCTTTTTCTCTTGTCCTTGGTGACTTTCAGGTTTCAATCCTACTTCACTGTCTCGCCTATCTTGTTCTTTGTCTTACTCACTGCTGAAACTCCAAATATTGTGCCTGTTAGAATTTTAAATAATAGAAATTTCTGAAGAAAATTTCACAGCAGTAAATTTGGAAACATTTCTACATTCCAATAGAAGTAGATTTAATGTAAAAACATTTATACAATGTAAAAATTTTAAACATGGAAAAGAAATAAGGTATGACTTTTAAAAATAGTGAGTTTTTTTATACTAATGAAAATTTTACCAAAAGAAAATTATAGTCATTAAATTTAAGAAATTATATGGAGAAATTATAAATAAGGTTTGAATTAAGAAAAGGTTAATTAACTAAAAAATAAGTTTGAGAATAATAGTAGACTCTATGCCTTTTGCAAAAATAAATCACAAGAATTATTAATGTAAAATTAAAATGGAAAATTATAGAAAGAGGTCTATGTAACTTCAGGTTTCATGATGATATTTTATTTTTATTTATTTATTTAACAATATTTGTTATTTATTTCACAAACAGGTCTGGCTAATTCAGGCTCATTGACTTGATTCAGTGTTTTGTGGGGACATGAGATATGTGGAAATTATGTTATTCCAAAGGGTATCTGCTCTCTTGGCCGGCAGTAGCCTGCATGGCTAGGGGCCCAGTCAGAGGTTACAAGAGCCCTCAGTAGGTGTGTCATGGGTGCTGGGGACTACAGTGGATCACAAATTATGATAATTGTTAATAATTAAAGAGACTAAATATTCAATAAAAAGTACTATTTTGTAACTTTATTTGTAAATTTAAAACTATTTTAAAATAAAAGGTTAATTTAGAAATAATACATATGTAGTATTTACAAGTATGCAGCTCAGAAAGAAAAAATGAAATTATGAAAGCATAGTAAGAGAATGAAAGGTAGAAAATATGATATACATTAACAGTAGTTATATTTAATAGAAAAGGAAAATAGAATTGGAGAGAGGTTGCATTTGAAAGGATAATTTCTCAGAATTTGGCAGAATGAATAAAGAATATTTTTCTCAGATTTAGGAAAAAAGCTTTTCACAATTCCCCTATTATACTGAAATTGCAGTCAGCAAAGAGAAACGGGATAACTCCAGCTGGGTTAAAAAAGTCAGTTTATCCGCAAAGCAATACCATTATACTTAACAAGAGATTTCTCAATATTAATCGTTTAAAAGTAGAAGATATTCAAATATCTTCAAGGAGTTGAGAGAAAATAAGGAATGAGCATATGTCTATATATTGTTAAGCTTTCATTCTAAATTGAGGCTTTGGGAAAAAAAAAGATACTTCATAGCTTGAAAAAAATTTAACACTAATCAAAATTTACTGAGAGAACTTGTAAAATACTTAATAACGGAGAAAGTTAAGCCCAGCAACATTTGAGATGCAAAGGGAAAGGTAAGAAGACAAAATTAATGTATATACAAATCTAAATAAATTTTGTTATGTAAAAACATAATAATATAAATTAACTCAAATGTTTCAAAAGTTTAAATGTAGGAATTAAAACTATTTTTAAAAAACTTTTAGAATAAAACATCAGGTAAAATCTTCATGACCATCAATTTGTCAGTGCCTTCTTGGATATGACACCAAAAAGAGAGGCATCAAACAAAAATGAATAGCTAAATTGGACTTTATCAAAATTGATATTGCAACAAAGAACACTATCAAGAGAGTGAAAAGATAGTCTGTAAATGAAAGAAAACATTTACAAGTTTTATATCTGGTAACAAATTAATACCTACCATATATAAAGAACTGCTACAATTAAACAACAATCCAATTTTTAAAAAGGGCAAAAAACTTGAATAGACACTTTTTCAAAGAAGACATATAAATGCCCAATAAGCATGTGAAAATGTGCTCAACATCATTTATCAAGAAAATGCAAATCAAAGCCACAATCATCACATATTTAAATGACTATAATAAAAACTAAACAAAACAGGAAGTAACAAGTGTTGACCAGAATGTGGAATAATTGGATCACACACATTGCTGATGGGAACGTAAAAGACTGCAGGAACCAACTTGTTCAGTTTGAAGGTTTTTCAATAAGTTAAACATAAAATGACCACATAATCCAGCTCTTACACTTGTAGATATAAACCCCAAATAATTAAAAGCAAGAACTCAAACACATTCTTGTACACTGAGCAGCATTATTCAAGATAGAAGGTGAAGACAATCAAAATGTTCAACAACAGATGAATGGATAAACAACAAAATGTGGTCTATACATGCAGTAAGATATAATTCAACCTTAAAAAATGAAATTCTGATACATATTTCAAAGTGTGTCAACCTAGAAAAAATTTTGCTAAGAGAAGTAACCCAGACACAAAATATTGTATGATTCTATGTATGTAACATATGTATACAGAATAGGCAAATTCAGAGTGACAGGCATAGAGTTTACCAGGGGATTGGGCAGAGTTATGAGGAGCTACTGGTTTATAGGTACAGAGTTTGAGATGATGAAAAAGTTCAAGAAAATGGAGTGTTTGTACTATACCATGTATAAACAATGCCACTGAATTTAACACTTAAAAATGGTTAAAATGGTAAAAATTTATGTTATATATAATTTACAATAATAAACAATTACCAAAATCGGCTGAGCATGGTGGCTTACACCTGTAATCCCAACAGTTTGGGAGGCTGAGATGGGCAGATCACTTGAGGTCAGGAGTTCAAGACCAGCCTGGCCAAAATGGTAAAACCTGTCTCTACTAAAAATATAAAAATTAGCCAGGCATGGTGGCACATGCCTGTAATCACAGCTTCTTGGGAGGCTGAGGCAGGAGAACCCCTTGAACCAGGGAGGCAGAGGTTGCAGTGAGTCAAGACTGTGATACCGCACTCCAGCCTGGGCAACAAGACTGAGACTCTGTCTCAAAAAAAAAAAAAAATTACTAAAACCAATAAAAAACTTGTTTCACAAAGAAAAGTATACTGATAGTTATAATGAAGTTGAAACATATTAAGTAAAGTGTACAAAATATTAAGTAACAGCAACATAAAAAGTAAGAGAAGGTACTGAAGTTAGAACATCCTAAGTCTCTCATAATTTGGTTATAATGTAGAGATATTTATTTGTTTTACACTTTGCTAAGTTTTGTGTTGTTACTAAACTTTTTATTATTATTATTATACTTTACATTCTAGGGTACATGTGCACAATGTGCAGGTTTGCTGCATATATATACATGTGCCATGTTGGTTTGCTGCACCCATTAACTCATCATTTACATTAGGTATTTCTCCTAATGCTATCCCTCCCCCATCGCCCTACCCCACAACAAGCCCCAGTGTGTGATGTTCCCCACCCTGTGTCCAAATGTTCTCATTGTTCAATTCCTACCTATGAGTGAGAGAACATGCGGTGTTTAGTTTTCTGTCCTTGGAGTAGTTTGTTGAGAATTATGGTTTCCAGCTTCATCCATGACCCTGCAAAGGACATGAACTCATCCTTTTTTAGGGCTGCATAGTATTCCATGGTATATATGTGCCACATTTTCTTAATCCAGTCTACCATTGATGGACATTTGGGTTGGTTCCAAGTCTTTGCTATTGTGAATAGGGCCGCAGTAAACATGTGTGTGCATGTGTCTTTATAGTACCATGATTTATAATCATTTGAGTATATACCCAGTAATGGGACTGCTGGGTCAAATGGTATTTCTAGTTCTAGGTCCTTGAGGAATTGCCACACTGTCTTCCATAATGGTTGAACTAGTTTACACTCCCACCAACACTGTAAAAGTGTTCCTGTTTCTCCACATCCTCTCCAGCACCTGTTGTTTCCTGACTTTTTAATGATCGCCATTCTAACTGGTGTGAGATGGTATCTCATTGTGGTTTTGATTTGCATTCTCTGATGACCAGTGATGATGAGCATTTTTTCATGTGTCTCTTGGCTGCGTAACAGTCTTCTTTTGAAAAGTGTGTGTTCATATCCTTTGCCCACTTTTTGATGGGGTTGTTTGATTTTTCTTGTAAATTTGTTTAAATTCTTTGTAGATTCTGGATATTAGCCCTTTGTCAGATGGTTAGATTGCAAAAATTTTCTCCCATTCTGTAAGTTGCCTGTTCACTCTGATGGTAGTTTCTTTGCTGTGCAGAAGATCTTTAGTTTAATTAGGTCTCATTTGCCTTATTTTGGCTTTTGTTGCCATTGCTTTTGGTGTTTTAGTCATGAAGTCCTTGCCCATGCCTATGTCCTGAACGGTATTGTCTAGGCTTTCTTCTAGAGTTTTTATGGTTTTAGGTCTAACATTTAAGTCTTTAATCTATCTTGGATTAATTTTTTATAAGATATGAGGACGGGATCCAGTTTCAGCTTTCTACATATGGCTAGCCAGTTTTCCCAGCACCATTTATTAAATAGGGAATCCTTTCCCCATTGCTTGTTTTTGTCAGGTTTGTCAAAGATCAGATGGTTATAGATGTGTGGTGGTATTTCTGAATCCTCTGTTCTGTTCCATTGGTCTATATCTCAGTTTTGGTACCAGTACCATGCTATTTTGGTTACCATATCCTTGTAGTACAGTTTGAAGTCAGGTAGCGTGATGCCTCCAGCTTTGTTGTTTTTGCTTAGGATTGTGTTGGCAATGCAGGCTCTTTTTTGGCTCCATATGAACTTTAAGGTAGTTTTTTCCAATTCTGTGAAGAAAGTCATTGGTAGCTTAATGAGGATGGCATTGAATCTATAAATTACCTTGGGCAGTATGGCCATTTTCACAATATTGATTCTTCCTACCCATGAGCATGGAATGTTCTTCCATTTGTTTGTATCCTCTTTTATTTCCTTGAGCAGTGGTTTGTAGTTCTCCTAGAAGAGGGCCTTCAAGTCCCTTGTAAGTTGGATTTCTAGGTATTTTATTCTCCTTGTAGCAATTGTCAATGGGAGTTCACTCATGATTTGGCTCTCTGTTTGTCTGTTGTTGGTGTATAGGAATGCTTGTGATTTTTGTACATTGATTTTGTATCCTGAGACTTTGCTGAAGTTGCTTATCAGCTTAAGGAGATTTGGGGCTGAGACAATGGGGTTTTCTAAATATACAATCATGTCACCTGCAAACAGGAACAATTTGACTTCTTTTCCTAACTGAATACCTTTTATTTCTTTCTCTTGCCTGATTGCCCTGGCCAGAACTTCCAACACTACGTTGAATAGGAGTGGTGAGAGGGCATCCCTGTCTTGTGCCACTTTTCAAAGGGAATGTTTCCAGGTTTTATCATTCAGTATGATATTGGCTATGGGTTTGTCATAAGTAGTTATTATTTTGAGATATGTCCCATCAATATCTAGTTTATTGAGAGTTTTTTAGTATAAATGGCTGTTGAACTTTGTTGAAGGCCTTTTTTGCATCTATTGAGATAATCATGTGGTTTTTGTCTTTGGTTCTGTTTACATGATGGATTATGTTTATTGATTTGTGTATGTTGAACCAGCCTTGTATCCCAGGGATGAAGCCAAGTTGATCTTGGTGGATAAGCTTTTGGATGTGCTGCTGGATTTGGTTTGCCAGTATTTTATTGAGGATTTTTGCATCAATGTTCATCAGGGACATTGGTCCAAAATTCTCTTTTTTTGTTGCGTTTCTGCCAGACTTTGGTGTCAGGATGATGCTGGCCTCATAAAATGAGTTAGGGAGGATTCCCTCTCTTTCTATTGATTGGAATAGTTTCAGAAGTAATGACATCAGCTCCTCTTTATACTGCTGGTTGAATTCAGCTGTGATTCCATCTGGTCCTGGACTTTTTTTGGTTGGTCAGCTATTAATTATTGCTTCAATTTCAGAGCCTGTTATTGGTCTATTCAGGGATTCAACTTCTTCCTGGTTTAGTCTTGGGAGGGTGTATGTGTCGAGGAATTTATCCATTTCTTCTAGATTTTCTAGTTTATTTGCGTAGATGTGTTTATAGTATTCTCTGATGGTAGTTTGTATTTCTGTGGGATCAGTGGTGATATGGGATCAGTGGTGATATCCCCTTTATCATTTTTTATTGCATCTATTTGATTCTTCTCTCTTGTCTTCTTTATTATTCTTGCTAGCAATCTATTTATTTTGTTGATCTTTTAAAAAAAACAGCTCCTGGATTCATCGATCTTTTGAAGGTTTTTTGTGTCTCTGTATCATTGAGCTCTGCTTTGATCTTAGTTATTTCTCGCCTTCTGTTAGCTTTTGAATTCATTTGCTCTTGCTTCTCTAGTTCTTTTAATTGTGTCGTTAGGGTGTTGATTTTAGATCTTTTCTGCTTTCTCTTTTGGGCATTTAGTGGTATAAATTTCCCTCTACACACTGCTTTAGATGCATTGCAGAGATTCTGGTACGTTGTGTCTTTTTTTTTTTTTTGGTTTCGAAGAACCTCTTTATTTCTGTCTTCATTTTGTTATGTACCCAGTAGTCATTCAGGAGCAGGTTGTTCAGTTTCCATGTAGTTGTGAGGTTTTGAGTGAGTTTCTTAATCGTGAGTTCTAGTTTGATTGCACTGTGGTCTGAGAGACAGTTTGTTGTGATTTCTGTTCTTTTACATTCGCTGATGGGTGCTTTACTTCCAACTATGTGGTCAGTATTGAAATAAATGTGATGTGTTGCTGAGAAGAATGTATAATCTGTTGATTTGGGGTGGAGAGTTATGTAGATGTCTATTAGGTCTGCTTGGAGCAGAGCTGAGTTCAAGTCCTGGATATCCTTGTTAACCTTCTTCTTCTCTTCTCGTTTATCTGTCTCATAATAACAGTGGGGTATTAAAGTCTCCCATTATTATTGTGTGGGAGTCTAAGTCTCTCTGTAGGTCTCCAAGGACTTGCCTTATGAATCTGGGTTCTCTTTTTGGGTGCTTATATATTTAGGATAGTTATCTCTTCTTGTTGAATTGATCCCTTTACCATTATGTAATGGCTTTCTTTGTCTCTTTTGATCTTTGTTGGTTTAAAGTCTGTTTTTTCAGATACTAGGATTATAACCCCTGCTTTTTTTTTTCTTTTTGGCTTTCTATTTGCTTGGTAGGTCTTCCTGCATCTCTTTATTTTGAGCCTATGTGTATCTCTGCACATGAGATGGGTCTCCTGAATACAGCACACTGATGGGTCTTGACTCTTTATCCAATTTGCCAGTCTGTGTCTTTTAATTGGGGCATTTAGCCCATTTACATTAAAGGTTAATGTTGTTATGTGTGAATTTGATCCTGTCGTCATGATGTTAGCTGGTTATTTTGCCCATTAGTTGATAAAGTTTCTTCCTAGCATTGATGGTCTTTACAATTTGGCATGTTTTTGCATTGGCAGTTACCAGTTGTTTCTTTCCATGTTTAGTGCTTCCTTCAGGAGCTCTTGTAAGGCAGGCCTGGTGGTGACAAAATCTGTCAGCATATGCTTGTCTGTAAACAATTTTATTTCTCCTTCATGTATGAAGCTTAGTTTGGCTGGATATGGTATTCTGGGTTGAAAATTCTTTTCTTTAAGAATGTTGAATATTAGCCTGCACTCTCTTCTGGCTTGTAGAGTTTCTGCTGAGAGATCCACTGTTATTCTGAAGGCCTTCCCTTTGTGGGTAACCAGACCTTTCTCTCTGGCTGCCCTTAACATTTTTTCCTTCATTTCAACCTTGGTGAATCTGACAATTATGTGTTTTGGGCTTGCCCTTCTCAAGGGATATCTTTGTGATGTTCTCTGTTATTTCCTGAATTTGAATGTTGGCCTGTCTTGCTAGGTTGGGGAAATTTTCCTGGATAATATACTGAATAGTGTTTTCCAGCTTGGTTCCATTCTCCCCATCACTTTCAGGTATACCAGTCAAGCATAGATTTGGGCTTTTCAAATAGTCCCATATTTCTTGGAGGCTTTGTTCTTTTTACTCTTTTTTCTCTAAACTTCTCTTCTTGCTTCATTTCATTCATTTGATCTTCAATCACTGATACCCTTTCTTCCACTTGATCAAACCAGCTACTGAAGCTTCTGCATGGGTCATGTAGTTCTCGTGCCATGGTTTCAGCTCACTCAGGTCATTTAAGGTCTTCTCTATGCTGTTTATTCTAGTTACCTATTAGTCTAATCTTTTCTCAACATCTTTGGCTTCTTTGCTATGGGTTCAAACATCCTCCTTTAGCTCAGAGAAGTTTGTTATTACTGACTTTCTGAAGCCTACTTCTGTCAACTTGTCAAAGTTATTCTCCATTCAGCTTTGTTCCATTGCTGGCAAGGAGCTGCGATCCTTTGGAGGAGAAGAGGTGCTCTGGTTTTTAGAATTTTCAGCTTTTCTACTCTGGTTTCTCCCCATCTTTGTGGTTTTATCTACCTTTGGTCTTTGATGACAGTGACCTACAGATGGGGTTTTGGTGTGGATGTCCTTTTTATTGATGTTGATGCTATTCCTTTCTGTTTGTTAGTTTTCCTTCTAACAGTCAGGTCCCTCAGCTGCAGGTCTGTTGGAGTTTGCTGGAGGTCCACTCCAGAGCCTGTTTGCCTGGGTATCACCAGCAGAGGTGCAGAACGCAAATATTACAGAACAGCAAATATTGCTGCCTGATTCTTCCTCTGGAAGCTTTGTCTTAGAGGGGCACCCACCTCTATGAGGTGTCTGTCAGCCCCTACTGGGAGGTTCCATTCTCCCCATCACTTTCAGGTATACCAGTCAAGCATAGATTTGGGCTTTTCACATAGTCCCATATTTCTTGGAGGCTTTGTTCTTTTTACTCTTTTTTCTCCCAATTAGGCTACATGGGGGTCAGTGACCCACTTGAGGAGGCAACCTGTCTGTTCTCAGAGCTCAAATACCATGCTAGGAGAACCACTGCTCTCTTCAGAGCTGTCAGAGATGTTTAAGTCGCAGAAGTTTCTGCTACTTTTTGTTCAGCTATGCCCTGCCCCGAGAGGTGGAGTCTATACAGGCAGTCAGGCCTCAGTGAGCTGCTGTGGGCTCCCCCCACTTTGAGCTTCCCAGCCACTTTGTTTACCTACTCAAGCCTTAGCAATGGTGGACGCCCCTCCCCAAGCCAGGCGGCCACATGGCAGTTTGATCTCGGACTGCAGTGCTAGCAGTGAGCAAGGCTTCGTGGGTATGGGACTCACTAAGCCAGGTACAGGATATAATCTCCTGGTGTGCCATTTGCTAAGACCATTGGGAAAGCACAGTGTTTGGGTGGCAGTGTCCTGATTTTCCTGGTACAGTCTGTCATGGCTTCCCTTGGCTAGGAAAGGGAAATCCCATGATCCTTTGCACTTCCTGGGTGAGGTGATGCCCCCACCCTGCTTCATCTCACCCTCCATGGGCTGCACCCATTTTCTGACTAGTATCAGTGAGATGAACCAGGTACCCGAGTTGGAAATGCAGAAATCACCCATTTTCTGCATCAATCACACTAGGAGCTGCTGACTTGAGCTGTTCCTATTTGGCCATCTTGGAATGGACCTCCTGTGTTGCTACTAAACTTTTAAGGATATCCATTTAACTGTTAGAAATAGAATTTACAACTTCCAAATCACTAGCAAGGGAAAAAGAAAGAAAGAAGATTGGTTCAATAAATTAAAAGGCAGGGCAAAAAATAATAATAAAACAACTTGACAAAATATTTGAACAGCCATAGCAACCTGCTGGAAATAATTCTAAAGCATACCAGGAATTGTAATTAATGTAAGTGGCTAAGCTCATAGGTTAAAAGAGAGACTCTCTGGTTGGTTAAAATCAAGTTGAGTTATATTTTATTCCTAAGAGTAACATTTAAAACAAGAAGGCTGAAATATTGAGATAAAGATATATCTTACAAATATCAAAAAGTGGATTAAACAACATCATTTTGATATTATAAATATAGATATAATTTCCTGTATCTAACATTTAGACAGTAAATTAATATTATCTGAATACACTTGAAAGCAATAAGCAGATAGAATTTAGCTTTGTAAATGCACCTTTCTTTTCTTTCTTTTTATGTTTTGTTTTGTTGTTTGAGATAGAGTCTCACTTTGTCACCAGGCTGGAGTGCAGTGGCATGATCTCGGCTCACTGCAACCTCCACCTCCCTGGTTCAAGTGATTGTCCTGCCTCAGCCTCCTGAGTAGCTGAATTACAGGCATGTGCCACCACACCCAGCTAATTTTTGTATATTTAGTAGAGTTGGCCAGGATGGTCTCGATCTCATGACCTTGTGATCCTTCCACTTTAGCCTCCTAGAGTGCTGGGATTATAGGCATAAGCCACCACACCCAGCTAGCATTTCTTTTCTATCTTGTTTACTGCTTTATCCCAGGGTCTGCAAGTCTGGCATATATGAAATACTCAATCAATACTTGTTGAATTTACTTGGGAAAATATACTGTTTCTTATATACCAATAAACAATTTACTAGGATAAAAACAACATTCTAAGTCTAGATGCAAGTAATCGTCTAACTCAAAACACACAAAATAATTTAGAGAATTGCAAGAGAAAATAAAATGTACATATTTTATAACTACCATCCCATTATTAATAGTTTATTAATGAAACTATTAATAAAAAGTGGTAAATAGTAAAAAGATTGAAACACATCATTATGGTATTATAAATATATATAAATCTCCTGTATCTAACTTTTAGAGAATATATATAAATAAAACAAATAAGATTATATGTTTTTATGTGCATATTAAACATTTACAGATACTGATCACATACTACTTTACAAAGTAATTTTTAATACAGAGTGAATCTCAACAGACTTAGAAATATTAATTATAATTTCTGACTATAGCACAATTGAAGAATAAATCAATTGATACATTTATCTGTAAATATTTGGAAATTACAGAATGCATTCAATAAGTAAAGATCAAAATGTTGCCTATGTATTGATATGAAGAGATATCCAAGATATATTGTTACAGGGAAAATTAAGGACAAGAATGTTGAATACAATATTATGTAAAAATGGGGACGGAGAAATGACATATATATTACTATATTCCTGGTTTTGCAAAAAGAAAATGTAAAACATATACAGCAACATGGCAGACATTGGGGAAGTGTGGGCATAAAATTTTTATTACATGTTATTTTTGTTTTTGAATTTTTGACTATGGAAATGTGTTATTCAAAAATGTAAAAAGCTTATTTTTCATAACTTACAGATAAAAATATTGTAATTTTTTTTTTTTGAGACAGAGTCTTGCTCT
Organism: Homo sapiens; assembly: GCF_000001405.40. Taxonomy (NCBI): domain Eukaryota; kingdom Metazoa; phylum Chordata; class Mammalia; order Primates; family Hominidae; genus Homo; species Homo sapiens. The sequence continues at coordinate 13,069,884 of NC_000024.10, read as the reverse complement.
GTCACCCAGGCTGGAGTGCAGTGGTGCAATTTTGGCTCACTGCAAGCTCTGCCTCCCAGGTTCACACCATTCTCCTTCCTCAGCCTCCTGAGTAGCTGCGACTACTACATGGAGGCATCTGCCACCATGCCCGGCTAATTTTTTTGTATTTTTAGTAGAGACGAGGTTTCACTGTGTTAGCCAGGATGGTCTCGAATTCCTGACCTAGTGATCCACTCACCTTGGCCTCCCAAAGTGCTGGGATTACAAGTGTGAGCCACTGCACATGGCCTGTAATTTTAAGAATTAAAGAAAGAGGAAAGAAACATTAAAAGTGGCTCAACAGTCAAAGACAGGTTTATTTTGGAGAATAAACCTGAGGGGGGCGTCTGGCCAATTTCAATCAGGAGCACTCCCTCTTACAGGCTAAGAGTATTTTAGGGTTTTAGGGTGAGAGAGTTTATCAGAGGCTTGGAATGTTTCTGTGTGGAGGAGAACTTTATTGAGGGCTTGGAATGTCTCTGGTCAGAGTAGAGGTTATCTAGGGGCTGACATCTCTGTGGCCAGAGGAAATGTTATCTTGGGGCCAGACTGTCTCTGGCTGGGGGGTGGTTTTCTTAGGGTTGGAATGTTTTTGGTCAGAGATACCATTATTGGTTTATGGTCATGCTTATGTTAACCATTAGGCTGAGGCCCTGTGGGTTGGATTTAGGCAGTTTTTGATCAAGGGGAGCTTTAAAATGTTGGTGCTTGTCCAAGATGGCTATGCTCCTGCTCTGTCAATCTAAACCTTATAGTTATAAAAAGGACGAGGAGCCACATGTTCTTTCTGGCTACTTCCTGCTGACAGGGCACGGAGAGTTTTCTGGTCTCAGTTGACTGTAGGAGTAACATCATCTGTAGATGTTTTGGGTAGTTGTCTGTGAAATGGACATGATCCTCTTCATCAAAAATCTTTGTAAAAGGTTAATTAGGCAGGGTAAGAACATTAGTCATAGGCATATCATCAGGAGAGGGCCCGGAAATGGGATGACCGATGCTATGATTTCATTCCCAAACCAAGAATCTATTTGGTCATTTTGGTATTTCCTTAGCTTTCTGGCCCTTTCTTTAAGTTATTTAGCAGTGTTTCTTATTAGGCCTGATTGGTTGAGATAGAAACAACATTCCTTGCCTAATGAGAGGCAGAGGTACATGTTTGGAAAAGCCCATGTGTTATTTTCTCTTAGTAACCATTATTAAAAGACAAATCATGGTGGGACTGGTTTGCTTTATTACACTTGGTTTAATTATTTGCATGCAGTGTAAAGCAAGACAAATTATTTGTTACATAGGCCTTTTAAATTGGCAATGATGGAACTTTGTTCCACGAAAGAAATCTGAAATAAGACTTTTTAAAGCTGAGTCCAGCCATGGAATTATACCATTAAATACCTATGAGCTGGGTGTGCTTTCCTCTTCAGGTTTCAAGATAACTTGGGGTTCCTGGCCTGTCAGAAATGACATTCTTTACTTACCACAGATCAGTTACTATATTGCCATAACTTAAAAATACTCAAAAAGTCAAAAAGATTACTTCAGTCTCTAGAGGACAAAAAACAAGACAACAATTGTTTGTGGGTGACAAAAAATTTTAGGGTAGCCATAAAGTTACATTGACAAGGATATCTGTTACCTTTGTGTTATATAATAATTTTAACATAGCAATAATAATAACAATTATTATTAGTAGTAGTAGCTAATTTTATTTATATTCATAAAAGGTACTAGAATATAAAATACATGCTCACTTATTATATTCACAACAATAGAGACCACTTTTTTTTTTTTTTTGAGACGGAGTCTCGCTCTTTCACCCAGGCCGGACTGCAGTGGCACTATCTCGGCTCACTGCAAGCTCCACCTCCTGGGTTCATGCCATTCTCCTGCCTCAGCCTCCTGAGTAGGTGGGACTACAGGTGCACGCCACTGTGCCCGGCTAATTTTTTGTATTTTTAGTAGAGACGGGGTTTCACTGTGTTAGCCAAGATGGTCTAGATCTCCTGAACTTGCGATCCACCCACCTTGGCCTCCCAAAGTGCTGGGATTACAGGCCTGAGCCACCGCGCCTGGCCCAGACCACTTTTAAGAATTTTTGGTAAAATATTCTAGATTCTATAAAATCATCCTGTGCTGTATCATGGATTCATTTAGAAATAAATTAATTAATTAAATTAAAACAAAAATTTTAGGGCAGCCATAGTTGAAGTCACAACTGACAAAGAAATCTGATACCTCTGTGGCACACAATAATTTTAACATACATTATAATTATTACTGATAACAAACATTAAGATATATCAGAATTACAGGAGTCTCCCATAACTTTGGGACACATATCAATAATGTATTTATATAAATGTAGCTCAAAGAAAGCCAAACACCATTTTATATTTGACAATGCTTCCTGTATGACCTTACACCAAATAAGCCAAATTTTACCTTTATATTAGTGTGCTATTAATGTTAAACTCAATTATTAATAAAATCTTGTAGACACATTTACCCAATTTTAATGTTTGAGCATAAGGTAAGATTTTTATAGGATCTTTTTAACCCTTTATAATTTTTTGTTAAAGAGCAGGTTAGTGCTTTAAGGGAACCCCATTGTGCTTTTATTTTAATGCTCAAATTACAGAATGTAACTATATTTAGAATAAAGATCTTTACAGATACAATTAAGACAAGGATCTCAGAATAATGTCATTGTGGAGTAGGATGGTCCTTAAGCCAATGACAAGATCCTTTTTTTTTTTTTTTTTTTTTTTTTGAGATGGAGTCTCACTCTGTTGCCCAGGCTGGAGTGCAGTGGCTCGATATCAGCTCACTGCAACCTCCACCTCCTGGGCTCAAGTGATACTCTTGGCTCAGCCTCCTGAGCAGCTGGGATTATAGGCACTTGCCACCACACTTGGCTATTTTTTTATTTTTTTAGTAGAGATAGAGTTTCACCATGATGGCCAAGCTGGCCTCGAACTCTTGGCCTCAGATGATCCACCTGCCTCATCCTCCCTAATTGCTGGGATTACAGGCATGAACTATGACAGCTAGCCCAATGTCTCATTCTTATGCCTTTGTGTCCTTATCACTTAGTTCCCACATATAAGTGAGAACATAAATGCTTGGTTTCCTATTCCTGAGTTACTTCACTTAGAATAATAGTCTCCAATTTTATCCAGGTTGCTGCAAATACCATTATTTCATTTCTTTTTATGGCTGAGTCATATTCCATGCTGTGTATATACTGCATTTTACTTATCTGCTCATTGATTGACAGGCACTTGGGCTGGTTCCATATTTTTACATTGCAAATTTTGCTGCTATAAACATGCATGTGCAAGTATCTTTTTTATGTAATAACACCCTTTCCTCTGGGTAGACAGCTAGCAGTGGGATTGCTGAATCAAACAATAGATCTACTTTTACTTCTTTAAGGAATCTCCACACTGTTTTCTGTAGTGGCTGTGCTAGTTTACATTCCCACCAACAGTGTAAATGTGTTCCTTTTCACCGCATCCACACTAACATCTATTATTTTTTGATTTTTTGATTATGGCCATTCTTACAGAAGTGAGGTGGTATCGAATGGTGGTTTTGATTTGCATTTCCCTGATAAATTGATATCAGGGACAATATAAATTGATAAAATGCTTGAGCATTTCCCCATATACTTCTTGGCCACCTGTATATCTTCTTTTGAGAATTATCTGTTCATGTCTTAGCCCACTTTTTCATGGGATTTCTTTGAGTTCTTTGTAGATTATATATATTAGTCCATTGTTGAATACATAGGTTATGAAAATTTTCTCCTATTCTGTGGGTTGTCTGCTGATTATTCTTTTTGTGGTGCAGAATGTTTTTAGTTTAATTAAGCCCTATGTATTTACATTTTTGTTGTTATTTCATTTGCTTTTGTGTTCTTGGTCATAAAGTCTTTGCCTAAGCCAATGTCTAGAAGGTTGTTCGATGTTGTCTTCCAGAGTCTTTATGGTTTTAGGACTTAGATTTAAGTCTTTGATTCATCACAAGTTGATTTTTGTATAAGGTAGAGATAAGAATCCAGTTTCATTCTTCTACATGTGGCTTACCAACTATTCCCGCAAGCTTTTTTCAATAGGGTGTCCTTTCCCCACTCTATGTTTTTCTTGGCTTTGTCAAATATCAGTTGGCTATAAGTATTTGGCTTTATTGCTGGGTTCTCTAACCTGTTCTGTTGGTCTATGTGCCTATTTTTATACCAGTACCGTGCTGTTTTGGTGAGTATGGCCTTACAGTATTGGTTGAAGTAAAGTAATGTGATGCTTCAGATTTGTTATTGTTTAGTTTTGCTTTAGCTATGTAGGCTATTTTTTTGGTTCCATATTAATTTTAGAATTTTTTCTAGTTCCATGAGAATGATGGTGATGTTTTGATGGGAATTACATTGGATTTGTAGATTGCTTTGGCAGTATGGTAATTTTCACAATATTGACCCTACTCATCCATAAACATCAGATATGTTCCCACTTGTTTGTGTCATCTATGAATTTTTTTTTAAGCAGTGTTTTGCAGTTTTCCTTGCTGAGGTGTTTCATGTCCTGGGTTAGGTATATTCTTAAGTATTTTATTTTATTTTTTGCTGCTGTAGTAAAAGGGATTGAGGTCTTGATTTGATTCTTGGCTTGCTTGCTCTTGGTGTATAGCAGAGCTACTGATTTATTTACATTAATTTTGTAATGTGAAACTTTTGTGAATTCATTACCAGTTCTAGGAGCTTTTTCGATGTGTCTTCAGGGTTTTCTAGGTATATGATCATATCATCAGGAAAACAGCAAGAGTTTGACTTCCTGTTTACCAATTTGGATGCCCTTTACTTCTTTCTCTTTTCTGATTGCACTGTTTAGAACATCTAGTACGTGTTAAATAGAAGTGGTGAGAGTGGCCATCTTTGTCTGGTTTCAGTTCTCCGGGGGAATGATTTCAACTTTTCCCTGTTCAGTATAATGATGGCTGTGGGTTTCTCGTAGTTAACTTTTATTACCTTAAATATGTCCCTTCTATGCTGACTTTGTGGAGAATTTTAACCATTAAGCGATGCTGGATTTTGTCAAATGCTTTTTCTGCATCTATTGAGACAATCATGTGATTTTTGCTTTTAAATCTGTTTATGTGGTGCATCACATTTATTGACTTATGTATGTTAAACCATCCCTGCATCCCTTGTATGAAACCCATTTGATCCTGGTGGGTTATCTTTTTGATATGTTGTTGGATTTGGTTTGCTTGAGTTTTGTTGAGGATTTTTGCGTCTATGTTCATCAGGAACTGTTTAAGTCCTTCCCTGGTTTTGGTTTTAGGGTGATACTGGCTTCATAGAATGATTTAGAGAAGATTCCCTTTTTCTGTGTTTTGCAGAATAGTGTCAATAAGATTGGTACCACTTCTTTGAGTGTCTGATAGAATTCAGGTGTGAATTTGTCTGGTCCTGGAATTTTTCACTGGAATGTTTTTTTTTTTTTTTTGAGACGGAGTCTTGCCCTGTAGCCCAGGTTGGAGTGCAGTGGCGCAATCTCGGCTCACTGCAAACTCTGCCTCCTGGGTTCACACCATTCTCCTGCCTCAGCCTGCTGAGTAGCTGGGATTACAGACCTGTGCTGCCATAGTTTCACCACATTGGCCAGGCTGGTCTTGAACTCTTGACCTCAGGTGATCTGGCCACATCAGCCTCCCAAAGCGTTGGGAATACAGGCATCAGTCATTGCACCTGGCCTAAAATTTGTTATAAAATTTACTCATCAATATTTTTAGTTTTCATTGTACAAATCTCTCACTTTCTTTGATAAATTTATTTCTAAGTAGTTTATTCTTTTTCATGTTCCTCTAAATGGGATTGTTTTCTTAATTTCTCTTCTAGATAATTTGCTGATAATATACAGAAACACAATTAATTTTTATTGTTCATGTTGTAACCTCTAACTTTATTGAATTTACTTTTTAGTTCTAACAATTTTTGGGCAAAGTCTTTAGGGTTTTCTATGTAAATAATTATGTCATCTGTAATTTTACTTCTTTTCTAATTTGAATGTTCTTTTTTTTTCTTGCCTAATTGCTCTGAATATATCTTCTAAAACTATGATGAATGGAACTGGTGAGAGAAATGTCTTTGTTTTTTTCTGATCTATAAGAAAAAGCTTTCATGTTTTCACCATGAATATAATTTATCTATGGCCTTTTTACTTCATTACATTGAGGTACATTTCTTCTATACATAATTCAGTCAGAGTTTTTAGCATGAAAGGATGTTGAATTTTACCAAATGCTTTTCTATATCTGTTGAGATGATTACACAGTTTTTGTCCTTCATTCTGTTGCTATGGTATATCACATTTATTGATTTACACATATTAAAACTATCCTTGTATCTCAGGGTTAAATTATACAGCATTATTATGTATAGTCCTTTTACTCTGCTTTTGAATTTACTTTGCTAGAATGTTGTCAAAGGTTTTTGCATCTGTTTGTCAGGGTTATTGGCCTACAATGTTCTTTTCTTGTGATGTCCTTGCCTGCTTTTTGTATCAGGTAATGCAGGCCTACTTAAACGAATTGAGAAAAACTAGAGTTTGAGGATTTGCATTAATTATTATTTATATCTTTACTAAAATTTACCACCAAAGCCACTAAGTCCTCTTTTCTATTGGAAAGTTTTTGAGTCCTGATCTGACCTCTTTACTAATTATTGTTCTATACAGATTTTCTGTTTCTTCGTGATTTAGTTTTCCTAGGCTGTATATTTCTGGGAACTTATCTGTCTCTTCAAGTTTATCCAATTTCTTGGTATGTAACTGTTCATAGCAGTCTTTTGTAATCCTCTGTATTTATGTGGTATCAGTTGTGATGTCTCCTTTCTCACTTCTGATTTTATCTGAGTCTTCCCTCTTTATTCATAATTCAGCCACAGGTTCTCAATTTTGTTTATCTTTTCAAAAACTAATTCTGTATTTTATCAAATTTTTCTATTAATCTTATTCCCTATTTAATTTTTTCTGCTCTTTCCTTATGCTAACTTTGGTCTTCTTTTTCTAGTTAGTTGAGTGAAAGTTGGCTGTTGTTTTTTCTTTTTTTTTGGAGGTTATTTTTCAAAATATTTAGATAGTTCTTATTTCAGATTTCCCTCCTGAAACTGCCTTTGCTGAATCCCACAGTTTTGGTAGGTTGTATTTCCATTTTTGTTTGTGTCAATTTTTTTTTACATTTTTTATTACTTTTAAATATTTTTTATTCTTTTTTTGTTTAAGCTTATGTTATCTCATACTGAGTTAGAGTTTCATAATATTGTTATTTGAAAGGAGACTTGATATGATCTCCGTCTTCTTAAAATTGTGAAGACATGTTTAGTGCGCTAATATGCTCTGTTCTTGAGAATGTTTTGTACAAACTAGAGAAGTCTATGCGTTCTCTGCTGTTTGATGGAACGTTCTGTATTTGCCAGGTTTATTAATGTTCAACTCTGCTGTTTGATGGAGTGTTCTATATCTGCCAGCTCCATAATATTCAAGTCTGCTCCTTCCTTACTGATTTCCTGCCTTGATATTTTATTCATTATTAAGAGTGAGAAACTGAAATTTTTGTTTTAAAAAAGAAAGCATGTTTACACTTATTATCTTTTAATTTTGTATAAATTTATACAAGTTATAATTGCATGACTTAGATATGCAATTTTATTACACACATGGATTGTATGGATAGTCAGAGCTTCTATGGTATTCATAATCTAAATATATACATTGTACTTATTAGGTAATTTTTCATCATGCTCTCTCTTCATCCCCTTACTTTTCTGAGTCTTTGTTGTCTATCTTTTTATTCTCTATACTCATGTGTATATGTTAGTTAGCTCTCACATATACCAGAGATATTTGTTTCACTTCAGAAAATGATCTCCAGATTCATTCATGTTGCTTGCTGGAAAAGACATGATTTCATTTGTTTGTTTTTTGGGTGTGTTTTTTTTTTTTTGAGATGGAATTTCACTATTGTTGTCTGGGCTGTAGTGCAATGGCATAATGTTGGCTTACTAAAACCTCTGCCTCCTGGGTACAAGCAATTCTCCTGTCTCAGCCTCCCAAGTAGCTCGGATTACAGGCACGTGCCACCACAGTCAGCTAATTTTTTTGTATTTAGTAGAGACGGAGTTTCAAAATGTTAGGCTGGTCACAAACTCCTGACCTCAGGTGATCCACCTGCCTTGGCCTCCCCAAATGCTGGGATTACTGCACTCAGCCTGATTTCTCTTTTTTTTTTTATCACTGCATAGTATTCCATTGTGCACATATACCACATCTTCATATTTTAATCATCCACTGATGGACAAATACGTTGATACCATATGTTTGCTATTGTTAACAGTGTTGTGATAAATATATGAGTGCAGGTATCTTTTTGATATAATGTTTTCTTTTCCTTTGGCCACACAGTAGTGGCATTTCTGGATCAAATGGTTATTCTATTTTTATTTTTTCAGAAATCTCCATATTATTTTCCAAAAAGAGGTTATGGTAATTCACCTTCCCACAATCAATGTATCAGTTCCCTTGTCTCCACACGATCATCCTTTATTTTTTGTATTTTTAATAATAGTAATCCTGACTAATGTAAGATGATACCTTATTATGGGCTTAATTTGCATTTATTTCTGATTAGTGATATTGAGCATTTCTTCACATGTCTGTGGGCAGTTAGTATATCTTCTTTTGAAAAATATTTTTCATGTCTTTATCTCACTTTTAAATCTGATTATTTGTTTTGTTATTGTTGACTTATTTGAGTTCCCCGTATATTCTGGATATTAGTCTGCTCTCAGATCATAATTTGGTAATATTTTCTCCCATGCTAAAAGTTGTCTGCATATTATTCATTTATTATTGCTGTGCAGAAACTTTTTCATTTAATTTTTGTTTTGCCAGAGAGAAAGTCCAGGTCACATACAAAGGGAAACCCATAAGACCAACAGCAGATCTCTCAGCAGATACTCTATAAGCCAGAAGAGATAGGGAACCAATATTCAACATTCTTAGGAAAAAGAATTTCCAGCTGAAAATCTTATATCTGGCCTAACTAAGCTTCATAAGTGAAGGAGATTCTAATAAGATTCTTTTCAGACAAGCAAATGCCAAGGGAATTCATCAACACCAGGCCTAATGTGCAAGAGCTCCTATAGGAGAAGCACTAAATATGAAAAGGAAAAACTGCTACCAGCCACTACAAAAACACACCGAATTACACACACCAGTGACACTATAAAGCAACTACATAAACAAATCTGCAAAATAACCAACTAGCATAATGATGACAGAATCAAATTCACACATAACAATACTAACCTCAAGTTTACATAGGCCAAATGCCACAATTAAAAGATAATGGCAAGCAGAAAAAAGAGCCAGGACCCATCTGTATGCTGTCTTCAAGAGACCCATTTCACATGCAAAGACATGCATAGGCTCAAAATAAAGGGATGGAGGAAAATTTACCAAGCAAATGGAAAACAGAAAGAAGCAAGAGTTGCAATCCTAGTTTCTGACAAAACAGACTTTAAACCAGCAAAGACCAAAAAAGACAAAGAAGGGCATTACATAATGGTAAAATGTTCAACTCAACAAGAAGAGATAACTGTATCCTAAATATATGTGCACTCAATACAAGAGCACACAGAGTCATAAAGCAAGTGCTTAGAGATATCCAAGGAGACTTAGGCTCCCACACGATAATAATGGGAGACTTTGACACCTCATTAACAATATTACACAGATCCTTGAGACAGATAATTTGCAGATATTCAGGATCTGAACTCAGCTCTGGATCAAATAAACCTGACAGATATCTGCAGAACTGTCTACCCAAATTCAACAGAATATATATTCTTCTCATTGCTGTATGGCATTTACTCTAAAATTGATCAAATAATCTGAAGTAAAACACTCCTCAGCAAATGCAAAAGAGCTGAAATTATAACAAACAGTCTGTCAGACTGCAGTGCAGTCAAAGTAGAATTCAAGATTGAGAAATTCACTCAAAACCACACAACTACATAGAAACTGAATGACCTGTTCCTGAGTGACTGTTGGGTAAACAATGAAATTAAAGCAGAAATCAATAAATTATTTGAAACTAATGAGAACAAAGAGACAATATACCAGAATCTCTGGGATGCAGCTAAAACAGTGTTGAGAAAATTTTATAGCACTAAATGCTCACATCAAAAAGCTAGAAGGGGCCAGGTGCAGTGGCTCACACCTGTAATCCCAGCACTTTCGGAGGCCAAGGCAGGTGGATCACCTGAAGTCAGGAGTTCAAGACCAGCCTAGCCAACAAGGCGAAACCCCATCTCTACTAAAAATACAAAAATTAGCTGAGTGTGGTTGTGGGGGCCTGTAATACCAGCTACCTGGGAGGTGAGGCAGGAGAATCGCTTGAACCTGGGAGGCAGAGGTTGCAGTGAGTTGAGATCGTGCCACTGCACTCCAGCCTGGACGACAAGAATGAAACTCTCTCTCAAAAAAAAAAAAAAAAAAAGAAAAGAAAAGCTAGAAGGATTTCAAGTTAACAACCAAACATCTAAACTAAAAGAAATAGAGGACCAAGAGCAAACACATCCCAAAGCTAGAAGACAAATAACCAAAATCAGAGCAGAACTGAAGAAGATAGAGACATAAAAAACCCTTCAAAAAATAAATTATTCCAGGAGCTGGTGTTTTGAAAAAATTAATAACATAGATAGACTTCTAGCTAGACTAGTAAACATGAGAGAATAATCAAATAAACACAATCAGATATGATAAAAAGGGATATCACCACTGACCCCACAGAAATACAAACCAACCATCAGAGAATGCTATTAACACCTCTATGCACATAAACTAAAAACAAAAATCTATAAGAAAAGAATAAATTCCTGGAAACTTAAGCCTTCCCAAGACTAAACCAGGAAGAAACTGAATCTCTGAAAAGATAATAACAAGTTCTGAAATTGAGGCAGTAATAAATAGCTTATAAACAACATAAAAAACAGGGCCAGATAGATTCACAGCTGAATTTTATTAGATGTATAAAGAAGAGCTGGTGTCATTTCTACTGAAACTATTCCAAAAACTTAAAAAGGAGGGACTCCTCCCTAACTCACTGTATAAGGCCAGCATCATCCTGATACCAAAACCTGGCAGAGATAAAAGAAAACTTCAGACCATTATTCATGATGAACACTGGTGCAAAAAATCTCAATAAAATAATGGCAAATTGAATCCAGCAGCACATCAAAAGATTGTCTACCACAGTCAAACTAGCTTCATTTCCAGAATGTTGGTTCAACATATGCAAAACAATAAATGTAATTCATCATGTAGACAGAACTAAAGCCAAAAACCACATGATTATCTCAATAGATGCAGAAAAGGCCTTTGATAATATTCAACATACCTTTATTTTAAAAACACTCAATAAACTAGGTATTGAAGGATCATACCTCAAAATAATAAGACTCATATATGGCAAGCCCACAGCCAATTTCATGCTGAATGGGCAAAAGCTGGAAGCATTCCCCTTGAAAAGGCACAAATCAAGGCACAAGACAAGGATGGCCTTTCTTACCACTCTATTCAACATAGAATTGGAAGTCGGCACAATCAGGCAAGAGAAAGAAATAAAGGGTATTCAAATAAGAGCAGAGGAAGTCAAATTATCTTTGTTTGCCAGTGACATAATTCTATATTTAGGAAACCCCACTGTCTCAGCCCAAAAACTTCTTACGTGCAGTAGCAACTTCAGCAAAGTGTCAGGATACAAAATGAATTGCAAAAATCACTAGTATTCTTATACACCAACAACATGCAACCCAGAGACAAATCATGAATGAATTGCCATTCCCAATTGCTACAAAAAGAACAAAATACCTAGGAATACAGCTAACAAGGGAAATGAAGGACCTCTTCAAGGAGAAGTATAAACCACTGTTCAAAGAAATCAGAGAGGATAAAAACAAATGGAGAAACATTCCATGTTCATGAATATGAAGGATCAATATTGTAAAAATTACCATATAGCCCCAAGTAATTTAGAGATTCAATGTTATTCCCATTAAACTACCACAGACATTCTTCACAGAATAAGAAAATACTATTTTAAAATTCACATAGAACCAAAAAAGAGCCTCAATAGCCAAGACAATCCTAAGCAAAGGAACAAAGCTGGAGGCATCATGCTACCTGACTTCAAACTATACTATGAGGCTACGGTAACCAAAACAGCATGGTACTGATACAAGAACAGACACATAGACCAACAAAACAGAATCAGGAACTGAAAAATAAGACTGCATACCAACAATCTTCTGATCTTCAACAATCTTGACAACAACAAGCAATAGGGAAAGGACTCCCTGTTTAATAAAATAGGAATGCTGGCTACTCATATGCAGAAAATTGAAACTGGACCCCTTCTTCTTTGTGTGTGTATGTGTATGTATGTGTGTGTGTGTGTGTGTGTGCGTGTGTGTCTGTGTGTGTGAGCTGGAGTTTCACTCTTGCTGCCCAGGTTCGAATGCAGTGGCACATTCCACTTACTGCAACCTCTGCCTTCTGGTTTCAAGTGATTCTCCTGCCTCTGCCTCCCGAGTAGCTCAGGTTACAGTCACCCACCACCATGCCCAGCTAATTTTTGTATTTTTAGTAGAGACGGGGTTTTATCATGTTGGCCAGGCTGGTCTCGAACTGCTGACCTCGTGATCCACCCACCTCTGCCTCCCAAAGTACTGGAATCACAGACATATGAGCCACCACGCCCGGTCCCCTTCTTTATACCATATACAAAAATTAAGTCAAGATGGATTAAAGACTTAAATGTAAACCCCAAAACTATAAAAACCTTAGTAGAAAATCTAGGCAATATAATTCAGGACATAGGCATGGGCAAAGATTTCATGACAAAAATGCCAAAAGTAACTGCAACAAAAGCAAACATTGTCAAATGGGATCTAATCAAACTGAAGAGCTTCTGCATAGCAAAAGAAAATATCAGACTAAACTGACAACCTACAAAATGGGAGAAAATTTTTGCAATCTATCTATCTGACAAAGGTGTAACATCCAGAGTATACAAGGAACTGAAACCAAATTTACAAGAAAAAAAACAAAAAAAATCCCATCAAAAGTGGGAAAAGAATATGAACAAACACTTCTCAAAAGAAGACATACATGTGGCCAACAAACATGGAAAAAAGCTCAACATCACTGATTGTTAGAGAAATGCAAATCAAAACCACAATGAGATGCCATCTCACACAAGTCAGAATGGCTATAATTAAAAATTTAAAAATAACAGATGCTCATGAGGTTGAGGAGAAGGGACACTTTTACACTGTTGGTGGGAATGTACATTAGTTCAACCATTGTGGAAGACAGTGTTCAATTCCTCAAAGACCTAGAGGCACAGATACCATTTGACCCAACAATCCCGTTACTGAGTATATACCCAAAGGAATAGAAATCATTCTATTATAAAGGTCCATACACATGTTATGTTCATTTGCAGCACTATTTAAAATAGCAAAGACATGATATCAACCTAAATGCCCATCAATGATAGACTGGATAAAGAAAATGTGTTCCATATACACCATGGAATACTATGCAGTCATAGAAAAGAATGAGATCATGTCATCTGCAGAGACATGGACGGAGCTGGAAGCCATTATCCTCAGCAAACTAACACAGGGAGAGAAAACCAAATACTGCATGTTCTCAATTATAAATAGGAGCTGAATGATGAGAACACAGGGATACATGGGGAGGAACAACACACACTGGGGCCTGTCAACAGTTGAGGGGGAAGAAGAGAATCAGGAAGAACAGCTAATGGACATTGGGTTTAATATCTGTGTGATGGGATGATCTGTGCAGCAAACCACCATGGCACACATTTACCTACATAACCTGCACAGCCTCCACGTGTACCACAATACTTAAAAGTTGAAAAAGAAAAAAAAATAAAGGTCTTCTCTTGCTAGCACTGAAGACCGACGGGATTGCCTCTGGTATTACGGTCAAATGAGGCTGGTGCCATTTTTAAGTATGTTGTTGGGTTCACAGTCAGATCTGCAGTTGGCAAGACTGTTATCAAGAGCACATTTAGGAGTTGGATATGGCTTTTTTGTTTCCCTGAGCACATTCCTGTTGGGTTCCTTACTGATCCCTTTGTGAGAAGTACTGGCTGCAGACTGTGGCAGAGCAGGGAGGAAATGGGTCACAGAGATGCTTCAGGAAATGCAATCAGGTCTGAGGTTGGTAGTCCTGTTACCAGGGGCACAGATCAATTTGACTTCTCCTGGGTCCCTTGGCAGAGGACAAGAAATGGGTGGCGTTTGGCTGAGTTCACAAAGAAATAGGGCTGCTTCTTGTTCACAACCAGAACCATTGGTGGTGGACCTACATCAGGGAGCATCCCTCCTTGGTCTTGGGCTCCACAGGAATTTTGCATCCTACTATGTGGATCAGTAGGCTTATATTAGATACTTTTGTCCAAGGGTGGCCACTTCATGTTTATTTCTGGGGGTGGCACACTTTGAGGACCTTCTATTCTAACATCTTGCTGACCAGCATTTCTAATTTTAAAACTGAGGCCTGAAAGCCAGAAAAGAATAATGTTCAGGTACAGGGAGAATGTATTTTCCTAATGGGTCATATAAGGATAATAGTAACTCGTGTTACTACCATTTGCACCCCTTGATTTCTGGGTCCGTGAGTCCTAGCTCTGTGAGCAATAGCACCATACACTGGATGCTGATTTGGAGCATATACAGCCTCCTGGAAAACCACGTCCCAGTTCTGCTAGGTATTGCCACTTAGCTGTCACTGTATACGTCTTCAAAAAGCCATTTCTCATTTTGTCAATCCAGCTGCTTTGGAGTAATGAGATACAAGGTAAGACCAGAAAATTCTAGGATCCTAGATCTGTTACTGAACTTCATTTGCTGTGAAAGGAGTTCCTTAATCAGAAACAATACTGTGTGGAATACCACTAAATTTGCAAAGCATCTTGTAAGTCCACAGATGGTAATTTTGACAGAAGCATTGTGTAAACAGAGGTGGATCTATATCCACGGTATGTATTTATTCTAGTAAAGAAAAATGTTTCACCTTTCATGATGGAAGCAGCCCCCTTCCCATAAGAATCTGGCTGATTACGTGGGAGAAATGTACTGTATGAGACCAACTCAGTGTTCACGTTTGCTGTTTTAATTTGGACATCCAGCAGTGTCTGTAGCCAGGCTTGTAGGCTGAAGTCCATATTCAGAAGACCATGCAAAATCTTCAACCCTTCCAACCCTTTCATTCATGACCACTTTTTTTTCATGAATGAATTAGGCAATGATAGGTGTGCTGTCTGAAGAAAGAGGCTGACCAGTATCCACAGAATGGATTATCCTATCCAGTTTATTATTAAAATCCTCCTGTTTTGAGGTTAGCCTTTGGTGAGTATTCACATGGAACCCAAATATCTTCACATATTTTGCTATCTGGAGAGGTCTGTCCACATGTATCTTCCTGAGAACCCCTTGTTACCAATTTTGCAGTTATGTTAATTCCAAGTTGCCAAACCACTGGCCACAGCCCATGAATAAGCATATAATTTTACATCTCACCATTTATCTTTCCAAGAAAAATGAACATCCAGTTGCACCACTCAAAGATTTTTCCACTTAAAGTATTTTCCTTCACCACTGTCCTTCAGAGATGTCCCAGTAGTACCACAGTTGCCTACTTTAAGGTTGTGCCTGCATAATGGGAGAGCCACTTATAAAACAAGCCCAAGTCTTCTCTTCTTTTGTCAGCTGAGTATGAGGAAATCCCCATAGGGCCATAAATATATGCTGAGAGAGAGAAGGCAGTGTGGTAGGAATGAGGATCATAAGAATTTGGGCAGCTTCTTCATGTAATATACTTGTACCTTTATAACCTGCTTGGTCCCAGATTTGTGTATAGCACTTCCACTTAATAATAGAGTGCTTTTGTGTATGCCCAAATATATGGTTTGGTTTAGTCAATAACACCAAGTGTATGACAGGCAGCTCTGATTGCATGGTAACTTGGTGGCCCATGAGTAAGCATTTATGCTACTATTTTGTCAGAGCAGCTTGCATAGCAGCCTGGACTTGTAGAAATGTTTACTTTTCTGGATGTTAGTCAACTGCCAACTTTACAGGTCACTCAGTAGAAGAGCCATAGTAGCTCAATCAAGTGATGAGTATGTTGCCTTCAAAATTCAAAGAGGCCCACTAGGCCTTTTGCTGTCTTTTAGTTTTGAGATGGGCAAGATTCAATAACTTAACAACTTCACCATAGAAGGAACTTTTTATACCACTGGAACCCTAGAAATTTACATGAAATAGAAAAGCCTTGAATTTTTGACAGATTTATTTCCCATCTGCTAACACACAAATTTCTTGCAAGTCTAGAGTAGTTGCTACTTCTAGGTCCAATTAGCATAACGTCATCCATGTAATGAATCAATGTGATACCTAGTGGAAGAAAAACGTAACCAAGATATTTGCAGACTAAACTATGACATAGGACTGGACGGTTGGTTAGGACGGTGGGGATGTTATCATTGACCTTGCAGGCTGAAAGACAATTGCTTCTGGTGGCCTCTATAAACAAGGATAAAGAAAAAGATGCAGATTGATGGCTGCATACTGGGTTTCAGGGGAGGTATTAATTTGTTCAAACAATCAAACCGTATCTGGTACAACAGCTGTAACTGGAATAACCCGGTACTTAAGTTTATGATAATCCATTGTCATTCTCCAATATCCACCTGAAGCCAAGTCTGCTTTTATTCTTCAAAGGCCAAATAGGAGAGTCAAATATGAGACCTCAATGGAGATGTGGTAGGAATCACCATGCCATCATCATACCTGCATCTTTAGGTCATTCATAGTGATGGCAATCTTTGTAGTTCCCCCAGTAATTTAGTGCTTCTTTTTGTTTACAAGTTTTCCAGATACAGGCAGTTCTAGTGGCTTCCACTTGGCCTTTTTATCCATCATAGTCCTCACTACACCAGTCAAGAAACCAAAGTAATGTTCTGCCTTAGTTTGTTCTGTGTATGTGTATTATAATATATATATATATATATATATATTGGAACTGGGGAAATAATCACAACATGAATTCAGGGATCCATGGACCTACTGAGAAAAAACTGACCTAAAATCTGTTGATTGTATGGACTTTATAATCCTCTATTCTGACTTGTCAATCTTAGGGAGATTTTGGTTCCCCTGGAATTAGCGTCATTTCAGAGCCAATGTTCAGTAATTCCTAAAAGTTCAGTAATCCCTAAAAGTTCGGTAATCCCCGTTTATTTCTTTTCTACAATGCACACAGCTTATCCTGTAAAATGCTATAGATTCCTTTGGGGAAGTCTGGAAGAAAGATTAAAAGTAGAAATTTTGTCATGTACCAAGGTCTTCATTATGAGGACCCAGCCTCTTCTACATTCTTGCTGCATAAACTTTGTCAATCTAGAAATTGACTGAGAGGCTGTGAACCTCTGTTTCTGAAGTTCAGATTAAAGTTTGTTCATTTGAAATTTTCTTTTTATACAGAGCAACTATAATTTAGTAGTCTTTCTATCTACTTCATTTCAAGGAATATCATGATTAAGTAGGCAGTGACGTAAGTCTGCTCAAGTAAGAATATTCTGCTTGCGGCTTTGACTCTGCTGTCTATTACGGCAATGATACTGACCTTGCCTCTGCTGTTTGAGGTTCACCACATGGTTCTTACCACCTGAAGATCTACTTATTCCTTTTGTGTGTAATTTTCCCAATTCACTGGCAATAGTTGCCACTTCGAGTTCTGGCTTAAAAAGAAAATGAATCACAGAAGTTTTAAAGATGCTATGGCTCCTTCACAAACTTACATTTTTTTGATCGTGATGAAAGTTACATCTTCTAGATGCTCCCAGTACAGGGTAGACATTGTTTTCCTTCCAATTTTGTTTTATTGTGGTAAAGTATACATTAAAAATGGCGATTTTAGATATTCAGTGTGCAATTCATTGGTATTATATACCTTTGTAATGTACAGTCATCACCCCTGTATAGCTCCATTTTTTTCATTTTGTATAATTAAAATTATATACACATTAGGCTGGGCGCGGTGGCTCACGCCTGTAATCCCAGCACTTTGGGAAGCCGAGGCGGGTGCATCACGAGGTCAGGAGATCGAGACCATCCTGGCTAACACGGTGAAACTCCGTCTTTACTAAAAATCCAAAAAAATTAGCCGGGCGTGGTGGCGGGCGCCTGTAGTCCCAGCTACTCGGGAGGCTGAGGCAGGAGAATGGTGTGAACCCGGGAGGCGGAGCTTGCAGTGAGTCGAGATCACTCCACTGCACTCCAGCCTGGGCAACAGAGCCAGACTCTGTCTCAAAAAAAAAAAAAAATTATATACACATTAAACACTAACTCCTCTTTCCTACCTCACCATAGTCCCTGACAATCATCATTTTGCTTTCTGTATCAATGATTTTGACTGTGCTAATAACCTCATAACTATTTATATTTTTGTGATTGGCTGATTTCACTTAGCACAATGTCTCAAAGAGTTTATCCCTGTTATAGCATATGTCAGCATTTCCTTCATTTTAAAGAATGGATAATATTCCATTGTATGTATTTATTATATTTTGCTTATTTATTCATCCCTCAGTAGGCAATGGGGCTGCTTCTACATTTAGTAATTATAAATAATACTGCTATAAACACGAGTATACAAATAAATACCTCCTTTAGATCTTGCTTTCAATTCTTATGGCTATATATCCAGAAATAGAAATAGAACTGCATGATCTAATGGTAATTCTGTTGTTTAATTTTCTGAGGAACTCTCATATTGTTTTCTGCAGTATGATAGTGATTGTACTGTTTTGCATTTCCACCAACAGATTTCAAGCAACCCAGTTTCTTCATATCCTTGTGAACACTTGTTACTCTGTTTTTGTTTTGTTGTTGTTATAGTAACCATCTTCCTGGGTGTCAAGTAGTATTTCATTTTAGTTTTGACTTACATTTCCCTGGTTATGTTATTATATTAGTAATGTTGAGCACTTTTCATATGATTATTTGTGTTATTTGTATATTTTATTTGGAGAAATGTCTATTCAGAGTGAATAATATTAAATGTCAATTTTTCTCTAACATTTCAATGTCACTAATACTTTCACTCCCTTTACACTAAACCAAGGCAAATGCAGCATTTCAAAGTTGCTGATAGTAGGCCACCTTTGTGGCCTATGTTTTAGCTGGACAACAAAAACTTTTAAAGACTTAAAAAACCCTTCCTACTTATAACATTGAATAAAGTATCACCTCTTATTTGGTACAAATGAAAAATTTTAGTTTCATCTAACTTTATATTCCTTCCATCATTATTTCCCAACCTAAATATTCATTCTTACACATATTTTCTGGGATTTTGTTTGCATAACTTAAACCCAAGTAGTTCTTTTGAAGTGTAGTGTACCTCACCTTTAGGACTGTGCTAGACCTTGATTTCAGTTATAGATCTTGAAGTAAAGAAAGGTGGTGGAGGTAGTTTCTAAGGAGAATTAACATTGTCGTGCAAGGCAACGACCTCAGAAAAGAACATTGTATTAGTGCATTGTGTGTTGTTATAAAGAAATACCTGAAGCTGGAAAATTTGTAAGGAAAAAGAGATTTCTTCTACTCTGTATAGGTATCATGGCACAAGCATCTACTTCTGCTGAGGGCTTCAGGCTGCTTCCACTCATGGCAGAAGGTAAATGGGAGCTGGTGTGTACACAGGTCATATAGTGAAAGAGGAAGCAAAGAAGAGTGGAGAGAGGTGTCAGGCTATTTTTTTTAACAACTATCTGAAGAACCAATGGAGAAGGGAGGACTTTCATCCCCTGCACACAGAGAGGGTATTAATCTGTATATGAAGGATCTGAACCCAAGTACCTCCCACTAGGCTTCACTTCCCAGCACCACTACCCTGGGGATCAAATTTCCATATGAGTTTGCAGAGGGTCAAACATGTAAACTATAGCAGGCACTGACATTTCTTTAGACAAAACAAAGTCCATTCCAGATGGCAGTTGAAAGCCTACTTCTACTTACAAAGACAGAATTTAAAAGAATTTATTCTTCTCTTCCTGCTCTTCTTTATGTAGATGTGAGACTTTCATGTACATTATTCTTCTTTCCAAAGAACTTCTTTTAATATTTCTTTTTTTACATATATTTTAGTTTAGTTTTACTCTGATTATTACAAGCATATTTTGTTCTTTAAAAATAAAAGAACTTAAGAATTATAATTGTTGCCCTTTATACCATATCTTAATATTATATAGGAAATATAAGTGTTATGCAAAGTAGTTTCTTTTGCTGATTTTTCCCGTTTAACCTACTTTTTTTTTTTTTTTTTTTTTTCAGTTCATCTGCACCTGGAGCTTTTTCAAGAAAACTCAGGGAGGTGGCAAGGAACATGTATAGCAGCACTTAAGGCTGATTTCAAGGGCAATAGCTAGAAGCCTTAGTAGGACCTAAAACTTTTTGTTTAATTGACAGTTTAACAAATTTTTTATATCAGAGAAGTGGGAGGACAAAATTATAGAGTCATGGGTACAATATCTAAAAATATGTGAATAAATGTTAAAAAAATAAGCCCTTAGCTCACAGCATTCCATGTTCTTAAAGTATGGCACCAGTCCTTATTCTTTATTCTTCTTTTCCTGCTTTTCTTTTCTTTATGTGAGACTTTCATGCATGTTATTCTTCTTTCCAAAGAACTTCTTTTAATATTTCTTATAGGTTTATGGTACAAAATATTCTTAGTTATTCTTTGTCTCAGATAGTTTTTATTTCTCTTCTACTTTGAAAGATAATTTTTGCAGAATATAGGATTCTGATTTGTTGACCCTTCAGCTCTTTAAATAATTTACTCCACTCTTCTTGCTTGCATGGTTTCTGAGAAGTCACGTAATTCTTACTTTGCTTCTCCACAGGAAAGGTGTTCCTCTGCCCCCAGTTTCTTTAAGAATTTTATCTTCTTAAAAAATTTTAAAAATTAAATTAAAATTTTAGAAGTCTGAACATAATATGTTGAGATATAGTTTAGTTTTGTTTTTGGCATTTATTCTCTGATTTTCTCTGATCTCCTGGGTCTGTGGTGTGGTATCCTACATTAATTTTTGAAAATCCTCAGTTTCATTGCTTCACATACTTTCTTGTTTCTTTTTCTTTTCCTTCCATCATGGTATATTCTAGTATATAAACGTGTTATATTTTTCATAGTTGTCTCAGTTCATTGATATTACGTTTCACTTTTACAATTTATTTTTATTTTAAAAATTTATTTTATATTTAACTTTTGTGATCCATAGTAGATTATGTAAATATGTGTGTATATGAGCATAAATATATATTTATTGGGTGTATGAGATATTTTGATACAGGCATATGATGAATAGTCACATAAGGGTAAATGGGGTATTCATTACTTCAAGCAATTATCCCTTCTTTGTGTTATAAACAATTCAATTACACCTTTTAACTTATTTTTAAGTGTACAATAAATTATTGTTGAGTGTAATATTTCATTTTTAAGGTGTTTTTTCCTTTATTTTCTTGTTTTTGCAATCACTACTGACATATATCCAGGCTTAGAATTTTTTCTCTCAAGCTTGTTTTCAGTCTAATGAGCCCATTAAAGGCATTTTGCATTTCTGTTAGTCTCTTTTGTCCCTAGCATTTTTTTTATTCTTAGAATCTCCATCTCTATTTACTTTGTTTATCCATTCTTGCATATTGTCTACTTTTTCCATCAGAACTATTAGCATATTAATCAGACTTGTTTTAAATTTGTAAACAAGTCTGATTAATGTTATATTCCAACATCTCTGTTATATTTGAGTCTTATTCTCATGCTTTCTCTGTCTTTTCAAATTATTATTACTATTATTTTGCCTTTTAATATGTTAATTTATTGCTGAAAGGCAGACATGAAATAGTGGGTAAAATATGTCTTTACTGAAATGGTAAGGTGTAAAAAATGGTAAGTATTCTATAATCTTACAATTAGTACCCCGTGCCCCCGGGCTGTGACTTTTGCTAGTGCTTCTCAGTCCCCAAGAAAAAAAATGCCTAAAGGGGACTAGAATTGTGTATTTCCCTTTCCCCAGGTCATTTATAAGATCTGAAAGGTTAAGGTTTAGTGAAACAAGTTTTCTTGAGGATAAGATCCAAATGTTCTTTTAAATTTTTTTATTTTAGATTCAGAGGATAAATATGCTTGTTTGTTTCATGGGACTTTTTGTACATTTACTGCATAATGGTAGGGATTGAGCTTCTAGTGTATCCATCACCCAAAAAGTGAACATTGTACTCAATAGGTAATTTTCAAACCTTCAGCCACTTCCCAGTTTTTCATCTTATGAAGTCCCCAGTGTCCATTATCTCCATCTTCATGTCAATGTGGACCTGTTGTTTAGCTCCCACTTATGAGTGAGAACATGTGACATTTAACTTGGCTTCTTAGTTCACCTAGAACATTAGCTTCCAGTTCCATCTATGTTGCTGCAAAAAGCATGATTTTATTCTTTTTTATGGTTGCATATATTCTATGTATATATACCATGTTTTCTTCAAGTGAAGCATTGGTAGACACTTAGGTGTGTTCCATGACTTTGCTATTGTGAATAGTGCTGCAATAGACATAGGAGGGCAGATGTCTTTTTAATATAATTATTTCTTTTCCTTTGGGTAGATACCCAGTAGTGGAATTCCTGGGTCAAATGGTAGTTCTATTTGTAGTCCTTTGAGCTATTTTCATATTATTTTCCACAGACATTGAACTAATTTTTATTCCCATCAAAAATGTATCTGATCCTTTTTTTCTACATTTACACCAACAGTATCTTTTTTTTTTTTGACCTATTAATAATAGCCATTCTGGTGTGTAAGATGATATCTCAGTGTGGTTTTAATTTTTGTAATGATTAGTAATATTGAAGATTTTTTTCATATGTTTGTTGGCTGCTTATATTTCTTCTAGTGAGAAATGTCTGTTTATGTCCTTTGCCCATTTATTAACAAGGTTTTTTTTTTTTTTTCTTGCTGAGTTGAGTTACTTGTAGATTCTGGATATTAGCTGTTTGTTGGAGAGGCATAATTTGGAAATATTTTCTCTTGTTCTGTAGTTGTCTGTTTATTCTGTTAGTTGTATCTGTTGCCATGCAGGAGCACATTAGTTTAAAGAAGTCCCATTTGTGTATTTTTGCTTTTGAGCCATTTGCTTCTGGGATCTTTCAAAATTTCTTTGCCTAGGCTGATGTCCAGAAGAGGTTTTCCTAGGTTTTCTCCAAGGTTTTTTGTAGTATAAGGTTTTACATTTAGATTTTCAATCCATTTTGAATTAATTTTTGCATGTGGTAAGAGTCTAGTTTTATTCTTATGCACATAGCTAGCCAGTTTTCTCAGTACCATTTATTGAATAGGTTGTCTTTTCCCTGTTATTTTTGTCAGCTTTATCAAAGATCAGTTGACTGTAGCTTTGTGGTTCTATTTGTGCTTCCCTATTCTCTTCCCTTAATCTTTATGTCTATTTTTGCGGCAATATTATGCAGGCTTTTTTTACTATGGCCTTGTAATATAATTTTGAATCAGTCATTGTGATGCTTCTGACTTGTTATTTTTGCTTAGGAATGCTTTGGCTATTGGAGCTGGGGTTTTTTGTTAATTTCATACGTACTTTAGGATTTTTTTTCTAATTGCTTGAACAATGGTATTGGTAACTTAATAGCAATTGCATTAAATATGTAAATTGCTTTGGGGAATATGGTCTTTTTTTTTTTTTTTTTTTTGAGACGGAGTCTCGCTCTGTCGCCGAGGCTGGAGTGCAGTGGCAGTGGCGTGATCTCGGCTCACTGAAAGCTCCGCCTCCCGGGTTCACGCCATTCTCCTACCTCAGCCTCCCGAGTAGCTGGGACTACAGGCGCCCGCCACCATGCTCGGCTGATTTTTTTGTATTTTTAGTAGAAACAGGGTTTCACCGTGTTAGCCAGGATGGTCTCGATCTCCTGAGCTCGTGATCCGCCCGCCTCGGCTTCCCAAAGTGCTGGGATTACAGACGGAATGTGGTCATTTTCATAGCATTGACTTTTTCAATCCATTAACATGGGATGTTTTCCAATTATCTCATCTATGATTTATTTCATCAGTATTTTATAGTTCTCCTTGTAGAGATCTTTCACCTTTTTCATTAAATATATTCCTAGCTATTTTATTTTTTTGTCTGACCATTGTAAATGTATGAGTTTTTAATTTTGTTCTCAACTTGAACATTATTGCTGTACCGAAATGCCACTGCTATTTGTACATTGATTTTATATCCTGAAACTTTTCTAAAGTCTATTGGCAAGTCTAAGAGTCTTGCAGAGGAGTTTTAAAAGTTTTGTAGGTATACAACCATATCATCAGTAAACAGAGATAATCTAACTTTCTGTTTTCCAATTTGGATGCTTTTTATTTCTTTATATTGCCTGATTGCTCTCGCTGGGACTTGCAGTACTGTGTTGAATAGGAGTCGTGAAAGTAGACATCTTTGTCTACTTCCAGTTGCTATGGGGAATGACTTTAACTATTCTCCATTCACTATGAAGTTGGCTGTGGGTTTGTCATATATGGTTTTTATTATTTTGAGATATGTTCCTTATATTCCTAGTTTGTTGAGAGTTTTTATTCATGAAGGGATGTTAGATTTTATCAAAAGCTTTTTCTATTGAGATGATCATATAATGTTTGATTTATTTATATGATGAATCACATTGATTAATTTGTGAATGTTGAACTATCCTTGAATACATTTATTGATTTGTGAATGTTGAAGTATCCTTGAATCCCTGGAATAAAGCCTACTTGATTTTGATAAATTATTTTATTGATGTGCTGTTGGATTCAATTTGCTAGTATTTTTTCTAGGATTTTTGCTTCAGAGTTTTGACCTGTCAGTTTTTTTTTGTCCTTACCTATTTTGGTAACTTTGGAATACTTACTCACAAAATTAATTAGAGAGAATACCTTCCCTTTAGTTTTTGGGAATAGCTTCAGTAGCATTGGTACCAGCTCTTCTTTGTATATGTGGTAAAATTTGGCTGTAAATCTGTCTGGTTTTGAACTTTTTTTGCTAGGATATTTTCTAAAATTACTAATTTGATTTCTTTGCATATTATTGGTCTAGTCAGAGTTTCTATTTTTTCCTGATTGAATCTTGGGAGGTTGTATGTTCCAAGAATTTATCATTTCTTCTAGGTTTTCTAATTTGTGCACATAGTGGTGTTTATTATAGTGTCTGATTATCTTTCATACTTCTGTAGTGCCAGTTATAATGTTATCTTTATCACTTCAGATTGTACTTATTTTAATCATCTGTCTTTTTTGTGGTTAGTCTAGCTATTGGTCTGTCAATTATGTTTATTCTTTCAAAAAACAAACATTTCATTGATCCTTTGTATTGGCTTTTTGGTCTCAACTTCATTTAGTTCTATTCTAATACTTGTTATTTGTTTTCTTCTGGTAGCTTTAGGTTTGGTTTGTTCTTATTTTTCTACTTCCTTCAGGTATGATGTTAGGTTGTTAACTTGAAATTTTAAAACTATTTTATGTAGGAATTTAATGCTGTAAACTTTCCTCTTGGCATTGGTTTTACTTTATCCTAGAGCTTTTCGTATGGTATCTACTTTCTTTTTTAAAACAATTTTAAAAGTATCTGTCTTAATTTTCTTGTTTATAGAAGACTCTTTCAGGAGCAACTTTTTAGTTTTCATGAACTTGTGTAAATGTGAGACTTCCTCTTGGTATTAATTTCTATGTTTATTCCACCAGTCTGAGATGATACTTGATAAGATGTTGAATTTTTTGAATGTATTGAGATATGTTTTAGCCAAGCACATCATTGTTTTTGAGAATGTCTCATGTGCAGACAAGAAAAATGTATATTCTGTGGCTGTAGGGTAGAATGTTCTATAAATGTCTGTCTAATCCATTTGGTCTATATTCCAGTTTAAGTCCAGAGTTTCTGTGTTGATTTTCTGCCTTCTTGATCTATCTAGTAATATCAGTTTGATGTTTAAGTCCCCACAGTTATTATATTGCTATCCATCTGTTTTCCTAGGTCTAGTAGTATTTGTTTTATAAATCTGGTTGTTCTGCTATTGAATGCATATACATTTAGGATGGGTAAATCTTCTTGTACTGAACCATCTATCATTGTACAATCAATTTTTTTTGTCTTTTTTTTTACTGCTATTTATTTAGTCTGTTTTATCTCATGTGAGAATGGCTACTTCTGCTTGCTTTTGTTTTTCATATGTGTGATGTATCTTTTTTATGATGTGTCCACATGTGTCTTTAGCAAGTAGGTGCATTATTAGCCAATTTGCCACTCAGTATCTTTTAAGTGGAGCATATAGCCACTTATATTCAAAATTAATATTGATATATGAGGTTTTGTTCCTCTCATAGTGTTGTTAGCTAGTTGTTTTGGAGTTTTAGTTGTGTAATTGCTTATAAAATCTGTGTGTTTTGTACTTATATGTCCTTTTCTGATGGCAACTACTATTCTTTTGTTTCCATGTTTTCAACTCCTTTGAGCATTTCCTGTAGGACCAGTCTAATGGTGACATATTCTCTTAACACTTGCTTATCTGGAAAATGTTTTATTTCTCTTTCATTTAGGAAGCCCAGTTTGGCAGGAAATTTTGGTTGGCTACTTTTCTTTAAGGATCTAACTCTAGACCCTCGATGTGTTCTCTTTTATAGGCTTTCTATTGTGAAGTCCACTGTTCATCTGATCAATTTTCCTTCATGGGTGATTTAACTTTTTTCTCTAGCTGCCTTTGAGACTTTTTCTTTAGCATTTGCCTTGACTAGTCTGGTAATAGTCATCTTGTGTCACAGGTGGTCTCTGAATTTCTTGTATCTGGAATATTTATTTAACACTTCTCTAGCACGATTAGGAAAATTTTCCTGAATTATTCTCTCAGGCAAGAGCAGGGCTGTGCTGTGTCCCTTTCACTCGGCAGGGGAGGTCTCCTTAGGTGGAGCAATGGAGACTGGCAATTGTGGGGTGCATGGCACATTCACACTTCCCTCCTGCAGAAGCAGTGTTTGATTTAGCTGTTAGGAGCAAGTGAAGGTGCCAGGACTCCCTACTTTCTCCTTGGCTCCAGGGGCAGCAAGGACAAATGCAGCAATAGCTATAATTATGAAAGTGTTATCAGTGGCCTCTTGGAGTTGAGCTCTCAGAGGAAGACCAAGCTGCAGCTGCAGTGTTCAGGTGGGGTTGGGGCAGCTGTGCTGGAGGCATGTCACTGAATTAGGCAAGTCCTGTTTGGTAGAAAGCAGCAAAGGCAGGGATTTAGGTAGTGTGCAGTCTACCTGCTGATCCTTTGAATCTTCAATCTGTTGGGGGCATGCAAGAGTGCTGAGTCTCCCCAATCCCTCCCTATACTGGGGATGACAGTGTTAGAGGAGGTGGAGGCAGCAAATGTGAAGCATGTATTTGTAGTCTTTAGGAGTTGGACTCTCAGAGAAACACAAAGCCATAGCTGTAGTATTTAGGCAGGTACAAGTCACTTGTGCTGGAGGCCTGAAACAGGCAAGACACATTTGGTAAGAGCAGTGGAGGTGAGAAGTTGTCATGCATTTCTCCTGCTCCTGCATACCATGGCTGTAGGATGTGTCTTGAGATATGTGAAAGTGCCTTGCCTCCCTCCTTGGTGGTGTAATGGCTGCTCATGGGTCAAAAACCCATGGGATTCATGTCAGCTATAGTGTTGCCTCTGCACAGTCCCCAGGTAGCATTGTTTTTAAATCTGGAGGCTCAGGGGGATGTATAAGGCTTTCCTTTGACTAGGATTGTAAAGGTCTGTGGTGGAGGTGTGGAATCCTGGGGGTCTCTCACTTGCTTATCCCTTTACCACATTAGGGAGCCTCCCTGCCTGGCTCTGCTCTCCTCTACTTTTCATGGGTCGCATTGCTTCTCTGGTAAATCCCAGCATGCTCTCTTAGATAATCAAGTTGGAGTCTTATTATTTACTCGCTATTTTGGTTCCTCTGCATCAGACAGGCAGTTACTAGCTGCTTCTAATCAGCCATCTTAAACAACCTTCCGAATATTCTGATGTTCTTCCAAATTCCCATCTCCCTCCTACCACTACAAGGAGTATATGTAGATTTTTCTCTGATTTTGCTGTGAGAAACTAGCAGAGCTTCTGGAGGTAAAATACAATTTGTGTGGTCCTCCTATTGCTGGGTCTCCCCTATGTGTCCCTGGGGCTTTTAGTTCTCAGACTTGTCCGTACTAAGTTTCCAGCAATTAATCCACAATAGTTTAGGTTTTCCTTTTGGAGTACTAATTCCTGTGGTGATTTCTGCTCTTGTATAACCCGTAAACAGTGATTCTCTATATTCTCCTGTCTCTTTCTAATTTTGGGGCAGCATTAATTTGTTCTGTGACCTCGGTTTTCCAATAGATCTAAGAAGAACTATTGATTTTTTAGTTTGTTTTGCTTTTTACTTGCTAGGATGAAGGAACAACTTTCAAGCATCTTACATACCCAAACAGAAACTATAATTCTATGGTTTTAAAATATGTATTTTGAAGTGTGCTAATGCAATTGTTTTTATTTAAACAACTTTTATTCTCCAATTCATAGGCAATCAGAACAGGTACAATATTGTGCAAACATTACAACTATGAATTTCCAGAACATTAAAAAATCATCCCAAACAGAAACTCTGTACTTACAAAACAACAATTTTCATTACTCTGCCCCAGCATTCATAGCCTCTAATTTCTGTCTCTATAAATTTGCCTGTTCATCTAGGTAACTCATATGAGTGGAGGTTTGCCTCCACTACACAAATGTTTGCCCATTTGTGTTTGGTTTCTTTCACTTTACATAGTTTTCCCCCACAGTTTATCCATGTCATAGCATGTATCCAAATTTTAATTCCCTTTAAGGCCGAATAATATTCTATTCATATGTATATAACACATGTTTATTTGTTCCTCTGTTGACAACATTTGGGTTGTTTTAATCTTTTGACTATTTTGAAGAGTGCTGCTCTGAACATTGGTATACAAGTATCTGTGCAATCATTTGGATGTGATTTTTTGACCCTGATATTTATCATGTTGAAATTGAGCCCCAAAGTTAGAGATAGGCCCTGATAGGAGGAGTTTTGATCATGGGGTGGATCCTTCATGAATGACTTAGTATGAGTAATGAGTGAGTTATTGCTCTACCAGTTTCCATGAGAATTCTCTTAAGAGTTGGTTGTTAGAAGAAACTGGCACCTCCTCTCACTTCCTCTTGCTTCTTCCTGTCATGTGATCTCTGCACGTGCTGACTCCCCTTCATCTTCTGCCGTGAGTGGAAGCTCCTTGAGACTCTCCACCAGAAGCAGATCCTGGGGCCATGCTTATACAGTCTGTAGAACCATGAGGCAAATAAAACTGTTTTCTTTATAAGTTACCTAGCCTCAGGTATTCCTTTATAGCAACACAAATAGACTATATAATGTTTAAAGAATTGCATTTACTTCTGTAGGGGAAAATACCTAGAAATGGATTTTTTTGGTTTATATGGTAATTCTATACCTCTTTGAAGCACTGCCAAACTGTTTTTCACAGTGGCTACATCATCTTATATTTTACCATCAATGCACAAAGATTCACATTTCTCTGCATTCACTAACATTTGCCATATTGTTTTTTTCTTACATTTCTTTCAGTCTTTCTTTTTTGTTTTTTGATAACAGCTATCCCAAAAGGTAGTATTTCGTTATGGATTTGATTTACATTTATTTAATGGTTTGTGATATAGAATAGGCTATTGGTATAGCCTTTTTGGAGAAATGTCTATTAAACCCTTTGGCCACTTAAAAACTTTTTTTGAGTTGTTGAAGTTTTTTACATGTATATTTGATACTAATCTATTTTCAGATATGAAATCTACAAATATCTTATTTGTGGGTTGTCTTTTTAACCCAATTGATAGTTTTTTTGAATAAACTAGTTTTTAATTTTGATAAATTTCAACATATCTAATTTTGTTGTTGCCTATGCTTTGGTCCTATATCCTAGAATTCATTGCCATATCAACTGTCATAACTTATTTTCTCCTGTGTTTTCTTTTTTTTTTTTTTTTTTTTTTTGAGACAGAGTCTCACTCTGTAGCCTAGGCTGAAGTGCAGTGGTGAGATCTTGGCTCACTGCATCCTCCACCTCCCAGGTTCAAGCAATTCTCCTGCCTCAGCCTCCCAAGTAGCTGGTATTACAGGCATGCATTAGCACACCCAGCTAATTTTTTGCATTTTTAGTAGAGATGGGGTTTCACCATATTGGTCAGGCTAACCTCAAATTCCTGACATCGTTATCTGACAGCCTCAACCTCCCAAAGTGCTGGGATAGGCATGAGCCACTATTCTCCTGTATTTTCTTGGAAAAGTTTTATAGTTTTATGTTTTACACTTAGCTCCTGAATACACTTTCAGTTAACTTTTGTGTATTATACAAGGCAAAGGCCCAACATCATTCTTTTGAATAGCTATTGTTTCTTTTTTTTGTTTTTAAATTATACTTTAAGTTCTAGCGTACATGTACCCAACGTGCAGGTTTGTTACATAGGTATACATATGCCATGTTGGTTTGCTGCACCCATCAGTTAGTCATTTACATTAGGTATTTCTCCAAATGCTCTCCCTCCCCCAGCTCCCAATCCCCGACAGACCCCAGCGTGTGATGTTCCCCGCCCTGTGTCCATGTGTTCTCATTGTTCAATTCCCACCTATAAGTGAGAACATGCGGTGTTTGGTTTTCTGTCCTTGTGATAGTTTGCTCAGAATGATGGTTTCCAGCTTCATCTGTGTCCCTGCAAAGTGCATGAACTCATCCTTTTTTATGGCTGCTTAGTATTCCATGGTATATATGTGCCACATTTTCTTAATCCAGTCGATCATTGATGGACATTTGGGTTGGTTCCAAGTCTTTGCTATC
The DNA here is from genome assembly GCF_000001405.40 of Homo sapiens. NCBI lineage: Eukaryota > Metazoa > Chordata > Mammalia > Primates > Hominidae > Homo > Homo sapiens. Next base: position 13,038,748 of record NC_000024.10, on the reverse strand, counting down.
ATGAATAGTGCCACAGTAAACATACGTGTGCACATGTCTTTATAGAGGCATGATTTTACAGTCCTTTGGGTATATACCCAGTAATGGGATCGCTGGGTCAAATGATATTTCTAGTTCTAGATCCCTGAAGAATCGCCACACTGCCTTCCACAGTGGTTGAACTAGTTTACAGTCCCACCAACAGTGTAAAAGCATTCCTATTTCTCCACATCCTCTCCAGCATCTATTGTTTCCTGACTTTTCAATGATCACCATTCTAACTGGCGTGAGATGGTATCTCATTGTGGTTTTGATTTGCATGATGAGCATTTTTTCATGTGTCTATTGGCTGCATAAATGTCTTCTTTTGAGAAGTGTCTGTTCGTATCCTTTGCCCACTTTTTGATGGGTTTGTTTTTTTCTTGTAAATTTGTTTAAGTTTTTCGTAGATTCTGGATATTAGCCCTTTGTCAGATGGGTAGATTGCAAAAATTTTCTCCCATTCTGTATGTTGCATGTTCACTCTGATGGTAGTTTCTTTTGCTGTGCAGAAGCTCTTTAGTTTAATCAGATCCCATTTGTTAATTTTGGCTTTTGTTGCCATTGCCTTTTGTGTTTTAGTCATGAAGTGTTAGCCCATGGTCCTGAATGGTATTCCCCAAGTTTTCTTCTGGGGTTTTTATGGTTTTAGGTATTATACATAAGTCTTTAATCCAATCTTGAGTTAATTTTTGCATAAGGTGTAAAGAAGGGATCTAGTTTCAGCTTTCTACATATGGCTAGCCGGTTTTCCCAGCAACATTATTATTTAGAGAGTCCTTTCCCATTTGCTTGTTTTTGTCAGGTTTGTCAAAGATCAGATGGTTATAGATGTGTGGTATTATTTCTGAGGACTCTGTTCTGTTCCATTGGTCTATCTCTGTTTTGGTACCAGTACCATGCTGTTTTGGTTACTGTAGCCTTGTAGTATAGTGTGAAGTCAGGTAGCGTGATGCCTCCAGCTTTGTTCTTTTTGCTTAGGATTGCCTTGGCTATGCGGGCTCTTTTTTGGTTCCATATGAACTTTAAGGTAGTTTTTTCCAATTCTATGAAGAAAGTCGTTGGTAGCTTGATGGGGATGGCATTGAATAAGTAAATTACCTTGGGCAGTATGGTCATTTTCATGATATTGATTCTTCCTATCTGTGAGCATGGAATGTTCTTCCGTTTGTTTGTGTCCTCTTTTATTTCATTGAGCAGTGGTTTGTAGTTCTCCTTGAAGAGTTCCTTCACATCCCTTGTAAGTTGGATTCCTAGGTATTTTATTCTCTTTGAAGCAATTGTGAATGGGAGTTCACTAATGATTTTCAGTCTCTGTTTGTCTATTATTGGTGTATAAAAATGCTTGTGATTTTTGCACATTGATATTGTATCCTGAGACTTTGCTGAAGTTGCTTCTCAGCTTAAGGAGATTTTGGGCTGAGATGATGGGGTTTTCTAAATATACAATCATGTCATCTGCAAACAGGGACAATTTGATTTCCTCTCTTCCTAATTGAATAGCCTTTATTTCTTTTCCTGTCTGATTGCCCTGGCCAGAACTTCCAACACTATGTTGAATAGGAGTAGTGAGAGGGCATCCCTGTCTTGTGCCAGTTTTAAAGGGAATGCTTCCAGTTTTTGCCCATTCATTATGATATTGGCTATGGGTTTGTCATAAATAGCTCTTATTATTTTGAGATACATTCCATCAATACCTAGTTTATTGAGAGTTTTTATCATAAAGGCTGTTGAATTTGGTTAAAGGCCTTTTCTGTATCTATTGAGATAATCATGTGGTTTTTGTCTTTGATTCTGTTTATGTAATGGATTACGTTTATTGATTTGTGTATGTTGAACCAGCCTTGCATGCCAGGGATGAAGCCCATTTGATCTTGGTGGATAAGCTTTTTGATGCTGCTGGATTTGGTTTGCCAGTATTTTCTTGAGGATTTTCACATTGATGTTCATCAAGGATATTGGTCTAAAATTCTCTTTTTTTGTTGTTGTTGTGTGTCTGCCAGGCTTTGGTACCGGGAAGATGCTGGCCTCATAAAATGAGTTAGGGAGGATTCCCTCTTTTTCTATTGATTGGAATAGTTTCAGAAGGAATGGTACCAGCTCCTCTTTGTACTTCTGGTAGAATTTGGCTGTGAATCTATCTGGTCCTGGACTTTTTTGGTTGGTAGATATGAATTATTGCCTCAATTCAGAGTCTGTTATTGGTCTACTCAGGGATTCAACTTCTTCCTGGTTTAGTCTTGGGAGGTGTATGTGTCAAGGAATTTATCCATTTCTTCTGGATTTTCTAGTTTATTTGTGTAGATGTGTTTATAGTATTCTCTGATTGTAGTTTGTATTTCTGTGGGATCAGTGGTGATATCCCCTTTATCATTTTATATTGCATCTATTTGATTCTTCTCTCTTTTCTTCTTTATTAATCTTGCTAGTGGTCTATTTTGTTGATCTTTTCAAAAAACCAGCTCCTGGATTCAATGATTTTTTTAAGAGTTTTTTGTGTCTCTATCTCTTTCACTTCTGCTCTGATCTTAGTTATTTGTTGTCTTCTGCTAGCTTTTGAATTTGTTTCCTCTTGCTTCTCTAATTCTTTTAATTGTGATGTTAGAGTGTTGAATTTAGATCTTTCCTGCTTTCTCTTGTGGGAATTTAGTGTATAAATTTCCCACTGCACACTGCTTTAAATGTGTCCCAGAGATTCTGATATGTTGTGTCTTTGTTCTCACTGGTTTTAAAGAACATCTTTATTCTGCCTTCATTTTGTTATGTACCCAGTGGTCATTCAGGAGCAGGTTGTTCAGTTTCCATGTAATTGTGCAGTTTTGAGTGAGTTTCTTCATCCTGAGTTCTAGTTTGATTGCACCATGGTCTGAGAAACGGTTTCTTGTTATTTCTGTTCTTTTACATTTGCTGAGGAGTGCTATACTTCTAATTATGTGGTCAATTTTGGAATAAGTCTGATGTGGTGCTGAGAAGAATGTATATTCTGTTGATTTGGGGTGGAGAGTTCTGTAGATGTCTATTAGGTCGGCTTGGTGCAGAGCTGAGTTCAAGCCCTGAATATCCTTGTTAACCTTCTGTCTCGTTGATCTGTCTAATATTGACAGTGGGATATTAAAATCTCCGATTATTATTGTGTGGGAGTCTAAGTCTCTTTGTAGGTCTCTAAGGACTTGCCTTATGAATCTGGGTGCTCCTGTATTGGGTGCATATATATTTAGGATAGTTAGCTCTTTTTGTTTAATTGATCCCTTTACCATTATGTAATGGCCTTCTTTGTCTCTTTTCATCTTTGTTGGTTTAAAGTCTGTTCTGTCAGAGACTAGGACTGCAACCCCTGCTTTTTTGTTTTGTTTTGTTGTCCATTTGTTTGGTAGATCTTCCTCCATCCCTTTATTTTGAGCCTATGTGTATCTCTGCACATGAGATGGGTCTCCTGAATACAGCACACTGATGGGACTTGACTCTTTACCCAATTTGCCAGTCTGTGTATTTTAATTGGAGCATTTAGCCCATTTACATTTAACATTAATATTGTTATGTATGAATGTGATCATGTCATTATTATGTTAGCTGGTTATTTTGCTTGTTAGTTGATGCAGTTTCTACCTAGCATTGATGGTCTTTACAATTTGGCATGTTTTTGCAGTGGCTGATACCGCTTGTTCCTTTCCATGTTTAGTGCTTCCTTCAGGAGCTCTTGTAAGGCAGATCTGATGGTGACAAAATCTCTTACCATTTGCTTGTCTGTAAATGATTTTATTTCTCCTTCACTTGTGAAGCTTAGTTTGGCTGGATATGAAATTCTGGGTTGAAAATTCTTTTCTTTAAGAATGTTGAACATTGGTCCCCACTCTCTTCTGGTCTGCAGGGTTTCTGCCAAGAAAGCCACTGTTAGTCTGATGGGCTTCCCTTTGTGGGTAACCCAGCCTTTCTCTCTGGCTGCCCTTAACATTTTTTCCTTCCTTTCAACCTTGGTGAATCTAACAATTATGTTTCCTGGGGTTGCTCTTCTTGCGGAATATTTTTATGGTGTTCTCTGCATTTCCTGAATTTGAATATTGGCCTGCCTTGCTAGGCTGGGGAAGTTCTCCTGGATAATATCCTGAAGAGTGTTTTCCAACTTAGTTCCATTCTCCCCATCACTTCCAAGTACACCAATCAAACGCAGATTTGGTCTTTTCACATAGTCCCATATTTCTTGGAGGACTTGTTCATTTCTTTTTACTCTTTTTTCTCTAATCTTGTCTTCTCACTTTATTTCATTAATTTGATCTTCAATCACTGATATCCTTTTTTCCACTTGATTGAATTGGCTATTGAAGCTTGTGCATGCATCACAAAGTTCTCATGCTGTGGTTTTCAGCTCCATCAGGTCATTTAAGGTCTTCTCTACACTGTTTACTCTAGTTAGCCTGAATAGCTATTGTTTCTAAGCACTGTTGAAGACTTTGCTTTCTCCCAACTTTGGCAAAGTTCATTGCACCAAGTGTGAAGGTTTATTCCTGGTCTCTCTATTGTATTTTATTGTTCTATTTGTCTGTTCTCGTATCAGTGAAATTCTATTTGATTGCTTTGTAATAAAAATTGAAATGAAGAAGTGTGAGATGGCTAACTTTGTTCTTCTTGTGTAAGACTGTTTTGCCTGAAGACTCGTTGTACATTTTAGTATGGGGGTTTTTGTTGTTGTTGTTGTTGTTTTGTTGTTGTTTGAGACAGAGTCTCACTCTGTCACCCAGGCTGGAGTGCAGTGGCTCAATCTCAGCTCACCGCAATGTTCGCCTCCTGGGTTCAAGCGATTCTCCTGCCTCAACCTTCTGAGTACCTGGGAGTACAGGCACCCACCACCAAGCCTGGCTAATTTTTGTATTTTTAGTAGAGTTGGGGTTTCACCAGGTTTGGCCAGGCTAGTCTGGAATTACTAACCTCAGATGATTTGCTCACCTGGACCTCCCAAAGTGCTGGAAATACAAGCATGAGCCATGTCACCCAGCCAGACATCAATGTTTTGTAGTTTTAATAATACAATTGTTTTATATTATTTGCTACATTTATCACCAAGTGTTTAATCTTTTTAGTGCTACTGTAAGTAGAATTGTTTACTTAAGTTTTTTCAGTTTGTTAAATAATAGTCCATAAAATGCAACTGATTTGTGTTTCTTTGATTTTGTATAATACAACTTTCTGACTTTATTAATTTCAAGAGGATGTGTGTGTGTGTGTGTGTGTGTGTATGTGTGTGTGTGTACTTTTCAGACTTTCTACATATAAGATCATCCTGTCTGCAAACACAGATTTTTTTTTTTTTTTAACAGACAGCCTCTTGCTCTGTCATCCAATCTGGAGTATAGCAGTTTGACTATAGGCCACTGCAAACTTGAACTGCTGGACTTAAGCTATCCTCCCACCTCAGCCTCCCATATTGCTTGGACTACAGGCATACACCATTACATCTGGCTAATTTTCTTTTTAAAATAAAAATTGTTGTAGAGATGATGTTTCACTGTATTGCCCAGCTTGGTCTGAAACTCCTGGCCTCAACTAATACTCCCTCCTCAGCTTCCCAGTGTTTTGGGATTATAGGAGTGAGCCACCATTCCTGGGCCTATTTTACTTTTTTCTTTTCAATTTGGATGCTTTTAGTTTCTTTTTCCTGCTTGATTGCTCTGAAGAGTTCTTCCAGTACTGTGTGGAAGTATTAGAACTTGACATCCTTGTTCTCTTTCTGATCTTGGAGGAAAAGTATTTAGTTTTCCTGTATTGACTACTAGCAGCTGTGGGTTTTTGTATATAGTCTTTATTGTGTGAGGAAAATTTTTCTGTTTCTAGTCTGTTGAGTGTTTTTATGATGAAAGAGTATTACAGGTTGTCAAATGCTTTTTCTTCACCAACTTCAATGGCCATGTGGTATTTTATCTTCATTTGAGTAATGTGGTACATTCAACTGATGTTTGTACATTGACATTCTTTCATTCCAGGAACAAGATCACTGGTAATTGTGTATAATACTTTTAACATGCATTAAAATTTACACTTTTTAAGGTGGATCCTCTGGGTATACAACATACATAACAAACTTTATACAATTTACTTAGAAATAATGCTTACCATTTCAATTAAAATATAGAAACCTCACAACCCTATATGTTTTATTGCCACATTCCTTTAGTATGTGCTCACTTAATTGTTACATTTTCAAACAAGGAAATCTTATTAACAATATTATAATAATTTTTTCATTTTTTTCACATTTCAAAAATTTAATAGGTAAGATCAGCTTAAGAGACAAAAGTAGCCTATTTTACACAGATTTTTAAATTATTTTCCTCCTCTTTATTTCTGGCATTCCTGGTTTCTCTTTATTTTCACTACCCTTGCTGCTTGTTTCTCTAAATATATGTTTTTAAAACTATGTTGTGGTTATGAATTCTCTTTTTTTCTGTATCCAAGTCTTTATTTCGTCTTTGATACTGAAAGGTATGTTCAATAAAGATAGAGCTGTGCTTGGTAATTTTTTTCTTTTGGTAATTTTTAAATGTTGTTCAAGTGTCTTCCAGCTGATTTATGATGAAAGAGTCAAAGTTGTTTCCACCTTTGTTACTCTATATGTAATTTTCTCTTTTCCTTTCAAATATTATTTATCTTTTGTTTCATGTAGTTATATTACAATATGTCTAAATGTGGGAGTTTTGGAGTTAGTCTGGTGTTTGCTGAGGTTTTTTAATATGTAAGTTTGGTATTTCATTCAAGTTTTCAAAATATTAAGCCATTATTTTCTAAGATATTATTCTAAACCAATTTTTCTTTTTGGAATATTAGATATTTTGGATGGATGATAGATATTTTTATGTTATTCTTTTTCTATTATTATACTGTAAGTTCTAGGGTACATGTGCACAACATGCAGGTTTGTTACATATGTATACATGTGCCATGTTGGTGTGCTGCACCCATCAACTCATCATTTACATTAGGTATATCTTTTAATGCTATCCCTCCCCCCTCTCCCCACCCCACAACAGGCCCCAGTGTGTGGTGTTCCCCACCCAGTGTCCAAGTGTTCTCATTGTTCAATTCCCACCTATGAGTGAGAACATGAGGTGTTTGGTTTTCTGTCCTTGAGATAGTTTGCTGAAAATGATGGTTTCCAGCTTCATCCATGTCCCTACAAAGGACATGAACTCATCCTTTTTTATGGCTGCTTAGAATTCCACAATGTATATGTGCCACAGTATCTTAATCCAGTCTATCCTTGATGGACATTTGGGTTGGTTCCAAGTCTTTGCTATTGTGAATAGTGCTGCAATAAACATACGTGTGCGTGTGTCTTTATAGCAGTATGATTTATAATCCTTTGGGTATATACCCATTAATGGGATGGCTGGGTCAAATGATATTTCTAGTTCTAGATCCTTGAGGAATAGCCACACTGTCTTCCACAATGGTTGAACTAGTTTACAATCCCACCAACACTGTAAAAGTGTTCCTATTTCTTCCCATCCTCTCCAGCACCTTTTGTTTCCTGACTTTTTAATGATCACCATTCTAACTGGCATGAGATGGTATCTCATTGTGGTTTTGATTTGCATTGCTCTGATGACCAGTGATGATAAGCATTTTTTCATGTGTCTATTGGCTGCATAAATGTCTTCTTTTGAGAAGTGTCTGTTCATATCCTTTGCCCACTTTTTGATGGGGTTGTTTGATTTTTTTCTTGTAAATTTGTTTAAATTCTTTGTAGATTCTGGATATTAGCCTTTTGTCAAATGGGTAGGTTGCAAAATTTTTCTCTCATTCTGTACATTGCCTGTTCACTTTGATGGTAGTTTCTTTTGCTGTGCAGAAGCTCTTTAGTTTAATTAGATCCCATTTGCTAATTTTGGCTTTTGTTGCCATTGCTTTTTGTGTTTTAGACATGAAGTCCTTGCCCATGCCTATGTCCTGAATGGGAATGCCTAGGTTTTCTTCTAGGGTTTTTATGGTTTTAGGTCTAACATTTAAGTCTTTAATCCATCATGAATTAATTTTTGTATAAGGTGTAAGGAAGGGATCCAGTTTCAGCTTTCTACATATGGCTAGCCAGTTTTCCCAGCACCATTTACTAATAGGAAATCCTTTCCCCGTTTCTTGTTTTTGTCAGGTTTGTCAAAGATCAGATGGCTGTAGACATTTGGTGTTATTTCTAAGGGCTCTGTTCTGTTCCATTGGTCTATATCTCTGTTTTGGTACCAGTACCATGCTGTTTTGGTTACTGTAGCTTTGTAGTATAGTTTGAAGTCAGGTAGCGTGATGCCTCCAACTTTATTCTTTTGGATTGGGATAGTCTTGGCAATGTGGGCTCTTTTTTGGTTCCATGTGAACTTTAAGGTAGTTTTTTTCCAATTCTGTGAAGAAAGTCATTGGTAGCTTGATGGGAGTGGCATTGAATCTATAAATTACCTTGGGCAGTATGGCCATTTTCATGATATTGATTCTTCCTATCCAAAGATACTCCTTCAGAAGAGCAACTCCAAGACACATAATTGTCAGATTCACCAAAGTTGAAATGAAGGAAAAAATACTAAGGGAAGACAGAGAGAAAGGTCAAGTTACCCACAAATGGAAGCCCATCAGACTAACAGTGGATCTCTCGGCAGAAACTCTACAAGCCAGAAGAGAATGGGGACCAATATTCAACATTCTTAAAGAAAAGAATTTTCAACCCAGAATTTCATATCCAGCCAAACTAAGCTTCACAAGTGAAGGAGAAATAAAATCATTTACAGAGAAGCAAATGGTAAGAGATTTTGTCACCATCAGATCTGCCTTACAAGAGCTCCTGAAGGAAGCACTAAACATGGAAAGGAACAAGCAGTATCAGCCACTGCAAAAACATGCCAAATTGTAAAGACCATCAATGCTAAGAAGAAACTGCATCAACTAATAAGCAAAATAACCAGCTAACATAATAATGACATGATCAAATTCATACATAAAAATATTAACATTAAATGTAAGTGGGCTAAGTGATCCAATTAAAATACACAGACTGGCAAATTGTAAACAGTCAAGACCCATCAGTGTGCTTTATTCAGGAGACCCATCTCATGTGCAGAGATACACATAGGCTCAAAATAAAGGGATGGAGGAAGATCTACCAAGCAAATGGAAAACAAAACAAAACAAAAAAGCAGGGATTGCAATCCTAGTCTCTGACAGAACAGACTTTAAACCAACAAAGATCAGAAGAAACAAAGAAGGCCATTACATAATGGTAAAGGGATCAATTAAACAAGAAGAGCTAACTATCCTAAATATATATGCACCCAATACAGGAGCAGCAAGATTCATAAGGCAAGTCCTTAAAGACCTACAAAGACACTTAGACTCCCACACAATAATAATGGGAGACTTTCACACCCCACTGTCAATATCAGACAGATCCATGAGACAGAAAGTTAACAAGGAGGCCGGGCGCGGTGGCTCACGCCTGTAATCCCAGCACTTTGGGAGGCCGAGGCGGGCGGATCACGAGGTCAGGAGATCGAGACCATCCCGGCTAAAACGGTGAAACCCCGTCTCTACTAAAAAAAAATACAAAAAATTAGCCGGGCGTAGTGGCGGGCGCCTGTAGTCCCAGCTACTTGGGAGGCTGAGGCAGGAGAATGGCATGAACCCGGGAGGCGGAGCTTGCAGTGAGCCGAGATCCCGCCACTGCACTCCAGCCTGGGCGACAGAGCGAGACTCCGTCTCAAAAAAAAAAAGAAAAAAAAAAAGAAAGTTAACAAGGATATCCAGGAATTGAATTCAGCTCTGCACCAAGCAGACCTAATAGACATCTACAGAACTCTCCACCCCAAATCAACAGAATATACATTCTTCTCAGCACCACATCACACTTATTCCAAAACTGACCACATAGTTGGAAGTAAAGTCCTCCTCAGCAAATGTAAAAAAACAGAAATGATATATTTATATTATTCTAAATGTTTCTTGGTGCCTATTTTTTTTTCTAATTTTTTGGTTGTTCAGTTTGGACAATTCTTATTTTCAAATGTATTGGTTTTTTGTGTTATCTCCTTATACCATGGAGCTTCTTCCACCAAATATACTGGTGTTGTTGTCATTTACTCTGAAATGCTCAAAATACTCTTGATTGTCATGAGTTGATTTTATGACATTTTCTGCATAATTTTTATTGTGTATTTTTAGATTGTATTTTGAACATTTAAAATATGTTTTGGGATTCTAGTCTTATTAAAATCTTCATGGGAATGTTTATTTCTCTTAATATGGTGTTACATATGTACAGCTCAGAATTTAATATGCAGGTAAATTCATTTACCCTCTTAGCTCCTCCCTCCAGTCTGTGGTTCTCAGTGTTTCCCTTTCTTGGGTTCTGGCAAACTAAGTGCCAATGTCACGTAATTGGTATAGGGTGGAAAGAGTCTGTAGATCTTCTGTCTTTAGATATTTTCAGTGTATCTGAGGATGGTACAGCAACCACTTCACTAGTGGAACTTGCCTAATAAGATGAGGGAAAATGTAACAGATCTCTGAGAGTTGTCACCTGATTGCCAGTAATTGCCAGAGTGAAGAGACTCAACATATATCCAACTCAGTGCCTACTACTACCAGTTTGGAGAAAGAAGCTGTAATTGAATTGCTGAGGCTCACCTGGTTTGCAATATAAGGTCAACAGATCTCTACTTTACTGGGACAAATGCTGCTGATGGGGATGCAGAAGAGTTTTGCCCAGCTGTTGCCAGTTGCCTAATGTAGATGGTGAGAAGCACAGATATTTGCCCTGGAATCACTGTTGCTGCTAATGCATAGCTCACAGAGAGGTAACCAACCTTTCTCCTGTAGTAACCATTAGAGTAGCTGATGGCAGTAGGTAGATTTTGCTTTTTAGGCTTTGGACTAGTGTAGGATACGGAAACTTCCAAAAATTTCTTTTTTGACCCAGCCTTGTTTTTTCTTCTTTTATGCCTGTCCACTGGCTAAAAAGGAACATTACATACAGCTCAGAATTTTATATATAGGTTAAATCACTTACTCTTTTAGCTCTTCCCTCCAGTCTCTGGTTTCCAAAGTTTCTTCTAGAAGTTTCCCCTGTCTGTGCCTTCCCTTGGTTTCAGATTTCAGTTCTCCCCAGAAATTACATGAGATATATAGTACCTAAAGACAACACAAAACAAAATGTTTCAAGAACCCAAAAGACTTTAATTTTCTCCCCAGCCTGTCCACTATTGCCCTCCTTTTTGAATTTTCTAGTAGCTACATAATGTCCAGGATATTATCATAGTCAGACAAAGGGAGAATAAAATGTGCTTACTCTATCCTAAGTAGAAATTGAAACAGGAAATTTTAATGTTTTAAAACTTTATTGAGGGAGGGGGGTAAGGGAAGACAGCACAGTAGAAAGTGCTAGAAACCAATCTCCTCCCCAAAATAACAATTCTACTGGCAGAACCTGTTTGATGTAACTATCGCAGAACTCTGGAGTCTATCTGGTAATTTGTCACTTCCAAGGTCAAACTTTATTGTTAAATTTCAGTTGATTTCCAGTAATTCAGCTCTTAGCTCTTAGATGAATATAGCATGACCACATGACTCAACTCCAACCCTAATTACCATGACAAGCAGCCCTACCCATGTTCCTGGAGCAGCTTGCATGTGACATGCAGAAGTCAAGGAGGGAAACAAGGACCTTATTATCCAGATATCAGAAATGGCTGATTGCTGCGTCTAATAAAAGAGGTAAAGGCACAAAGTCAATTCACCATTTTTGCAGTATGCCCTGACTGAAGAGTATTCTAGGGGATGTAAGAGCTAAAGCCATCTTTAGTCTGCTTACTTTTCCTTTTCATCCTGTTAGCATTCAGACTAGGATTGAAAGGCTAGAACTCCCAAAATCTAGCTACTACAAATGTAGAAGAATTTAGAAAGTCAGCAGCTTTGCTGCCCAAGGTAAGGCACAACTTAGAATAGACATGAGAAGACTTCGTGTTTATACTTCTGTGAAAGCCAATCCCTGACACACAGACACCTTGCAACAATAAAATAAATACAATGGGCAAACAATCTGATTTTCAGGGCACGTACATTTTAAGATTCAAATATCCAGCTTTCAACAAACAACATAAGGCCTACCAAGAAACAAAAAAGTGTGGCTCATTTAAAGGAAAATATAAACAGAAAAAACTCTGAGAAAGATCAGATGGCAGACTTATTAGACAAAGGTATTAAACCAACTGTTTAAAAGATGGTTAAAGAGTAAAAGAAACACATGGACAAATTCAAGAAAATGATGTGTGAACAAAATATAAATATAAATTAAAAATAGAAAACAGGCTGGGCGCAGTGGCTCATGCCTGTAAATCCTAGCACTTTGGGAGGCCAAGGTTGGGGGATCACCTGAGGTCAGGAGTTTGAGACCAGTCTGACCAATATGGTGAAACCCATTCTCTACTAAAAATACAAAAATTAGCCGAGCATGGTGGCAGGTGCCTGTAATCCCAGCTACTGGGGAGACTGAGGGAGGAGAATCACTTGAACCTGGGTGGAATAGGTTACAGCGAGCCAAGATCATGCTACTTCACTCTAGCCTGGGTGAAAGAGTGAAACTGTGTCTCACAAAAAAAAAAAAAAAGAAAAAAAAACATAGAAAGGAACCAAAAAGAAATTCTGAACTGAACTGTATTTTCACTACAGAGGTAAAAAATTTACTAGAGGGGTTCAAAAGCAGATTTGAGCACACAGAAGAAAGTATCAGAAAAGTTGATGATGGAAAAAAATGTATTAAAGAAAAATATTGAAGAAAAGTAAATAGAGCCTAAGGCACATATGGGACCCCATCAGGCAGACCAACATAGACACTCTGGAGTTCCAGAGGAAGGAAGGAAAGAAGGAAAAGAGGGAAGGAGGGAGTGGGGGGATTATTTGAAGAAATAATGGCTGAAAACTGAAATTTTGAGAAAATACATGAATATAAACATTCAAAAAGTTCAATGACTTCCAAGTAGAATGAACTCAAAGAAACCTACATCTACACACTTTATAATCAAACTTGTCAAAGACTAAGCGAGTTTGAAGTCAGAGAGAAAAATGACTTGCCACATACAAAGCATCTTTATTAAGAATGCGAGCAGATATTTTATCAGAAAACTTGGAGGCAAGAAGGAAATAGGTTAATAATCAAAATATTGAAAGAAAAACAATCTGTCAACTTTGAATTCTAAATCCAGCAAAACTGTCTTCTAAATAAGGAAGAAATTAAGTTATCAAGCTATCCTCAGATAAATAAAAGCTGAGGGAGTTTATTACCACTAGACTTTCCATGGAAGTTATTACCACTAGACTTTTTTCTACTTTCCACTAAAAATAGTACTTCAGGTTGAAATGAAAGAGCACTAGAGAGTAAGTAAAAGAAAAAATGAAGCCTTATGGCCAAAGTAAATGAAATGTAAAAGATAGTACTATTTAACTTTGGTCTTTGACTCCCTGTTTTGTTGTCAACATTATTTCAACATTAATGCAAAAACATCCACTTTGGACACTCAATTCAGTAGGAAGCAATTTTGTGACATCAATACCGGATAGAATTTAGGTACTGATGATAGTTATAGGAGCAGAATTTTTGTATGCTATTAAAACAAACTTGCTATAAATTCAAAGTATAGTGTTATAAATAATTCTTATGGCAACTACGAACAAAATAGTTATAACATATACACAAAAGAAAATTAGAAAAAAATGGCAACTGCTTATTACCAAAAATCACCTAAACACAAAGGCAGTAATGTAGAAAAGAAGGAACAAAAAGGTGTAGAGCATAAAAATATAAGTAGCAAATTGGTAGAAATAAGTTCTTCCTTATGATTGATTTTTTAAATGTAAATGAATTAAATTATCTAATCAAAACACAGAAATTCATGAATGGTTAAAAATACAAGACAAAACATAACAAAACAGGAATGCAAGTATGTGTTGTCTACAAAATAATTTAGATTTAAAGACCCAAACAGAGGTTTATCTCCAAGATGGCTCACTAGATGCAGCTAGCAAGTACCACTTCCACAGAGTGACACCATGATTTTGACTACATCAGCATAATTTGAACACAGCTTCTGAGAGAAGACACCAAATGCAGATGAAGAAAAATGCAGATGCCTAGGCTGCAGATGAAGAAAGCTAGGGACTCTGCATGAACTATCTGAATGCTATGGCTGATTTTGACCCTGAATGGTGGTTGGGAAAGGGGTGACTGGGGCACAAAGGGACAGCTCACTCTTCATGCAGACACCTGGGATACCAGCTGTAGGGGATCTCACACCGCCATGGATGTGTGAGCTATCAGGGAGATCTCCCTGGAGATTACACAGAGATGGAGCTGCGGCAAACACAGAAAAAAGAACTTTTTTTGTTTTTGAGGTGGAGTCTTGCTCTGTTGCGCAGGCTGGGGAGCAGTGGTGTGACCTTGGCTCACTGCAACCTCCCCCTCCCAGATTCAAGCAATTCTCCTGCCTCAGCCTCACAAGTAGCTGGGATTATAGGTGCCTGCCACCACCCCTGGCTAATTTTTGTATTTTTATAGAAACAGGGTTTTGCCATGTTGACCAGGCTGGTCTTGAACTCCTGACCTCAAATTTATCCACCTGCTTTGGCCTCCCAAAGTGCAGGCATTATAGGCATGAGCCACTGCCAGGCCAGAACCAGGAACCTTTGAGCTTGAATCAGCTCAAGCAAAGCCTATGCACAGGTGCCACCTGCTCCAAGGCAGCCCATCTCACTCTGAGAAGCTCTGGCCCCAACTAACCACTGGGGAGAAAGCAGGGCCTGCTTCCCCATGGGACTGGGGCATGTCTGTCCTGCAGGCCTTCCAGCCTTCTAGCCTCTCTCAGGGTTCCTGCCTAGCTGCCCCATAAGAATATGTACACAGTGCAGCCTCCCGTGTCCACCCTAGGCGCTTTGCTTCACCTGACTACACAGCCTGGGAGCTCTTCTGATCCCCCACCACAACCAGAACCAAATCTTGAGTGTCTAGAGGAGGGAGCCACCCACAAGACCTCACATCCGGGACTGCTGCCTGTGACTTAGGAATGTTGAGCTTGGATCTGTGCTTGGCACTTGATTAGGGGAGGAGACCACATTCAGCAAACTGAGAGGGCTGCATCACACAGGTTCATGGGCTGAAGTGGGACCTAGGTATGCATCCCTCCACAGGGTTGGTCCGTTAAACATGTAGCCTATTTCCCTACCAGACCTCCCCTCAAGAGAGCACTGCAGCCTGGAAGACCTAACAACAACAACAACAAACAAAATTGTGGGCACAGGGACAGTGATTGAGGGTCATTTTGCTAAGGTAAATGAGCAGATGTGGTGAGGCAGTCACCTCTCTCCCCCTTGACTAGGGGAGGAGCCCACATTCAGAAAACTGAGAGGACTGCATCACACAGGTTAGTGGGCTGAAGTGGGAGCTGCACAGCTGCAAATATCAGGATACCTATGGAACCCACGTGCTTGAGCAAGAGCCCATCTACTGCCCATTGCTGCTCTCAAGCATCATCTCCTACATGATCTCAGCCCAAACAACCAAAAAACCACTACTAATTTTCCCCTCAGTGAAACCAAAAGCAAGAATTCAAAGCAAGGACCATGTATAGAGTGTTAGCCCTCTGAAAACTTCCAGAAATGAACCCAACTAACTGTTCTCAAATTATACCACAATTGAAGGACTACAGTCCCTCTTAAATGAGAAAGAATCAGCATGAGAAGTCTAGCAATTCAAAAAGCTAGACAGTCCCCTAACTTGCAAACACATCCACTAGGTCCCCAGTAATGGTTCCTTATCAGTCTGAATTTTCTGAAATGACAAACACAGAATTCAGAGTCTAGATGGCAAAGAAGCTCAATGAGATCAAGGAGAAAGTTGAAACTCAGTTCAAGAAAGCCAAGCCATCCACTAAAATCGTTCAAGGACTGACACACAAAATAACCATTTTAATAAAGTTTCATACTGAAATTCTAAAACCTATTGAAATTCACTACAAGAATTTCATAATACAATTGGAAGTATTACAAGAGAATAGGCCAAGCTGAGGTAAGAATCTCAAAGCTCAGAGATAAGTTCTTGGAATAAACTCAGCCAGACAAAAATAAAGAAAATGGAATTAACAGAAATGAACAAAACCTCTCAGAAATATCAAATTATGTAAAGAGACAAAATCTGTGACTCATCAGCATTCCTGAGAAATAAGAGAAAATAAGCAACTTGGAAAATATACTTGATATTTTCCACAAAATTTCCTCATATATAGTCCACAAAAATTTGCCTAATCAGAAGTTGACATGCAAATACGAGAAATATAGAGAGCCCTAGTCAAGTACAATACAGGACTTCCATCCCCAAGGCACATCATCATCAGATTCCACAGGGTAAATACAAAAGAAAAAAATCTTAAAGGCAGCTAGAGAGAAAGGGTAGGTCACCTACAGAGGAAATGCTATGCAGGCTTCTCAGCAGAAACCCTGTAAGCCAAAGAGATTGAGGGGGAGGGGTGTCTATTTTTAGTGTACTTATAGAAAAGAAACTCTAATAAAAAATTTCATATTCTGACAAACTAAGCTTCACAAATTGGAAAATCTAGAGCAAATGGATAAATTTATGGAGACACACAATCTCGCAACATTGAATCAGACAGAAAGGAACCCTGAAGTTGAATCTGTAATAAAGAACCTACCAACCAAAAAATGTAAAACAAAAAATGTAAATGTAAAACCACATGAATTCACAGCCAAATTCTACCAGATATATAAAGAACTGGTACCAATCCTACTCCAACTATTCTAAAAACTCAAGGAGAAAGGACTCTACCCAACTCATTCTATGAAACCAACATCACCCTGGTAGCCAAAATCTAGCAGAGACATGACAAAGAAAGAAAATTTCAGGCCAATATCCCTGAAGAACATAGGTGCCAAAAATTCTCAACAAAATACTAGCAAATCAAATTTAGCAGCACATCAAAATGTTAATTTGTCATAATCAAGTAGGCTTGCTTTCTGGCATATAAGAGTGGCTCAACATATACAAATCAATAAATGTGATTTACCACATAAACAGAATAAAAAACAAAAACCATACAATAGACACAGCTTTCAGTAAAATCCAACCTCCATTCTTTATACAAACACTCAAAAGTACAATAATAATAAATAATATTATACTATTGATTATAATATATATTATAAGGAATAATAAAGGAACATACCTCAGAATTATAAGAGCCATTTATAAAAAGCAAACAGCCAACATCATACTGAATGGACAGAAGCCGGAACCATTCCCCTTGAGAACTGGCACAAGACAAGGATGCCGTCTCTCACAACTCCTATTCAACAAAGTACTGATAATCCTAGCCAGAGCAATCAGGCAAGAGAAAGAATAAAGACATCCAAATAAGAAACAAAGTCAAACTATCCCTCTTCACGGGCAATATGATTATATACCTCGGAAATCCTGAAGACTCTGCCAAAGACTTCCTAGAACTTATAAATGATTTTAGTAAAGTTTCAGGATACAAAGTCAATGTGAAAAAATCAATACCATTTGTAACACCAACAATATCCAGTCTTAGAATGAAACTGAGAACAGAATCCCCATTGCAACAGCCACAAAGAAAATGAAATACCTAGAAATACAGCTAATGAGGGAAGTGAAAGATGGCTACAAGGAAACTGTAAAACATCACTGAAAGAAATCAGAGATGACACAGACATAGGAAAATACATCTTATGCTCATGGATTGGAAGACTCAATATCATAAAAATGACCATACTGCTCAAAGCAATTTACAGATTCAAAGCTATTTTTAAATAAATTACCAGTGTTATTCCTCATAGAATGACAGAAAACTATTCTAAAATTCATATGGAAGCAAAAAAGAGCCCAAATAGCCAAAGCAATCCTAAGCAAAAAGAACAAAGCTAGAGACATTACACTACCTGACTTTGAATTATACTATAAAGCCACAGTAACCAAAAAACTTGGTAGTATTACAAAAATGTACACATAGATGAAGGGAACAAATTAGAAAACTCAGAAACAAAGTTGCACACCTACAACCACCTGATGTTTGATAAGGCCCATCAAAATAAACAAGAGAGAAAAGATTCCCTATTCAATAAATATTGCCAGGGTAACTGGCTGGCCATATGCAGAAGATTGAAGCTGGATCCTTACCTTTCACCATATAGAAAAGTAACTCTAAATGGAAAAAGATTCAAGTGTAAGAACTTGAACTATACAAATTCTGGAAGACAACCTAGGAAATCTTCTTAATATCACCCTTGGCAAATAATTTTTGTTAAATCCCCAAAAGAAATTGAAACAGAAACCAAAATAAGCAAGTGAAAACTAATTAAACTAAAGAGCTTCTGCACACCAAAAGAAACTATTGGTTGGGCACCGTGGCTCATGCCTGTAATCCCAGCACTCTGGGAGGCCAAGGGAGGGGGTGGATCACCTGAGGTCAGGAGTTCAAGACCAGCATGGCTAAAGTGGTAAAACTCTGCTAAAAATACAAAAAAAAAAAAAATGTGCTGATATGGTGACTGAGAACTGTAATCTCAGCTGCTCGGGAGGCTGAGGCATGAGAATTGCCTGAACCTGGGAGGTGGAGGTTGCAGTGAGTTGAGATTGTATCACTGCACTCCAGCCTGGGCAATCTCCATCTCAAAAAAAAGAAGGAAAGAGAGAGAGAGAGGTGGAGGAGAAGGAGGGAGGGAGGGAGGGAGGAAGGGAAGGAGGGAGACCATAGCAAAAAACCTGCAGAATGAAAGAAGATATTCACAAACTATGCATCTGACAAGGACCTAATGTCTAGAATCTATAGGGATCTTAAACAAATTAACAAGCAAAAAACCAAATAACTCCATTTAAAAAATGGGCAAAGGATATGAACAGACACATCTCGAGAGAAGACATACGGTTGCCACCAAACATATGAAAGAATGAAATGCAAATCAAATCAAAACCACAATGACATACCAACTCACATCAGTCAGAATGTTTAAGATAATAAACAACAGATGCTGATGAGGATGTGGAGAAAAGGGAATGCTTATACACTGTTGGTGGGAATACACATGAAGTTACTCCAGTCACAGTGAAAAGCAGTTTAAAGATCTCTCAAAGAACTTAAAACAGATCTACCATGTGACCCAGCCATCCCATTATTAGGTGTATACCGTAAGGAAAATAAAGCATTCTACCAAAAAGACACATACATAAGTATTTTCTTTGCTGCTCTAGTCACAATGGCAAAGACATGAAATCTACCCAGGTGCCCATCAAGAGTAAATTTGAAAATTAAATAAATAAATAAACTGTGTTACATTCCTACCAGGGAATACCACACAGTCATAAAACAAATGAAATCTTGTCCTTTCAGCAACATGGTTGGTGCTGGAGGCCATAATCCCAAGTGAATTAACACAGGAACAGAAAACTAAGTCCTACAAGTTCTCACTGATAAATTGGAGGTACACATTGAGTATGCATGGACATAAAGATGGGTAAAAAGACACTGGGGACTGGTACAAGGGGAAGAGAGAAAATAGTAAAAGGGCCAGTCTGCCTTTTGGGTATTCTAGTCATTATCTGGATGACAGCATCATTTGAACCCCAAACCTCAATATCACACAATATACCCATGTAACAAACTTGCAAATATACTCTTTAGTCTAAAATTAAAATTGAAATTGAGATGAATACACAAAATTTATAGAATTTTAATTTTAAAAAACTGGTGGGTTTATAAAACTACTTATTAAGATCAAGCCAAACAAAAGGTAATGATATTCCATGATATGAAATAATTGATGAAGATAGTGTTATTATTATTTGAAACATTATTGATCCTTTGCTGAAATACTTTGTTTTCCCAATATAAGAATTCGTTTCTTTTAATCTATCTATAATTTACAGTAATTTGATAAAAAGCATATTTTTATAAACTATACAGAAACATAAAATTTAAACAAGTTGTTCATAAATAACTCTTAGGTAAACAATAAAATTAAGGCTGAAATGAAAAAAATTATATGAAATTAATGAAAATAGAGACAACTTACCAAAACCTTTGAGATGTCACCAAAGCAGTGTAAAACTTACCGAGGAAAATTTATAGTGCTAGATTTGAAAGAAAAAAAGAGAGAGAGAAGGTGCAAATAAGCACAATCAGAAATGAAAAAGATGACATTACAGCTGATCACAGAGAAACACAAAAGATCCACAGAGACTCTTATGAACACTTCCATGCATACAAATTAGAAAATCTAGAGAAAATGGGTAGCTTCCTAGAAACACAATCCTCCCGATATTGAATCATTCCACTGCATGAAGAAAGTAAAGTAAAAATCTAAACAGACCAATTAACAGTTCAGAAATTGAATCAGTCATAAAAAACCTGTCAAGTAAAAAGACCAGCCAAATTCTAATAGATGTACAAAGAAATGATACAAGTCCTACTGAAACTTTTCCAAACTATTGACAATAAGGGAGTTTTTCCCTAGCTTATTCTATGAAGCAAGTATCAGCTTGATAGCAAAATCTGGCAGAGGCAGAAAAAAAGAAAATTACAAGCCAATATCTCTGATGATCACAGATGCAAAAATCCTCAACAAAATACTAGCAAACCAAATTTAGCAGCACATGAAAAAGTTAATTTATCTCAAGTAAATAGGTTTTATTGCTGGGATGCAAGGTTGGTTCAACATAAGCAATAAATACATAATAAATGTGATTCACATGAAACAGAATAAAAAACAAAAATATATAATCATTTTGCTTGAGCCCAAGAGTTTGAAACCAGACCAGACAACATAGTTGGACCCCATTTCTACAAAAAATACAAAAACTAGCCGGGCATGGTGGCACACACCTGTAGTCCCAGCTACTTGGTAGCCTGGGATGGGAAGATTGTTTGAGACTGGAAGATTGAAGCTGCAGTGAGACATGATTGTGACACCGCAATCCAGCCTGGGCAACAGACCAAGATCCTGTCTCAAACAAACAAAACAACCATATGATCTCAACAGATGAAGAAAAAGCTTTCAGTATAATCACTTCATGATAAAACTCTTGACAGAGTAGGCATTCAAGAAACATTTTTCAAAATAGCAAGAACCGTCTGTGATATATACACAGCTAACATCATAATAAATGAGCAAAAGCTGGAACGACTCCGGTTGAGAATTGGAGCAAGAAAAGGATGCCCACTCCTAGCATGCCTATTTAACATACAAACAGACATCCTAGCCAGAGCAATCAGCCAAGAGAAAGATGTAATAGTCATCCCAATAAGAAAAGAAGTCAAACTACCTCTCTTTGCCAATGATAAGATCTATATCTAGAAAATCCTCAGGACTTCACCGAAAGACTCCTGGGACTGAAAACCAAAGTTTTCAGTAAAGTTTTAGGACACAAAACCAATGTAGAGAAATCAGTATTTTTATTTTACTATTTTTATATACCAATAAACATTATAGCTGAGAACCAATCAAGAACAGAATCTATTTACAATAGCCACAAAGAAAATGAAATATGTAGGAATTAATCTAACCAAGGAGGTAAAAGACCTTTATAAAGAGAACCACAAAGCAGAACTGGAAAAATCTATTCTGCAATTCATCTGGAATAAAAAAGAGTCTGAATAGCCAAAGAAATCCTAAGCAGAAAGAACAAGGCCACAGGCATCACATTGCCCAACTTCAGAAAGCCACAATAATCAAAACAGCGTGGTACTGCTACAAAAACAGACACATACAGCAGTGGAACAAAAAAAGATAACCCAGAAATAAAGTTGCACACCTACAACCATCTGATCATGGACAAAATCAGTAAAAATAGGCAAAGGGGAAAGGACTCCCTATTCAATAAATTGTGCTGGAATAATTGGCCAGCAATATGCAGAAGAATGGCACTGGACTCCCATCTCTCATCATATATGAGAACTAACTGAAGATGAATTAAAGATTTGAATGTAACACTTCAAGCTATAAAAATTCTAGGAGATAACCTGGGAAATGCCCTTCTTGACATACGCTTTGACAAAGAATTTATGGCTAAGACCCCAAAAGCAATTGAAACAAAAAACTGACAAGTAGAGTATAATTAAAGAGCTTATGCATAGCAAAAGAAATTTTCAATGGAGTAAACAGGCAACCTAGAGAATGGCAGAAAATATCTGGAAACTATGCAACTGACAACGTTTAGTATCTAGAATTTACAAGGAAGTTACACAAACCAACAGGCACAAAACAAAAAATCGAATTTAAAAAGTAGGCAAAGGACATGAACAGACCCTTCTCAAAGAATGCACAAGTAGCCAACAAACATGACAAGGTGCTCAACATAACTAATCATCAGAGAACCAAAACAGGAAGGAGGGAAAGGAGGGGGAAAAAAAACCCACAATGCGATACCATCTCACACTAGTCAGAATGGCTGTTATTCAAAAGTAAAAAAAAAAAAAAAAAAGGCCGGGCACAGTGGCTCACGCCTATATTCCCAGCATTCTCAGAGGCCAAGGCAGGTGGATCACCTGAGGTCTGGAGTTCAAGACCAGCCTGGCCAACATGGCAAAACCCCACATCTACTAAAAATACAAAATTAGCCAGGCATGGTGGTGCGTGCCTGTAATCTCAACTACTCTGGAAACTGAGGGAGGAGAACCACTTAGAAACTGGAAGGTGGAAGTTGCAGTGAGCCAAGATTGTGCCACTGCACTCCAGCCTGGGCAACAGAGGGAGAATATGTCACAAAAAAAAAAAGTAAAAAAATAACAGATGTGGTAGGCATTGTGGCTCACACCTGTAATCCCAGCCCCTTAGGAGGCTGAGGCAGGTGGATCAACTGAGGTCAGGAGTTCAAGACTAGCCTAGCCAACATGGCAAAAATCTGTCTCTACTAAAAAATTAGCCAGGCATGGTGGAACATGCCTGTAATCCCAGCTACTTGGGAGGCTGAAGCAGGAGAATAGCTTGAACCAGGGAGGTGGAGGCTGCAGTGAGACCAACATTGTACCACTGCACTCCAGCCTGGACAACAGAGTGAGACTCAGTCTCAAAAAAAACACAAACAGATGCTGGAAACACTGCCAAGAAACAGTAACACTTATCCACTGTTAGTGAGAGTGCAAAATAGTTCAGCCACTGTGGAAAGCAGTTTGGAAGTTTCTCAAAGAACTTAAAATAGAACTACCAGTCAACCCAGCAATCTCAGTACTGGGTATACATCCAAAGAAAAATAATTCATTCTATCAAAAAGACACGTGCACCTGCATATTTATTGCGGTGCTATTCACAATAGCAAAGTAATGGAATCAACCTAGGTGTCCATCAAGAGTGGATTGGATATGAAAATATAGTACATACATACCATGGAATACTATGCAGTCATAAAAACAATGAAATCACGTCCTTTGTAGCAAGGTGGATGGAGCTAGAGGCCATTATTCTAAGCAAATAGACACAGAAACAGAAAACCAAAGATCACATGTTCTCACTTATAAGTGGGGGCTAATACACATGCGTGTATGAATACAAGTGAACACAAAGAAGGGAACAATAGACCCTAGGGCCTACCTGAGGATGGAATGTGGGAGAAAGAGGATTTAAAAACTACCTATTGGGTACTATGCTCATTACCTGGATAGCAGAAATAATCTGTACACCAAATCACCATTACACACAATTTACCTATATAGCAAACCTATGCATGTACCCCATGAATCTAAAATTAAAGTTGGAAGGAAAAATGAATAAATAAATAAATTCCTAGAAATATCCAATCAACCAAACTGAATCCTAAGGAAACAGAAAATCTGAGCAGACCAAAAATGAGGAAGGAGATTGAATCAGTAATAATAATAATTTTTAAAAACCAAAGGAAAGCTGAGCAACTAAAAATGGCATTCCTATTAAATTCTATCTAATTTTTTTAATCTAAACTATTCTTCACAAACTCTTTCAAAAACTTGAAGAACAGTGGATACTTCAAAACTCTTTTCAAGAGGCTATGATTACATTGATACCAACACAGATAAAAACACTGCAAAAAGCACAGATACAAAATCCTTCTAAAATATACTAACAAACATAATTCAACATGTCAACAAAAACAATCAAGCTCTGTAAAATATTTGAGGAGATTTATTCTGAGACAAATATGAGTGATGATGGCCCACGACATAGCCCTCAGGAGAACCTAAGTGTATATGCCCCAAGGTGGTCTCATTTTAGGGAGACGTAAGACATCATTCAATATGCTTAGGATATACACTGGTTGAGTCCAGAAAGGTAAGACAACTTGAAGTGGGTGGGAGCTTCCAGGTTATAGGTAGATTTAAAATTTATCTGATTCGCAATTTGTTGAAATGGTTATTATCCATAAAAATGAATCTCTGGGTTATGATAAGGGGTTGTGGGGACCAGTTTTATTATGCAGATGAAGCCTCCAGGTAGCAGGCTTCAGAGAGAATAAATTGTAAGTTTCTTATTAGACTTAAGGTGTGTGTTGATGTTAATGCTGGAGGGGTAGAATGAGGCATGCCCACCCCACTTCCTATCATGGCATGAACCAGTCTTTCAGATTAAATTTTAGAGTACTGTGGCCAAAGACGAAGTCCGTTCAGATAGTTGGGGTGGAGGTCTCAGAATTTTATTTTTGGTTTACAAACAGTACATTAAAATATTGTATACCATGACTAAGTGTGATTGTAGGAGATTTTTAACATCGGCTTATTGATAAATGTGATACATTAACAGAATAAATAAATACAACATTATTATTTCCAAACATGTAAAGAAAAACTTCTGACAATATTCACTATCCTTTTATAATTAAAGAAACTTCCAACAAGTTATGTATAGACAAATTGTAGCTTAACACAATAAACACCATTTATGAGAGGCCCACAGTTAGCATCATACTTATTGGTGAAAGATTAAAAGCTTTTCTTCTAAGATCAGAAACAAGACAAGGATGCCCACTCTCACCACTTCTATTCAACATTATACTGGAAGTTCTAGCCAGAGAATTAGTCAAGAGAACAAAAGGTTCAAATAGGTAAAGAAGCAGTTAAATTGTCTTTGTTTGCAGGTGATATGATCTTAAACAGAGAACCCTAAAATCTTCACCATAAACTGTAAGAACTAAGAAACAAATTCAGTAAAGTTGCAGGCTACAAAATTAATATACCAAAATAAATTGCATTTTTATATGCTAACAACAAACTGTTAAAAAATCAAAGAAACAACACATTTAAAGTAGTTACAAAAATTAAAATATGTAGAATAAACACGAAGGTAAAAGAGCTAAAAACTGAAAACAATGAAACTTTGCTAAAAGAAATGAAGAAAACACAAAATCATGGAAAGACACCTGAAATGTCTATGGCAAACTATATGAAGGTTTCTGAAAAAAGTAAAAATAAAATTACCATGTAGTCCAGTAATTCTACTTCTGGGTACATATCCAAAGGAATACAAATCAGTATGTCAAAGACACATCTACACTGCCACATTTATTGCAGAACTATTCACGATAATCAATTATGGAATCAACCTAAACGTTCCCAAGTAAATTAATGGATAAAGAAAATGTGGCATATGTATAAACAATAGAATACTATTTAGCCCTGAAAACAACAAAACTCTCATTTATTGCAACATGGATGAGCCTGGAGGACAAAATGTTAGTGAAATAAAACTGGCACAGAGAGATACATATTATGTGCTCTCACTAGTATGTAAAAGCTAAAAAATTTAATTTCACAGAAGTACACAATAAAAATGGTAGTTATTAGAGGCTGTAAGGATACAGGAGGGGAGAATATGGAGATATTAGTTAACAGATTAGTTAACTGTGTAAATTACAGCTAGATAGGTAAAATAAACTCTAGTGTTCTGTAGCACCACAGAGTGAGTATAGTTAATTTATTGTATATTCTAAAATAGCTAGAAAAGAAGATTCTTATTATTCCCAACACCAATAAATGAACAGTGTTTTAGGGGATGGATACGCTAACACCCTGATTTAATCATTACACATTGCATGCATGGATCAAAATATTAGGGTATACGTCATACACATACACAATTATTATGTGTCCATTTTCAAAAGCCACTCAGAAAAAAACAGACCACATGGGAAAATAAACACATTTGTTTCTATATTTAAACAACAACAAAAAAAGAGAAAATTGCTAAGGAAGCAGATCTTAACTTTTCTCAAAATTATGTGAGGTAAAATGTATATTCAAATTAGCTCAATCTAGCGATTCCACCATGTATGCATATGTCAAAACATCATACTGTAGACTATAAAGATATATAATTTTTACTTGTCAATAAAAAATAGAACATAATGTTGGGTGAAGTGGCTCATACCTGCAATCTCAGCATTTTGGGAGGCTGCAGCAAGCAGATTGCTTGAATCTAGGAGTTGAAGACTAGCTTGGGCAACATGGCGAAACCCCATCATTACAAAAAATAGAAAAAATTAGCCAAGTGTGATGGCACATGCCTATGGTCCCAGCCACTTGGGAGGCTTGAGCCCAGAAAGGATAGGTTGCAGTAAGCTGAGATCATGCCACTGCACACCAGTCTGACTGACAGAGGAGACCCCGTTTCAAAAATGAAATACAATTTTTTAAAAAGAAAAACATATAAACCTTTAATAGGTACAAGTTTGCAACATTTTAAAGTAACAAACTTTTCTCTAAGTTTCTAATACTACCTTTTATCATGAATATAAAAATATGGAAAATTCTAAAAGTATACTGATCGATTTTTCTGCCTATTAATATGATCTTTAAAAATAAACTTACTGATAAGATAAAAATGTTTTTCTCTTTTTTCTTTATAAGATAAATATTTAAATAGAGAAATTATCTCTAATGGAATTATATTCTCAGTGCGTGACTTTATTTTGAAATTCACAATAGGCCACCAAAATAAATCATTTATAACAGTTGACATTTAGTATTTTAAGATGGTAAAACATCTACATAGACATTTATTTCCAAGGCCTATAGGCATATGAAAAAAATCTCAATGTCTTTAATCATCGGAAAAATGCACATTTAAACCACAACAAGATATCATTTTACACCCTTTAGAATGGCTATTATCAAAAAGTCAAATGATACCAAGTATTGGCATGGATGTGAACAAAAAAGATCCCTGTACAGCCTTGGAAAAGCCTTGGAAAAATATCCCTGTACAGCCATTTTGGAAAACATAAATCATGCAGCCATTTGGAGGTTCCTCCAAAAACTACAATTAGAATGAAGACATGGTCTAACAATTTCACTTCTGGGGATATATCCAAAGAAACTGAAACCAGAATGTTGAAGAGATTTCTGCATTTCATGTTTATTCAACATTATTCTCAATAGCCAATAATGGAGGTAAACTAAGTATATGTTGGTGGGTGAATTAATAAAGAAAATGTGGTATATATACATGATTGGATACTATTCCACAATCTTTTAAAAAATAGAAAATCCTGTCATTTGCAACAACACGTATTGAATTGAACGGCACTGTGCAAATTGAAATAAGCCCAGCAGAAATGATGTCACCAAAATGGTGGAAAAGGAGCTATCTGGTTTATTCTCCCCTACAGAAAACCAAAAGCAACTAACCATTAGCAATATTATCATCCAGAATATTTTAAAACTCAAAACTAATGTTATCATAATCCCTAGAATCACAGAAAAGTGAAAAATCACAAGCCAGTGATAAGGGGAATAAACCTCTCTAACTGTAACAGTGTTCCCCAAGTTGCCAGACTCTGCAGAAAAGTACCCCTGGGCTTACACTTTTAACCCTCAAAAAGTGAGATGAAGGCAGGCAGCTGGCATTCTTATCATCGTGGGTTGCTTTTCAGTGAAACCCTTCTTGCCTCAATCCATAAGAAATACTGCAAGGGCCAATAAAGTGAAAACTCCTGAAATTTGCTAGAGACGAATGTGGAAGTAGGACTAGCAACAACCAGAGCATCAACTCAGTGGTTACTTCCCTTTTTGTTTTTTTGTTTTGTTTTGTGAATTTACAATTAAATTTAATGTACTTAGAAACTGAGGGAGAATTCTAACTTTTTTTATGCCACATGTTGGAAATTCTGGAGTGTAACTGAAAACATGACAAAAAATAATTTTCACAGCTTTAGTGAAATTGTTCAGACTAAATTTCTTAATGTTTCCTTAGATCTAACACTCCATGCTTTGATGTGTAAATATAATTCATTATAATCAGAGTTGGTGCTTTATATATATATTTTTTTATTTTTATTATTATACTTTAAGTTCTAGGGTACACATGCACAATGTGCACGTTAGTTACATATGTACACATGTGTCATGTTGGTGTGCTGTACCCATTAACTCTTCATTTATATTAGGTGTATCTTCTAATTCTATCCCTCCCCCCACCCCCTACCCCCTGACAGGCCCCAGTGTGTGATGTTCCCCTTCCTGTGTCCAAGTGTTCTCATTGTTCAATTCCCACCTATGAGTGAGAACATGAGGTGTTTGGTTTTCTGTCCTTGCGATACTTTGCTGAGAATGATGGTTTCCAGCTTCATCCATGTCCCTACAAAGGACATAAACTCATCATTTTTATAGCTGCATAGTATTCCATGGTGTCTATATGCCACATTTTCTTTATCCAGTCTATCACTGATGGACATTTGGGTTGGTTCCAAGTCTTTGCTATTGTGAGTAGTGCCACAATAAACATATGTGTGCATGTGTCTTTATAACAGCATGATTTATATTCCTTTGGGTATATACCCAGTAATGAGATGGCTGGGTCAAATGATATTTCTAGTTCTAGATCCCTGAGGAATCGCCACACTGACTTCCACAATAGTTGAACTAGTTTGCAGTCCCACCAACAGTGTAAAAGTGTTCATATTTCTCCACATCCTCTCCAGCACCTGTTGTTTCCTGACTTTTTAATGATTGCCATTCTAACTGGTGTGAGATGGTATCTCATTGTGGTTTTGATTTGCATTTCTCTGATGGCCAGTGATGATGAGCATTTTTTTCATGTGTCTGTTGGCTGCATAAATGTCTTCTTTTGAGAAGTGTCTGTTCATATCCTTTGTCCACTTTTTCATGGGGTTGTTTTTCCTTGTAAATTTGTTTGAGTTCTTTGTAGATTCTGGATATTAGCCCTTTGTCAGATGAGTAGATTGCAAAAATTTTATCTCATTTTGTAGGTTGCCTGTTCACTCTGATGGTAGTTTCTTTTGCTGTGCAGAAGCTCTTTAGTTTAATTAGATCCCATTTGTCAATTTTGGCTTTTGTTGCCATTGCTTTTGGTGTTTTAGACATGAAGTCCTTGCCCATGCCTATATCCTGAATGGTATTGCCTAGGTTTCCTTCTAGGGTTTTTATGTTTTTAGGTCTATTATTTAAGTCTTTAATCCATCTTGAATTAATTTTTGTATAAGGTGTAAGGAAGGGATCCAGTTTCAGCTTTCTACATATGGCTAGCCAGTTTTCCCAGCACTATTTGTTAAATAGTGAATCCTTCCCCCATTTCTTCTTTTTGTCAGGTTTGTCAAAGATCAGATAGCTGTAGACATATGGTATTATTTCTGAGGGTTCTGTTCTCTTCCATTGGTCTATATCTGTTTTGGTACCAGTACCATGCTATTTTGGTTACTGTAGCCTTGTAGTATAGTTTGAAGTCAGGTAGCATAATGCCTCCAGCTTTGTTCTTTTGGCTTAGGATTCTCTTGGCAATGTGGACTCTTTTTCGGTTCCATATGAACTTTAAAGTAGTTTTTTCCAGTTCTGTGAAGAAAGTCGTTGGTAGCTTGATGGGGATGGCATTGAATCTACCTTGGGCATTGAATCTAACTTGGGCAGTATGGCCATTTTCACAATATTGATTCTTCCTACCTATGAGCATGGAATGTTCTTCCATTTGTTTGTGTCCTCTTTTATTTCATTGAACAGTGGTTTGTAGTTCTCCTTGAAGAGGTCCTTCACATCCCTTGTAAGTTGGATTCCTAGGTATTTTATTCTCTTTGAAATGATTGTGAATTGGAGTTCACTTATGATTAGGCTCTCTGTTTGTGTGTTATTGGTGTTTAAGAATGCTTGTGATTTTTGCACATTGATTTTGTATCCTGAGACTTTACTGAAGTTGCTTATCAGCTTAAGGAGATTTTGGGCTGAGACGATGGGGTTTTCTAGATACACAATCGTGTCATCTGCAAACACGGACAATTTGACTTCCTCTTTTCCTAATTGAATACCCTTTATTTCCTTCTCCTGCCTGATTGCACTGGCCAGAACTTCCAACACTATGTTGAATAGGAGTGGTGAGAGAGGGCATCCCTGTCTTGTGCCAGTTTTCAAAGGGAATGCCTCCAGTTTTTGCCCATTCAGTAAGATATTGGCTGTGGGTTTGTCATAGATAGCTCTTATTATTTTGAAATACGTCCCATCAATACCTAATTTATCAAGAGTTTTTAGCATGAAGCGCTGTTGAATTTTGTCGAAGGCCTTTTCTGCATATATTGAGATAATCATGTGGTTTTTTCTTTGGTTCTGTTTATATGCTGGATTATGTTTATTGATTTTCGTTTGTTGAACCAGCCTTGCATGCCAGGGATGAAGCCCACTTGATCATGCTGGATAAGCTTTTTGATGTGCTGCTGGATTTGGTTTGCCAGTATTTTATTGACAATTTTTGCATCCATGTTCATCATGGATATTGGTCTAAAATTCTCCTTTTTTGTTGTTATTGTGTGTCTGCCAGGCTTTGGTATTAGGATGACGCTAGCCTCATAAAATGAGTTAGGGAGGATTCCCTCTTTTTCTACTGATTGGAATAGTTTCAGAAGGAATGGTGCCAGCTCCTCCTTGTACATCTGGTAAAATTCGGCTGTGAATTCGTCTGGTCCTGGACATTTTTTGGTTGGTAAGCTATTAATTATTGCCTCAGTTTCACAGCCTGTTATTGCTCTATTAAGGGATTCAACTTCTTCCTGGTTTAGTCTTGGGAGGGTTTATGTGTTGTGGAATTTATCCATTTCTTCTAGATTTTCTAGTTTATTTGCATAGAGGTGTTTATAGTACTCTCTGATGGCAGTTTGTATTTCTGTGGGATTGGTGGTGATATCCCCTTTGTCATTTTATATTGTGTCTATTTGATTCTTCTCTCTTTTCTTCTGTATTAGTCTTGCTAGCGGTCTATCAATTTTGTTGATCTTTTCAAAAAACCAGCTCCTGGATTCATTGATATTTTGAAGGGTTTTTTATGTCTTTATCTCTTTCAGTGCTGCTCAGATCTTAGTTATTTCTTACCTGCTGCTAGCTTTTCAATGTGTTTGCTCTTGCTTCTCTAGTTCTTTTAATTGTGATGTTAGATTGTTGATTTTAGATCTTTCCTGCTTTCTCTTGTGGGCAGTTAGTGCTAAAATTTCCCTCTACACATGCTTTAAAGGTGTCCCAGAGATTCTGGTATGTTGTGTCTTTGTTCTCATTGGTTTCAAAGCACATCTTTATTGCTGTCTTCATTTTGTTATGTACCCAGTAGTCATTCAGGAGCAGGTTGGTCAGTTTTCATGTAGTTGAGCAGTTTTGAGTGAGTTTCTTAATCCTGAGTTCTAGTTTGATTGCACTGAGGTCTGAGAGACAGTTTGTTATAATTTCTGTTCTTTTACATTTGCTGAGGAGAGCTTTACTTCCAACCATGTGGTCAATTTTGGAATAGGTGCAGTGTGGTGCTGAGAAGAATGTATATTCTGTTGATTTGTGATGGAGAGTTCTGTAGATGTCTATTAGGTCCACTTGGTGCAGAGCTAAATTCAGTTCCTGGATATCCTTGTTAACTTTCTGTCTTGTTGATCTGTCTAATGTTGACAGTGGGGTGTTAAAGTCTCCCATTATTATTGTGTGGGAGTCTAAGTCTCTTTGTAGGTCTCTAACGATTTGCCTTATGAATCTGGGTGCTCTTGTTGGGTGCATATATATTTAGGATAGTTAGTTCTTCTTGTTGAATTGATCCCTTTACCATTATGTAATGGCCTTCTTTGTCTCTTTTGATCTTTGTTGGTTTAAAGTCTGCTTTTTCAGAGACTAGGATTGTAATCCCTGCTTTTTTTTTTTTTTTTTTTTTTTTTATCTCTATTTGCTTGGTAGATCTTCCTCCATCCCTTTATTTTGAGCCTATGTGTGTCTCTGCACATGAGACCGGTTTCCTGAATACAGCACACTGATGGGTCTTGACTCTTTATCCAATTTGCTAGTCTGTGTCTTTTAAGTGGAGCATTTAGCCCATTTACATTTAAGGTTAATATTGTTATGTGTAAATCTGATCCTGTCATTATGATGTTAGCTGGTTATTTTGCTCGTTAGTTGATGCAGTTTCTTCCTAGCATCGATGGTCTTTACAATTTGGCATGTTTTTGCACTGGCTGGTACCGGTGGTTCCCATCCATGTTTAGTGCTTCCTTCAGGAGCTCTTGTAAGGCAGGCCTGGTGTTGACAAAATCTCTCAGCATTTGCTTGTCTGCAAAGTATTTTATTTCTCCTTCACTTATGAAGCTAGTTTGGCTGGATATGAAATTCTGGGTTGAAAATTCTTTTCTTTAAGGATATTGAATGTTAGCCTCCACTATCTTCTGTCACACAGAGTTTCTGCCGAGAGATCAGCTGTTAGTCTGATGGGCTTCTCTCTGTGAGTAACCCAACCTTTCTCTCTAGCTGCCCTTAACATTTTTTCCTTCATTTCAACTTTGGCAAATCTGACAATTATGTGTCTTGGAGTTGCTCTTCTTGAAGAGTATCTTTGTGGCATTCTCTCTATTTCCTGAATTTGAATGTTGGCCTGCCTTGCTAGGTTGGGGAAGTTCTCCTGGATAATATCCTGCAGAGTGTTTTCCAACTTGGTTCCATTCTCCCGATCACTTTCAGGTACACCAATCAGATGTAGATTTGGTCTTTTCACAGAGTCCCATATTTCTTGGAGGCTTTGTTCATTTCTTTTTATCCTTTTTTGTCTTAAATTCTCTTCTCACTTCATTTCATTCATTTGATCTTCAATGACTGATACCTTCTCTTCCAGTTGATCAAATCAGCCACTGAAGCTTGTGCATTCATCACGTAGTTCTCATGCCATGGTTTGCAGCTTCATCAGGTCCTTTAAGGACTTCTCTGCATGGGTTATTCTAGTTAGCCTTTCCTCTAATCTTTTTTCAAGGTTTTTAACTTCTTTGCAGTGGGTTCGAACTTCCTCCTTTAGCTCAGAGAAGTTTGATCATCTCAAGACTTCTTCTCTCAACTTGTCAAAGTCATTCCTCATCCAGCTGTGTTCCATTATTGGTGAGGAGCTGCATTCCTTTGGAGGAGGAGGGGCACTCTGATTTTTAGAATTTTTAGTTTTTCTGTTCTGTTTTTTCCCCATCTTTGTTGTTTTATCTACCTTTGGTCTTTGATGATGGTGATGTACAGACGGGCTTTTGGTGTGGATGTCATTTCTGTTTGTTAGTTTTCCTTCTAACAGTCAGGACCCTCAGCTACAGGTCTGTTAGAGTTTACTGGAGGTCCACTCCAGACCCTGTTTGCCTGGGTATCAGCAGCGGAAGCTGCAGAACAGCGGACATTGGTGAACAGCAAATGTTGCTGCCTGATCGTTCCTCTAGAAGTTTTGTCTCAGAGGAGTACCCATCTGTGTGAGGTGTCAGTCTGCCCCTACTGGGGGGTGCCTCCCAGTTAGGCTACTCGGGCGTCAGGGACCCACTTGAGGAGGCAGTCTGTCCTTTCTCAGATCTCCAGCTGCATGCTGGGAGAACCACTACTCTCTTCAAAGCTGTCAGACAGGGACATTTAAGTCTTCAGAGGATTCTGCTGCCTTTTGTTTGGCTATGTCTTGTCCCCAGAGGTGGAGTCTACAGAGGCAGGCAGGCCTCCTTGAGATACGGTGGGCTCCACCCAGTTCGAGCTTCCCAGCTGCTTTGTTTACCTACTCAAGCCTGAGCAATGGCGGGCACCCCTCCCCCAGCCTCGCTGCCATCTTGCAGTTCGATCTCAAACTGCTGTGCTAGCAATGAGTGAGGCTCCTTAGGTGTGGGACCCTCTGAACCAGGTGTGGGATATAATCTCCTGGTGTGCTGTTTGCTAAGACCACTGGAAAAGCACAGTATTAGGGTGGGAGCGACCCAATTCTCCAGGTGCTGTGTGTCACAGCTCTGCTTGGCTATGAAAGGGAATTCCCTGACCCCTTTGCGCTTCCCGGGTGAGGTGATGCCTCGCCTTGCTTTGGCTCACACTCAGTACATTGCACCCACTGTCTGACAAGCCCCAGTGAGATGAACCCGGTACCTCAGTTGGAAATGCAGAAATCACCCGTCTTCTGTGTTGCTCACGCTGGGAGCTGTAAACTGGAGCTGTTCCAATTTGGCCATCTTGGAACCGCCCCACTTTTTGTTACTTTAAAATTTTGCAAACTTGCAACCCAAATCAGAGAGTGTGTTCATCAGTGAAACACTGTAGAAAGCATACTTCATAGGATTTCTGGGCACAAATACATAGTCAGACTACCTCTACAGTTGGGGCATTCCCTTGTGACCTGCAGGCCACCTGAAATGGGCAGCACTCCAAACTCAGAAGCTCTGTGAGAGCTTTGACAAATGTGGGTTTAGGCTGCTAGTTACTGTTGTAAAGAAGACAGCGTGGAGCACGGTGGCTCATGCCTGTAATCCCAGCACTTTGGGAGGCCAAGGCGGGTGGATCACCTGAGGTCAGGAGTTGGAGACCAACCTGGCCAACATGGTGAAACCCCATCGCTACTAAAAAAAAACACCAAAAATTACCTTGGCGCAGTGGCAGGCACCTGTAATCCCAGCTACCCAGGAGGCTGGGACAGGAGAATTGCTTGAACCTGGGAGGCAGAGGTTGCAGTGAGCCAAGACCATGCCATTGCACTCCAGGCTGGGCAATGCAGTGAGACGCCATCTCAAAAAAAAGAAAAAGAAAAAGAAGAAGAAAGCAATCTGGTCTGACATAGTTGCTCATGCTCTAATCCCAGCACTTTGGGAGCCCAAAGTGGGCTAATCACTTGGGCCCAGGAGTTCAAAACCAGACTCCCTAACCTGGCCAAACCCATGTCTACAAAAAAAAATAAATAAAACAAAATTTCTTCAGCTGTGCTGGCATCCACCAGTAGACCCAGCTACTCAGGATGCTGAGGTGGAAGAAGTGCTTGAGCCCAAGAGTTAGAGGCTGCAGGGAGCCATATCACGCCACTGCACTCCAGCTTCAGTGACAAAGCAAGACCCTGTCTCAAAAAGAAATTTTAAAAATATTTATATTAGAGAAAATACACTAACACAAAAACTTTAAAAAGACTTAAAGAAGACCATTATATAATGATAAAAGGTTTCAATACAGTTGGAGGACATAACAATTACAAATATATATGCACCAAGAATCGAAGTACCTGAATATATCAAGAAAATACTAATAAACCTAAAGGAATAGATAGCAATACAATAAAAGCAAGAAACTTCAACATTGCATTTTCAGCAATGAACAGATCATTTAAACAGAAAATCAACAGGCTTTAGAACTGAAGTGCATTCTAGACCAAATGATTTATCAGATATTTACAAAATGTCATCTAACCACTGAAGAATACACATTCTTCTCAGCAGTACTTATTCTTCAGGATAGCTCACATGTCAAGCCATAAAAAAATCTAAGCAATTTTTAATATCAAAATCGTATCAAGTACTTCTTTAGAACACAATGCAATAAATCTAGAAATCAATAACAATTAGACCATTGAAAGCTGTGCAAATACATGGAAATTAACAACTTGTTCTAGAATAACTAATGGGTCAATGAAAAATTAAAACTAAGATTAAAATGTTAATAAGGCAAACAAAAATAAAAACACAACATATCAAAACCTGTGGGACACAGCAAAGCCTGTGATAAGAAAGAAGTTCATAGTATTAAAGCATTACATTTAAAAAAGGTAGAAAGTTCTCAAACAATTTAACATTTCACTTGAAGGAAGTACAAAAAGAAACTAAACTCAAAAATAGTAGAAAGAAATAATGAAGAGCAGGAATAAATAGAATAGAGAACAAAAAATACAAAAAGATTAATTTAAAAGAGGTTTTTTAAAGATAAACACAATTGACAAACTATTAGCTGGACAAACTAAGAAAAAAAAGACAAAAGTTTCATAAAAGCCAAGGTGAAAATGAAAACATTACTACTGGTAGCACAAAAATATAAAGAATCAAAAGAGACTATCATGAACATCTATACACCAACAAATTAGGAATCTTTTAAAAAGTTAATAAATTCCTGGACACACACAACCTACCAAAATTAAAACACAAAGAAATAGAAAACCCAAAGAAAATATCAAGTAATAAGATATCAGTAATAAAAGCTTCCTATTAAGGAAAAGCCCAGTATTATTAAAAGTGAAAAAATAACAGAGTTGGTGAGGCTGCTGAAAAAGAGGAGACATTTGTACCTTGTTATTGGGAATGTAAATTAGTTCATTTACTGGGGAAAGCAGGTTGAAGATTTCTCAACGAACTTAAAACATAACTACCATTCAAGCTACCAATGCCATTATTGTGTATATACTCAAAGGAAAATAAACCATTGCATTAAAAAGATACATGTACTTGTATATTCACGGCAGCAGTATTTTCAATAGAAAGATGTGGAATCAACACAGGTGCCCATCAATGGTAGATTGGATGTATGAGTTCATTTTTAGACTGCTGTGAAGAACTACCTGAGACTGGATAATTTATGAAGAAAAGAGGTTTAATGGACTCATAGTTCTGCAGGCTTAACAGAAAGCATGACTTGGAATTCCTTGGGTCATTTACAATCACAGTGGTAGGTGAAGGGGAAGCAGGCATGTCTTACAAGGGCAAAGCAGAAGAGACAGAGAGTGAAGGGGGATGTTCCACATACTTTCAAAGAATCAGATCTCATGAGAACTCACTCACTGTCACGAGAACAATAAGGGGAAAATATGCCCCATAATCCAATCACCTCCCATGAGGCCCCTGCTCTGACATGTAGGAAATATAATTCAGGATGAGGTTTGAGTGGGGACACAGAGCCAAACTGTATCATTAGATAAATATAATGTAGTACATATACATTATGGGATACGATGAACCATAAAAAATAATGAAATCATGTCCTTGGAAGGATATTTGCACCCCGACCTCAGCATTATGTGTTATGCGATATACCATGTAAAAAACTTGTACATACTCCATGAATTTAAAACAATTTTAAAATTATATAAGTAAGTAAATAAAACTGAAAAAAAGAAATGAAAAGAGCAGCCCAGGACCTGATGGCTTCACTGCTGAACTGTACCAAAAATTTAAAGAACAAATACCAATACTTTACAAATTTTTCCCAAACATTGAAGAGAGGGAACTTCTTCCACACTCATTCTACAAGTCCAGCACTACTCCAGACAAAGCCAGAGAAGAAGAAAACTACAGATCAATAACCCTGATGAGCATAGATGTAAAAATTATCAACAAAATTATAGCAAGACAAATTCAACAATGGATTTGTTGGGAAAAAGGCTTATGGGGTGCCTGTATAAACTGTCCATAAAAATATGGGACAATAAGTTGTGGAAAGCCACAAGAGGCCTCTGAGGAGGAAAGCCTCCTAAATGCCATTGTGTTCCCATGCTCAGAGCCAGACCCACTGTCTTATCTGTAAACACGGTGTTCAAGGAGAAAGACGTTCCTTTGAAACATTGGAATGCGGACAGACATGCAGACTCCTACTTAAGCCCGCTCCCACTAGCTACTCTCCGATAAGTTAAACATATGCTGTTTGGGCACAAAGGAGATTCATTTAAACCGCTATTGCTAGAGATTATGCCTGTGACACACTGTTTCCCTTTCCCTGATTCACCCCTAAACATCTGCTTCTCAGATCTAAGTAACTGTACTCAATAAATAGTCTGGAGACCAAAACTTGGAGCCTTTTGCAGCCTCCATTTTGCAATTGGCCTCCTGGCTTCCACTCTTTATGCACTCTTAACCTATCTCTTCTCATTCCTTCATCGCCACGGGACTTTGGGTACAGTACAAGTGATGTTGAAGCTGGTCCCCAACATTCTGGCATCCAACGTGGGGCCGGAAAGAATCCAGTAAAGGAATGCTGGAGCATGTGAAATGGAGGAACGACAGACAAAGGACTCCCGAGGATAAAAAGTTGTAAGCTTTGCAGGTAAATGGGGCGCTTGGAAAAAAGCTAGGGACACAAATGGGACAAACTGAAAGTCAGTACACCACGTATCTGAGCTTGCCATGGCAGCTCTTGAAGCGTGGTGGGGTAAAAGTTGATACGGAAAATCTTATGGATTTATTTCATGCTGTGGAATAATTTTGTCCTTTGTTCCCTGGACAGGGAACTTTAGAATTAAACGATTGGGAAGGAGTTGGAAAAGACTTTAAAAGAGCATATAGAGAAGGAAAGAAAATTCCTTTGCATGTTTGGTCAGTTTGATCATTGGTGCATGCAACATTGGAGCCTTTTCAGACAGCTGATGAGACTGAGTCAGAGGAGGAGAGAGAGAAGTTTGATGATCACAACTCTAAACCGCCTCTACCGAGTACTAACAAAAAGGAGAGCCCGAACAAGATTTCTGCCAATTCCCCCAGTCTCCTTAACCTACTCAGAAAATTGTTCAGCCCAGGGCTCCTTCAGAGGAATGTCTGGAATGGCCACCTCCTCAGCCCAGTGAGTGCTGGAAGAGGGAGCCCCGAGACTCAACTCACCACCACTCCACTCCCCGCGCCTATTACTGCTGACCCACAGTTCATTATGGAGAGGGGGCAATTTAGGTTCTCCCTGCAGTTCATTAAGGTGAAGGAGCAATTTCCCTTAAAATGGATGACCCAGCGTCCTGTCTGGGTTGAACAGTGGCCGCTCCCTAAGGAAAAGTTGGGGGCACTTCATGAAATAGTTAAAGAACTGCTAGAAAAAGGACATGTTTCACCCACTTTCTCTCCTTGGAATTCCCCAGTATTTGTAATTAAGAAAAAGTTGGGTACGCCTGGTGTGGTGGCTCACGCCTGTAATCCCAGCACTTTGGGAGGCTGAGGCAGGCGGATCATGAGGTCAGGAAATCGAGACCATCCTGGCTAACACAGTGAAACCCTGTCTCTACTAAAAATACAAAAATTAGCTGGGCGTGGTGGCAGGCAACTGTAGTCCCAGCTACTAGGGAGGCTGAGGCAGGAGAATGGTGTGAACCCGGAAGGCAGAGCTTGCAGTGAGCCGAGACTCCGCCACTGCACTCCATCCAGCCTGGGCGACAGGGAGAGACTCCGTCTCAAAAAAGGAAAAATGAAAAAGTTGGGTATACGGCACAGGCTGACCGACTTACGAGCTGTCAACGCCGTAATTCAACGGATGGGAGCCTTACAACCCGGGCTCCCATCCCCCACCATGCTCCCTAAAGACTGGCCACTTGTTATTACAGATTTAAAGACTGCTTTTTTACAATTCCTTTAGCAGAAGTAGATTTCAAAAAATTTGCCTTTACAACATCCCTGCCATTAATAACAAAGAATCTGCAGCCAGACATCAGTGGAAGGTTTTACCCCAGGGTATGTTAAACAGTCCCACAATTTGGCAAACTTTTGTAGGCAGAACTATCCAGCATGTTAGAGATCAATGTCCAAATTTTTGCAGCAAAAAATAGAGACCAACTTATTCAATGTTACTCATCTTTACAAAAGGCAATTACAAACACTGGATTACTTACAGCACCTGACAAAATTCAGACAGCCACTCCTTTTCAGTATTTGGGGATGCAAGTACAGGATAGAGCCATTAAGCCTCAAAAGATTCAAATTAGAAGAGATTCTTTAAAAACCTTAAATAATTTTCAAAAATTGTTAGATGATATTAATTGGATTCAACCCACCTTAAGAATTCCTACTTACACTATGTCTTTTCTCAATATTGAGGGGAGATTCCAACTTAACAGTAAAAAAAAAAACTAACACCCAAGGCCATAAAAAAGTTAAGAGTAATTGAAAAAAAATTCAGCAAGCCCAGATCAGTAGGATTGACTCAGTCTTGCTTTTACAATTTATTGTTTTCCCGCCTTCCCACTCCCCAAAGGGGGTTATTGTTCAAAATAATGATTTAGTTGAATGGTCCTTTTTGCCACATAATCCCATAAAAACACTTACAGTATATTTAGATCAAATGACAATTTTAATTGGAGACGCTCGTATAGAAATTGTTAAACTTTGTGGTACTGAGTCCAATAAGATTAGAATTCCCTTAAATAAACATCAGGTTAAACAGGCATTTATTAATTCAATTACATGGCAAGTTAATTTAACAAAATTTATTGGATGTATTGATAATAATTATCCTAAAAATAAAACTTTCCAGTTCTTAAAATTAACTACATAGTTTCTTCTGAAAATTACTCATGATGCCCCTTTGGAAGGAGCCGTGACTGTTTTTACTGGTGGGTCTGGTAAACATGAAAAAATGGCAGTCTGGTGGAGACCACATAATCCAATCATTCAATCTAAATTTACCAACATTCAAAGAGCTAAGCTTATTCTGTTTATTTATTAAAGAATTTTTACAGCCTTAAGTTTGCTCTGGAGCCCACTCTGTGTGCTCTTTTTCTTCAACTTCAACAATTACTAGACCAAGTTACACATCCTATTTTTATTACAGACATTCGAGGCCACAGCTCTCTGCCTGGCTCATTGGCTTATGACAATAATCAAGCAGACCTTCAGGTAATGACATCACTGCCTGACCAAGCCACCCAATCACATCAATTTTTCCAGCAAAGTTAGAAAAACTTACCCAAATAATTTCAACTTACACAGAGACTGGCTAAACAAATTATCCTACAATGCCCAGATTACCAGCTCACAGGCATGTCCCTCCTTCAAAATGTGTTAACCCTAGAGAATTAGAACCTAATCAGTAGTGACACACAGATGTTAAACACATCCCTGAATTTTAAAAACTAAGATATGTACATATATCCATTGTTACCAACACTTATCTAATTATTACACATTAGAAAATTTTTAAAAAAGAAGAGACTAAAAAAAAAAAAAATAAAAAAATACAAAAAAAGACTAAAAAAAAGGAAAAAAGGAAAAAAAAATTTAAAAAGTTATAAAAATGTACCTTTAGTAAGGAAAGTTATAAAACCTAAAAAGTTAAGACATGTTGAAGATTATCTGTAAAAGTTGTAAAAAATGTTATAAAAAGGAATTTATACAAAAATGTATAATTTTTGTTTTAAAGGTCTAAACAAGTTTTATGATAATAATTTTTAAAAATTATGTGTGGAAACATATTTACTAAAGTTAAAAAAGTATCATCCAGTTTTTCTAAAAACTAACATTAAAATAAAATACAAGTTTTTCTTAAAACAGTAAGCTACTTTTTAAAAATTGTAAAAAGTCTCTTAGCACAGGCACCACCCCTGAAATTTCCAGTACCAGCCTGAAGACTACATCCTCATCAAAGGATGAAAAAAAAAAAGAAAAAATTCAAGCCAGCCTAAAAAAAACCCTACAGAAACTGCAGCCTCAACAATGCTGCTTCCACAAACAACACAGGCCCCAAACATTATGCTAAAAAAAAAAAAAAAGACTAAGCCAAATAATTTATTCATTTTTAATTCTCTCTCTTTGCCTACTGCTTATACCTACTACACTCTATTAAGCTCATATTTTAAATCTGCCTTTCTTCTGCCCTACTACTTTAACAAACACCCCTTTTCAGCTTCTAATAACATAACTACTTGGCTAAAATAAATTAACATACCCCCAGTGGGGTTCCTCATTAATAATATATAGTAAACTAAGATGCCAAGTAACACTTGGCATTTCTTTGACTGAAAAAAAAGTTGCTAATTATACTCATGTTTGTCTTCTGTTATTTACTAATCCTAGGATACAAAGCTGAAATAAGAACAGTGACCTCCTCACCTGACAAGCCTGTGACTACAACAGACCAAAACTATACCTATTGGACATATGTCCCATTTCCGCCTTTAATTAGGCCTGTCACATGGTTGAAACCCCCGGTTGAGGTTTATGTTAATGTGTTTGAATGACTAAGCCTACAAATACTCATAGGCTCTCTTACCCAGAAAAAATAATAAATGTGTCCATAGGTTATCAGATCTCCCCTCTTTACATAGGGTCGGCGATTGGTTGCCTAAAATGCTACAACAACAACAATCACAAAAACAATGTGATTAAAATACTTATAATTTCTACATAACTCCCCATTAGTATAATACTATTCAGGTCATAATCAAAGAACCAGTATCCCATCATTTATTTTCTAAATGGAGCCCGGGTCATTCACAAAGTTTGGTTCAATTAAAACAATTTAAGCCCAAAAAAGAGAGGTGTCAACAACCTCAACAATGGTCAAAAAATTTAAAAATACTGATTTGAAAAAATTACATGTCTAATCACCCTGTAGTACTACAAAATAATTCCTATAAAATCGTCATTAGTTTGTCCCCTAAGATGACCTTTACAGTTAATTGTACCAATCAAAATTATAAACACAAAACTAAAACTAAAACTATACTATCAAAAAGTGACACTAGTAAAAAACATGCCCATTTTCCCATAATTTGGACTGATTTTGGTATGGCTGGCCCACATCCAAAAATGATTAATCCTATAATAGGCCCTAAATGTCCCAAATTATAAAAGTTAATGATGGCCCAATCTCATATTAAAGTTTGAAAAAAATATATTATCTTGAGGAAAAGCGTGAGAGACTTCAATTGGTGTATCAGATTTCTTCCAACAAAATGGTGCCCATTCAAAGTTGTGTCAAGCCTCCTTTTATGTTAATAATCAAAAATATTAATATTCAACCTAATTCTGAAACTATTACTTGTCAAAACTGTCACCTTTTCACCTGTATTGATTCCACATTTAGTGTAAAAACATCTGTGTACTGGTAAAGAGTAAAAAAAGAGTTTGGATACCAGTTTCCCTCAATAGACCTTAAAAATCCTCTCCTTCCATTCATATCATCACAAAAATGTTAAAGGAAGTGTTTACCAAAACAAAAAAAATTATTTTTACCCTTATAACAGTGATTATAGGCCTTATTGCATCACAGCTACTGCTGCAGCTGCTGAAATTACTTTACATTCCTCTGTTCAAACTACAAAATTGGTCAAAAAAATTCCTCAAAATTGTGAAATTTTCAGACCCAGATACACCAATTGGTAAATCAAACAAATAACCTTAAACGGACTGTTATTTAAATAAAAAATCATATAATAAACTTAAAGTATCAATTACAAATACAATGGGATTAAAATTCTTCTAATTTCTACATAACTCCCCATTCATATACTACTACTAAACATCATTTAAAAAAGGTTAGACATCATGTAAAAAAAATAAAAAAAAATTAATATTAAATACAGCCACATTAAAAAACCAGGTTTTTAAAACATCTTAGGCTCATTTAACTCTCCTGCCTGAGACTGACATTCTCACTAAAACTGCTAATAGAGTTTCAAATGTAAACCCTCTTAAATAAATTAAGACCATTAAAAAATCAACTATTACAAATTTTACTTTAATGTGTATCTGTTTATACTGAAGAGAGAGACCCTCTCATATTGTTTTATATTGTTTTATACTCAGTACCTGTTTTAAGAAAAAACAACAAGGAAGTAAAACCAAAGACAGGCAGCCCGGCGCCAGGTCTGAAACCAGGACTGGGCCTGCATGGCCTAAACCCAGTAGTTAAAAATCAATTCATAACTTAGAAACTGATGTTATTCATAGATTCCAGACATTGTATAGAAGAACATTGTGAAACTCCCTGCCCCGTTCTGTTTTTCTCGGACCACCAGTGCATGCAGCCCCTGTCACGTACCACCTGCTTGCTCAAATCAATCACAACCCTTTCATGTGAAATCTTTAGTGTTGTGAGCCCTTAAAAGGGACAGAAATTGTGCATTTGGGGAGCTTGGATTTTAAGGCAGTAGCTTGCCGATGCTGCCAGCTGAATAAAGCCCTTCCTTCTACAACTTGTGTCTGAGAGGTTTTGCTGCGGCTCATCCTGCTACAATACTGTTTACTTTTATTCTACAAACGTGAAAGATGCCTTTAAAAAAAAAACACCACAAACAAGCCTTAATAACAATGACAGTTTTTTTTTTAAAAGTGGGGGGGCATGTTGGGAAAAAGGCTTTTGGGGTGCCTGCATAAACTGGCCATAAAAATATGGGACAATAAGTTGTGGAAAGCCACAAGAGGCCTCTGAGGAGGAAAGCCTCCTAACTGCCATTGTGTTCCCATGCTCAGAGCCAGACCCACTGTCTTATCTGTAAACACTGTGTTCAAGAAGAAAGATGCTCCTTTGAGGCATTGCAATATGGGCAGATGTGCAG
This sequence comes from Homo sapiens, assembly GCF_000001405.40. Classification (NCBI taxonomy): domain Eukaryota; kingdom Metazoa; phylum Chordata; class Mammalia; order Primates; family Hominidae; genus Homo; species Homo sapiens. The sequence continues at coordinate 12,994,213 of NC_000024.10, read as the reverse complement.
ACTCCTAGTTAAGCCCGCTCCCACTAGCTACTCTCCGATAAATTAAACATACACTGTTTGAGCACAAAGGAGATTCATTTATACCACTATTGCTAGAGATTATGCCTGTGATGCACTGTTTCCCTTTCCCCATTTCACCCCTGAACATCTGCTTCTTAGATCTAAGTACTTATACTCAATAAATAGTGTGGAGACCAAAACTCTGAGCCTTTTGCAGCCTCTATTTTGCAGCTGGCCTCCTGGACCCCAGTCTTTATGCACTCTTAGCCTGTCTCTTCTCATTCCTACATCGCCACCAGACTTTGGGTACCCTACATGTGATGTTGAGGCTGGTCCCCAACATGCATTAAAATGATTATTCACCATAATCAAGAAGCTTGCATCTTAGGGATGCAAGGATGTTTCGACATGTGCCAAGTCAATAAATAAGATACTCACCTTGACAGAATCAAGGAGAAAAGCTACATGATCATTTTAATAGATGCAGAAAAGCATTACACACACTTCAATATCCCGTTATGATAAAACTGTCCCCAAATTAGATATAGAAATAATGTACTACAACACAAGAAAGGCCATATATGACAAACCCACAGAAAACAACTTATTTAATGAGGAAAAGCTGAAATATTTTTTCTAAGATCTGAAACAAGATAATGATTTTATCTTTTGGAAGCTCTATTCAACATAGTATAGTAAATTCTAGCCAGAACAATTAGATGAGAGAAAGAAATAAAGGGCATATAAACTGGAAAGGACGAGGTCAACTTGTCCCTGTTTGCAGATAACATAATTACATATATAGAAAAATACTACAGATTCTACCAAATACTGTTAAAATGTATAAACAAATCCAATAAAGTGTCAGGATGTAAAATCAACATACAAAAATTAGAAAATTTTGAATGTGCCAAGAGTAAACTATTTGAAAAAATAAATTAAAAAGTCAATCCCATTGACAATAGCTACAAAAAAGATATTTAGAATAAATTTAACCAAGAAGCAAAAGATCTCTTTGATAAAAACTATAAAACATGGATGAAACAAATTGAAGAAGACACAAATACATGTAAAGACATCTTGGGTTTATATGGAAGAATTACTATTGTTGAAATGTCCATACTACCTAAAGCAATCCACAAATTCAATGTAATACCTATTAAAATGGTAATGATATACTTTGCTTAAATGGGAAAAGCATTTTTTTTTTGTTTTTTGAGATGAAGTTTCACTCTTGTCACCCAGGCTGGAGTGTAATGGTGTGATCTTGGCTCACTGCAACTTCCGCCTCTTGGGTTCAAGTGATTCTCCTGCCTCAGCCTCCCTAGTAGCCAGGATTACAGGCACTGCCAACATGCCCAGCTAATTTTTTTGTATTTTTAGTAGAGATGGAGTTTCACAATGTTGGCCAGTCTGGTCTCTAACTCCTGACCTCAGGTGATCCTCCTGCCTCAGTCTCCCAAAGTCCTGGGGAGGGGGGTAAAGCACTTAAAAAATCTGTACAAAGCCACAAAAAGCCTCAGATAGACAAACCAATACTGAGCCAAAAGAACAAAGGTGGAGACACTACACTACCTGTCTTTAAAACATACCACAAGCCTATAGGAAACAAAACACCATAGTGTTGCTACAAAAAGAATAGACACATATACCAATAAAGAGAATATACAACCCAGAAATAAATCCACATACTTGCAGCCAACTGTCCTTTTTATAAATGCCAAGAATACACACTGGGGAAAGGATAATCTCTTCAATAAATAGTGATGAGAAAACTTAATATTCAGAAGTAGGAAAATGAGACTACAACTATCTCTCTCACTGAAAACAAAAATCAGCTCAAAATGAACTAAAGACTTAAATGTAAAACCCTAAAAAATAAGTTACTGGAAGAAAATATAGGTGAAATGCTTCTTGACATTGGTGTTGGCAAGAATTGTTGGAATAAGAACACAAAAGCACAGCAACAGAACAAATATTGATAAATAGAATTTTATTAAACAAGCTTCTGTACAACAAAGTAAACAATGAATATCATGAACAGAAAACACACAGAATAGAAGAAAATATATATAAACTATATTTCTGATAAGGATTAATATCTGGAATATATAAGGAATTCAACTCAATAGGAAAAAACATCTGATTTTTAAGTGGGTAAACGACTTGAATAGAAATCTCTATAAAGAAGAGGAGGTGGAGCCAAGAGGGCTGAATAGGAACAGCTCCAGTCTACAGCTCCCAGCGTCAGTGACACAGAAGACGGGTGATTTCTGCATTTCCAACTGAGGTACCAGGTCCATCTCACGGGGGAGTGCCAGACAGTGGGTGCAGGACAGTGAGTGCAGTGCACCGTGTGTGAGCCGGAGCAGGGCAAGGCATCGCCTCACCTGGGAAGTGCAAGGGGTCAGGGAATTCCCTTTCCTAGTTAAAGAAAGTGGTGACAGATGGCACCTGGAAAATCAGGTCACTCCCACCCTAATACTGCGCTCTTCCAAAGGGCTTAACAAACGGCGCACCAGGAGATTATATCCCACACCTGGCTCGGAGGGTCCTACGCCCATGGAGCCTCAATCACTGCTAGCACAGCAGTCTGAGATCAAACTGCAAGGCAGCAGCAAGGCTGGGGGAGGGGCACCACCATTGCTCAGGCTTGAGTAGGTAAACAAAGCATCGGGGAAGATTGAACTGGGTGGAGCCCACCACAGCTCAAGGAGGCCTGCCTGCCTCTGTAGACTCCATCTCTAGGGGCAGGGCACAGACAAACAAAAGACAGCAAACACCTCTGCAGTCTTAAATGTCCCTATCTGACAGCTTTGAAGAGAGTAGTGGTTCTCCCAGCATGGAACTTGAGATATGAGAATGGGCAGACTGCCTCCTCAAGTGGGTCCCTGACCCCTGAGCAGCCTAACTGGGAGGCATCCCCCAGTAGGGGTGGAGTGACACCTCACACGGCCGGGTACTCCTCTGAGACAAAACTTCCAGAGGAACGATGAGGCAGCAGCATTTGCGGTTCACCAATGTCCGCTGTTCTGCAGCCACCACTGCTGATACCCAGGCAAACAGGGTCTGGAGTGGACCTCCAGTAAACTCCAACAGACCTGCAGCTGAGGGTCCTGACTGTTAGAAGGAAAACTAACAAACAACCACACCAAAAACCCATCTGTACATCACCATCATCAAAGACCAAATGTAGATAAAACCACAAAGATGGGGAAAAAACAGAGCAGAAAAACCGGAAACTCTAAAAATCAGAGCACCTTTCCTCCTCCAAAGGAACACAGCTCCTCACCAGCAACGGAACAAAGCTGAACGGAGAATGACTTTGACCAGTTGAGAGAGGAAGGCTTCAGAAGATCAAACTACTCCGAGCTAAAGGAGGAAGTTCAAACCAATGGCAAAGAAGTTAAAAACTTTGAAAAAAAAATTAGAGGAAAGGCTAACTAGAATAACCAATGCAGAGAAATCCTTAAAGGACCTGTTGTAGCTGAAAACCAAGGCATGAGAACTAAGTGACGAATGCACAAGCCTCAGTAACCAATGCAATCAACTGGAAGAAAGGGTATCAGCGATGGAAGATGAAATGAATGAAACGAAGCGTGAAGAGAAGTTTAGAGAAAAAAGAATAAAAAGAAATGAACAAAGACTCCAAGAAATATGGGACTATGTGAAAAGACCAAATCTACGTCTAATTGGTGTACGGGGAGAATGGAACCAAGTTGGAAAACACTCTGCAGGATATTATCCAGGAGAACTTCCCCGATCTAGCAAGGCAGGCCAACATTCAAATTCAGGAAATACAGAGAACACCACAAAGAGACTCCTCGAGAAGAGCAACTCCAATACACATAATTGTCAGATTTGCCAAAGTTGAAATGAAGGAAAAAATATTAAGGGAAGACAGAGAGAAAGGTCAGGTTACCCTCAAAGGGAAGCCCATCAGACTAACAGCTGATCTCTCGGCAGAAACTCTACAAGCCAGAAGAGAGTGGGGGCCAATATTCAACATTCTTAAAGAAAAGAATTTTCAACCCAGAATTTCATATCTAAGCTTCATAAGTGAAGGAGAAATAAAATACTTTACAGACAAGCAATGCTGAGAGATTTTGTCACCACCAGATCTGCCCTAAAAGAGCTCCTGAAGGAAGCACTAAACATGGAAAGGAACAACCAGTACCAGCCAGTGCAAAAACATGCCAAATTGTAAAGACCATCGATGCTAGGAAGAAACTGCATCAACTACTGAGCAAAATAACCAGCTAACATCATAATGACAGGATCAAATTCACACATAACAATACTAACCTTAAATGTAAATGGGCTAAATACTCCAATTAAAAGGTACAGACTGGCAAATTGGATAGAGTCAAGACCCATCAGTGTGCTGTATTCGGGAAACCCATCTCACATACAGAGACACATATAGGCTCAAAATAAAGGGATGGAGGAAGATCTACCAAGCAAATGGAAAACAAAAAAAGGCAGAGGTTGCAATCCTAGTCTTGGATAAAACAGACTTTAAACCAAAAAAGACCAAAAGAGACAAAGAAGGCAATTACATAATGGTAAAGGGATCAATTCAACAAGAAGAACCTACTATCCTAAATATATATGCACCCAATACAGGAGCACCCAGATTCATAAAGTCCTTAGTGACCTACAAAGAGACTTAGACTCCCACACAATAATAATGGGAGACTTTAACACCCCATTGTCAACATTAGACAGATCAATGAGACAGAAAGCTAACAAGGATATCCAGGAATTGAACTCAGCTCTGCACCAAGAGGACCTAATAGACATCTACAGAACCCTCCACCACAAATCAATAGAATATACATTCTTTTCAGCACCACAGCACACCTATTCCAAAATTGACCACATAGTTGGAAGTAAAACAATCCTCAGCAAATGTAAAACAACAAAAATTATGACAAACTGTCTCTCAGACCGCAGTGCAATCAAACTAGAACTCAGGATTAAGAAACTCACCCAAAACTGCTCAACTACACGGAAACTGAACAACCTGCTCCTCAATGACTACTGGTACATAACGAAATGAAGGCAGAAATAAAGATGTTCTTTGAAACCAACAAGAACCAAGACACAACATACCAGAATCTCTGGGAAACATTCAAAGCAGGGTGTAGAGGGAAATTTACAGCACTAAATGCCCACAAGAGAAAGCAGGAAAGATCTAAAATTGACACCCTAACATCACAATTAAAAGAACTAGAGAAACAAGAGCAAACACATTCAAAAGCTAGCAGCAGGCAAGAAATAACTAAGATCTGAGCAGAACTGAAGGAGATAAAAACACAAAAAACCCTTCAAAACATCAATGAATCCAGGAGCTGGTTTTTTGAAAAGATCAACAAAATTGATAGACCACTAGCAAGACGAATAAAGAAGAAAAGAGAGAAGAATCAAATAGATGCAATATAAAATGACAAAGGGGATATCACCACCAATCCCACAGAAATACAAACTGCCATCAGAGAATATTACAAACACCTCTGTGCAAATAAACTAGAAAATCTAGAAGAAATGGATAAATTCCACAACACATAAACCCTCCCAAGACTAAACCAGGAAGAAGTTGAATCTCTTAATAGATCAATAACAGGCTCTGAAACTGAGGCATTAATTAATAGCTTACCAATCAAAAAACATCCACGACCAGACGGATTCACAACCGACTTTTACCAGACGTACAAGGAGGAACTGGCACCATTCCTTCTGAAACTATTGCAATCAGTAGAAAAAGAGGGAATCCTCCCTAACTCATTTTATGAGGCCAGCATCATCCTGATACCAAAGCCTGGCAGACACACAATAACAACAAAAAAAGAGAATTTTAGACCAATATCCCTGATGAACATCGATGCAAAAATCCTCAATAAAATACTGGCAAACCAAATCCAGCAGCACATCAAAAAGCTTATCCAGCATGATCAAGTGGGCTTCATCCCTGGGATGCAAGCCTGGTTCTACATATGCAAATCAATAAACGTAATCCAGCATATAAACAGAACCAAAGACAAAAACCACATGATTATCTCAATAGATGCAGAAAAGGCCTTTGACAAAATTCAACCACCTTCATGCTAAAAACTCTCAATAAATTAGGTATTGATGGGACGTATTTCAAAATAATAAGAGCTATCTACGACAAACCCACAGCCAACATCATACTGAATGGGCAAAAACTGGAAGCATTCCCTTTGAAAACTGGCACAAGACAGGGATGCCCTCTCTCACCACTCCTATTCAACATAGTGTTGGAAGTTCTGGCCAGGGCAATTAGGCGGGAGAAGGAAATAAAGGGCATTCAATTAGGAAAAGAGGAAGTCAAATTGTCCCTGTTTGCAGATGACATGATTGTATATCTAGAAAACCCCATTGTCTCAGCCCAAAATCTCCTTAAGCTGATAAGCAACTTCAGCAAAGTCTCAGGATACAAAATCAATGTACAAAAATCACAAGCATTCTTATACACCAATAACAGACAAACGGAGAGCCAAATCATGAGTGAACTCCCATTCACAATTGCTTCAAAGAGAATAAAATACCTAGAAATCCAACTTACAAGGGATGTGAAGGACCTCTTCAAGGAGAACTACAAACCACTGCTCAATGAAATAAAAGAGGATACAAACAAACAGAAGAACATTCCATGCTCAGGGGTAGGAAGAATCAATATCGTGAAAACGGCCATATGGCTCAAGGTAATTTATAGATTCAATGCCATCCCCATCAAGCTACCAATGACTTTCTTCACAGAATTGGAAAAAACTACTTTAAAGTTCATAAGGAACCAAAAAAGAGTCCGCATTGCGAAGTCAGTCCTAAGCCAAAAGAACAAAGCTGGAGGCATTATGCTACGAGACTTTAAACTATACTACAAGGCTACAGTAACCAAAACAGCATGGTACTGGTACCAAAACAGAAATACAGATCAATGGAACAGAACAGAGCCCTCAGAAATAATGCCGCATATCTACAACTATCTGATCTTTGACAAACCTGAGAAAAACAAGCAATGGGGAAAGGATTCCCTATTTAATAAATGGTGCTGGGAAAACTGGCCAGCCATATGCAGAAAGCTGAAACTGGATCCCTTCCTTACACCTTATACAAAAATTAATTCAAGATGGATTAAAGACTTACATGTTAGACCTAAAACCATAAAAACCCTAGAAGAAAACCTAGGCAATACCATTCAGGACATAGGCTTGGGCAAGGACTTCATGTCTGAAACACCAAAAGCAATGACAACAAAAGCCAAAATTGACAAATGGGATCTAATTAAACTAAAGAGCTTCTGCACAGCAAAAGAAACCACCATCAGAGTGAACAGGCAACCTACAGAATGGGAGAAAATTTTTGCAACCTTCTCATCTGACAAAGGGCTAATATCCAGAATCTACAATGAACTGAAACAAATTTACAAGAAAAAAACAACCCCATCAAAAAGTGGGCGAAGTATATGAAGAGACACTTCTCAAAAGAAGACATTTATGCAGCCAAAACACACATGAAAAAATGCTCATCAGCACTGGCCATCAGAGAAATGCAAATCAAAACCACAATGAGATACCATCTCACACCAGTTAGAATGGCGAATATTAAAATGTCAGGAAACAACAGATGCTGGAGAGGATGTGGAGAAATAGGAACACTTTTACACTGTTGGTGGAACTGTAAACTAGTTCAACCATTGTGGAAGTTGGTGTGGCAATTCCTCAGGGATCTAGAACTAGAAATACTATTCGATCCAGCCATCCCATTACTGGGTATATACCCAAAGGATTATAAATCATGCTGCTATAAAGACACATGCACACGTATGTTTATTGCAGCACTATTCACAATAGCAAAGACTTGGAACCATTCCAAATGTCCAACAATGATAGACTGGATTAAGAAAATGTGGCACATATACACCATGGAATACTATGCAGCCATTAAAAAGGATGAGTTCATGTCCTTTGTAGGGACATGGATGAAGCTGGAAACCATCATTCTCAGCAGTCTATCGCAAGGACGAAAAACCAAACGCCGCATGTTCTCACTCATAGGTGGGAATTGAACAATGAGAACACATGGACACAGGAAGGGGAACATCACACTCTGGGGACGGTTGTGGGGTGGGGGGAGGGGGGAGGGATAGCATTAGGAGATATACCTAATGCTAAATGACGAGTTAATGGGTGCAGCACACCAACATGGCACATGTATACATATGTAACAAACCTGCACGTTGTGCCCATGTATCCTAAAACTTAAAGTATAATAATAATAATAATAAAGAAATCTCTATAAAGAAGATACCCAGGGTTCAAGATAGCTTAATAGTGACATCAGATGCCAGTTTTCCTTAAAAAGAAGAATTAAAGTTAAAAGTAAATAGTCATATCTCAAATAGAATATCAAGGAGAATATCAATTACTGAAACTCAATGGAAAAACTCATGAATAAAAGGCTTGGGTTCCAAGGAGGGAGAAAAGAAGAGGCCAATTCAGCTAGCAGAAATGTTTGGGAGCCCCAAGGAACTTGGTGTTGCATGGAAATACTAAGTGGGAGTGTTTGGGCTCCTTCTCACCTCTGCAGCAGACAGCCAATAACTGAATTGTGTGCTCCTCTGCCCTCACAAACCTAGACACAAGTGAGGGTGGTGATTTAGAGACTTCTTGGTGGCATTGTACCAGATAGCAAACTTGTGCTGGGTGGCTTGCCCTTGCACCAGACTTGAGCATCCGTAGCAGCATGCTATCATAAGGGAACAGCTGTGGGGGGATGGTATCTTACCCAGGAAATCTTGATATTTGTGTCTCTACATCCCTAAAGCTCCCATGGACATTCCCCAGTGCCCACATGGAAGACAACAGCAAACAATCTGGCTGGAACTAAGAAAACTGCAAGTTCCCAGTGATTTAGTTTTGAGGGAATGCTTCTCCTCAAAAAAAGGGAAAAGTGCAGCACAACAAGGGAGCAATCTGTGTAACAAAAGAAACCAAAGCACATACTTTTCAGTGCCTGAGAGCTGCTCTGTGCTAGCCGAAGAGCACCATGCTTGGCGGGTGATTAACGTCTCTATTTCCAGCAGAGACACAAACTCTGTGATAGGCTCTGCAAGCCAGGAGTGAAATTCCATACTACCAGCCAAGTAACTTCAGTGCTTAAGACCAGGAAAAGTGAGTGTGTTCTCACTGGCAGTGTGATATTCAGCCTCGGTTTGCATAAAATGCAGGATCTTTTCCCATTTCTGCACAGAGCTGCAGTGTTTCTCTCATGGGGAGCAGGAGGGTCAGAAAGCTGTTTGTCTGGGGCTAAGCGGGGAGACTTTGCACTACAGCTATTTCCAGGTAGCACAGAGGTTTAGTGTTGAGCCATGCAGCAGGCTATACTATGGCTCTGAAAGTGTATGACTAAGCTGAATATCCCCAGCACTGGTACAGGGGCATGACAAAAAACAGATTACATTTCTGCCTGCTGAGGCCATGATTCTGAGAAAGTCCCACCTCCCACCTCTAATACCTCCCACCCCTCATGCAAAAACCTGAAATTCAGTGCCTGAATTCAGGCACCTGTGACTCAACAACTTCCCATCCACCCCTGTCAGGGATGATGCTTGCACCTGCTATATACAGTGCTTCACCATCCAGCTGCACCCAGTTTCACCAATCACTTCGGGACTGAACCTGGAACCTAGGCTATTGTAGGATTTATGGATGGGCATATTTTCTGGGACACCTGAGAGGAATTTATATAAAATCTTTGCCACTAAAAGCACCCACCCAAGAAGCAAAGCCAAATGACCCATTTCAACATACATTCTATTCACATTGTCAAGGGAGAAGAAAAAAATCCCATCCAAACAAAATAAATTAAAATATAAGAAGTTGACAGTCTCTCCAAATGAGAAACCAGTGTAACAATTCTAAAAGATGAAAAATACAGGGGACCTTATGACAACCCCAGAGAATTACATTAACTCTCCGGCAATACATTCTAACAAAAAATAAAATTTTGAAGTATCAGATAAAGATTTCAAAATATTAATTTTAAAGAAGCTTAATGATGAGACCAAAGAGAAATTTGAAAACCAATACACTACCAAGCAAAAGAAAAAATTCTCAGAATTCGAAGAGAGCTCTTTTGAATTAATCTAGTTAGACAAAAGTATATAAAAAAATTTGACAAGTATAGGGCTATGTAAAATGTCTGAATCTATAAATCAAAGTATTCTTAAGGGAGAAGAAAAGGTAAAAAGTGTGGACAACCTATTTGAGGAAATAATTGAGAAAGACTTCCCTAGTCTAGCAAGAGATATAGACATCCAAATGCAAAAGGCTCAGAGAAATCCAGGAAAATACAGTTGCAAGAAGTATCTCACCAAAACACATAATCATCAGACTATCTAAGTCAATGTGAGTGGGGAAAAATAATCAAATTAGTAAAAGTGTCTGGTCACTTATAAAGGAAAGGTCATTATTAGACTAACAGTGAATTTCTCGACAGAAACCTTAAGAGCCAGAATATCGAGATTCTATTTTCAAAGTGCTTAAAGTAAAAAACTGTCAACCTTAAACTTTGTATCCTGCTCAAATAAGGTTCATAAATGAAAGAAAAATAAGGTATTTATCAGAAAGCAGTCACCAAGAGAATTTATCACAAGACCAGACCTACCAGAAATGGTCAATGGATTTCAAACATGGAAACAAAGGTCAATACTCTCTATCATAAAAACACACAAAACTATAAGGTTCACAGTTCTCATAAATCAGTTACACAAATGGTGAACAGAAAGATATCAATGGCAAAACAACAAAAATGCCACCAAACCCACAAAGGCAGATACAAATAAAAAAGGAAGAAATAATCTACTAAGCAACTAAATAACAACAGCATTATGACAGGAACAAAACTTTACATATCAGTATTAACCTTGAATGTAAGTAAATTAAGTTCTCCATTTTGACTGGAAGTTGGCTTACCAGATGCAGCCAGGAAGTGCTGACCCACAGAGAGCCACTGGAATTTCTATTACACCAGCACAAGTTGAACAGATTTTAAGAGCAAGAACCCTGAATGTGGATGAAGATGCTGAGGCTAAATAGGAAGGAAGCTGGGGACCCCACATCGAGTGTCTAAATGCTAGTACTGAATGCTCTTGGGAAGGGGTGAGTACTGGGTATGGGTGAGTACTGGGAATGGGTGACTGCCCACTCTCACTGCAGACCTTTGGGATCCTCACTGCAGAGGACCCCACACTCGTTCATGAATATTTGAGCTGACAGGCAGATCTCTCAGGAGATAAACTGAAATACAGCTGCAGCAGGCACAGAGCTGGGGACCTTTGTGCATGAGAAAGCTGGAGTAGATTCTGGTCATAAGTGCACATATACCATGTTTCCCCATATCCCTTTGAGAGGCCTGCACCCCAGCTAACTTCAAGACAAGGATAAAGTAGGGTTGACTTTCCCACAGCACTGGTGCGTGTATGTTCTGCATAGCTGCCTGTCCTCTAGCCCCTCCTTGGTGTCCTGTCTGATCACCTTGTAGGAGTGTGTACACAGTGCAGCCTTTACTGCCCAGCCTGGGTTCTTCGCTCCATCTGGTACAATCCAGAAGACTGGAAGTTCTTTAGACTCTGCACTACTCAATAGAACCCAGTCTCAAGGGTCTGAAGGAGGGAGCTGCAAGCAGGTCCTGACACTCCAGGGCTGCAGCCCATAGCTAGGGAGTACTGAGCTGGGATCTGTGCACTGGGCACTTGAATTGAGGAGTCTATACTCTCAGAAAACTTGCTGGGTAAATGCCATGTTTTGTACTTTGATAGCACATGGGTGATACAGGTTGCTGGTTGCTTTCATCTGTCAAAATTGTATGGCTACAATTTGTGTGTTTAAATGCAGGTAAATTTTATCTCTAAACTGAACTGTAATGTGGTTACAGTGAAGCAATAGTGAGCAGTGGGTAGACATATAGATGACATAATGGCAGAATGTTTGTAATAGTTCAGTCTTGGTAATGAGTACATAGGATTTATTAAAATTTTATATAAAGTATTTAAATTATGTATATGTATTTAATAAATTATTAAATTATTTAAGAAAGTTATTAAATTAATAAATGATTCAATAAAATTTCAATGAATAATTTGATAAATTAAGAATTATTCAGTTATTTAATACATATTTTATTAAACATTAAATTATTAATAATCATCAATTAAAGTTTATCATAATTATAATTACTTTTAAATCATTATTGATTAGTAATAAATGTTAATATTCAATTATGTTCGTTAATTATTTGGTGGTCAAATAATATCATGTGTATTAATTAAATACTAATTAATTAATAATTACTTATTAATAAATAAATAAAATTTAGCATTGATAACATTAAATTAATAATAAATACAATTAGTTAATACATAATTTATCAAATTATTTTGCATATATTGTGTTTTAAATCTTTTACAATAAAATATTAAAATAAACACTATCAGAGGAACAAAAAAAAAAAGCAAGAATAATTTTTTTTTTCTTTTGAGACAGTCTCGCTCTGTCGCCCAGGCTGGAGTGCAGTGGCGCGATCTTGGCTCACTGCAAGCTCCGCCTCCCGAGTTCACGCCATTCTCCTGCCTCAGCCTCCCAAGTAGTTGGGACTACAGGCACCTGCCACCACACCAGGCTAATTTTTTGTATTTTTTACTAGAGACAGGGTTTCACCAAGTTAGCCAAAAAGCAAGAATAACTTTTTAAATGTTCAATGCATACATTCAGAATTCTCTTGGTCAACTGCAGAGAGTGACAAAGGAAATTCTGTTCAAACCTGAGAATATAGGCATAACTATGTAACTTAGTGGCTGACCTGCTTATAGATCAGTGCTTGAAGAAAAGCTGAACTTAGCTGGCTGGTATGTCTACCACAGGGGGCCTCTCTCCCCGTGGGAAGACAGAACTTTGCTGCTTGGTATGTGTGTTCACCTCTCCACATGGCTTTCCATCTGCTTCTTAGTCTCTCTGATTAGCAACTACAGATCAAGTGCTCTATATTCCTGATCAGGGGCAGCGAGGACAAACCTGGGCAGCAGATACCACATGTAATGGGCTGGGTCAGCTCACACTACTGATAGACATAAGATGGTTTATGACATTTTTAAATTAAGCTAATAATCTCCAGTAGTATGTTTAAATATTTGTTATTTATTAATTTTATTTAAAAATTATTTTTTGAACAATTTGGTTTTCTCTCCTTAAACCTCCATTTTATTGCCATTTCAAAGACATACACTTTTTTAATTTTTTTATTATTTTTTATTTTTTATTTTATTTTATTTATTTATTTTTTTTTGAGACGGAGTCTCTCTGTGTCACCCAGGCTGGAGGGCAGTGGCGCGATCTAGGCTCACTGCAAGCTCCGCCTCCCGGGCTCATGCCATTCTCCTGCCTCAGCCTCCCGAGTAGCTGGGACTACAGGCGCCCTCCACCACGCCAGGCTAATTTTTTGTATTTTTAGTAGAGACGGGGTTTCACCGTGTTAGCCAGGATGGTCTCGATCTCCTGACCTCGTGATCCACCCACCTAGGCCTCCCAAAGACATACGCTTTATTTTTTAAAACCTTTTAAAGGCCAGGCACAGTGGTTCACTCTTGTCATCCCAGCACTTAGGGAGGCGGAGGCAGGTGGAACACCTGAGGTCGGGAGTTTGAGACTAGCCTGACCAACATGGAGAAACCTCATCTCTATTAAAAATATGAAATTAGCCGGGCGTAGTGGTGCACGCCTGTAATCCCGGCTACTCAGGAGGCTGAGGCAGGAGAATAGCTTGAACCTGGAAGTCGGAGATTGCAGTGAGCCGAGATCACGCCATTGCACTTCAGCCTGGGCAACAAGAGCAAGACTCCATCTCAAAAACAAACAAAAAAAAAACTTTAGAAAATTGTGGTATGAAAAGATAACATAAGATCTATCCTTTTAACACATTTTTTAAGTGTATAATACATATTGCTAACTATAGTCACAGTGCTCCACAACTATAGTCACAATGCTGCACAGTAGAGCTCTAGAACTTACTTGCTTAACTGAAACTTTCACTTCTTGGACAGCACTCCCTGTTTCCCCTTTCCCAGCCATTGGCAACAACTATCCTACTCTCTCTTTCTGTGAGTTTGACTCTTTCAGACACGTCACATAAATGAAATCATGCAGTATTTGTCTGTCTATCCCTTGCTTCACTTAGCAGAATGTCCTACAGGTTTATCCATGTTGTGATTTATCCATATGGCAGGATTTCCTTCTTTTCAAGGCTGAATACTATTTCATTGTTTATAAATATCACATTTTCTTTTGTATTTTTGTATTCAGTTGAAAAATAATAATTATATCTATTTATGGGGTACAATTTGATGTTTTGATATATATATACATTATGGAATAATTAAATTGAGCTAATTAACATACTCTTCACCTCACATACTTATCTTGTGGTGGTAAAAACATTTAAAACCTACTCTTTTAGCAATTTTGAAATGTACGTTACAATATTATTAACCGTAGTCACTATGTTATGTAGTCGATCTCAAAAATATTTTCTTCCTCTCTAGCTGAAACTCTGTACTCTTTGACCAACATCTTGTCAGCCCCTTTCCTCTCTGCTCGCAGGCTCTCATAACCACCATTCTACATTTTATTTAATGAGTGCAACATTTTTTACATCCCACAAATAAATGAGATAATGCAGTATTTGTCTTTGTGTGCCTGGCTTCTTATTTCCTATAATGTCTTCCAGATTCACCCATCTGTTTACAATTGATACAATTTCCTTCTTTTTAAAGGCTGAATAGTATTCAATTGTGTGTATATAACACACTTTCTTTATCCATTCATCTGTAGAAAAACATTTATGTTGTTTCCATAATTTGGCTACTATGAATAAAGCTATACCACACATAGGAATGCAATATCTCTTCAAGATCCTTATTTCAATTCTATTGTATATATGCCAAGATGGGATTGCTGGATTATTTGATTATTGTTTTTAATTTTTTGAGGAAACTTCATACTATTTTTATAGCAGTGTCACCATTTGCATTCCCATCAAAGTGTACTAGGTTCTAATGTCTCTACATCTTCACCAACACATTGTATTTTGTTTTTTTAAGTGATAGCCATTCTAACAGGTTTGAGGTTATATCTTACTGTGGTTTGGATCTGTATTTCTCTAATGACTGTAATGAAGTTGACCACCTTTCCATATGCCTGTTGACCATTTTGAGAAATGTCTACTCAGGTGCTTTGCCCGTTTCTAATTATTTTTTTGCTGTGGCATTGTAGGAGTTGCTGATTTTTTTATATTAATTCCTTATCAGATATATGAGCAAATATATTCCATTCCACAGGTTGCTGTTTTACTCTGTCGGTTGTTTCCTTTGCTGTGCAGAAGGCTTTGAGTTTATTATAGTCCAACTTATCTAACTTTGCTTTCTTGCCTGTACTTTTGATATCATATTCAAAAAATCATTATCAAGCCCAGTATCATGAAACTTTTCCACTGTGTTCCACTGCAGAGGTTTCACAGTCTCAAGTTTTCAGTTTAATTCTTTAATGCATTTGAGTTAGTTTTTGTGTATAGTCTAAGTCAAGGATCCAACTTATTCTTTTGCATGTGGCTGTCCAATATTTCCAACACCATTTATTGGAGAGATTATCTTTTTTCATCATTGTGTTTCTTGTCTCCCTACTGGAATGCAGATCAGTTGAGAGTATATGTATCGATTTATTTCTGGGCTTTCTGTTCTTTTTCACAGTCTTTTTGTCTGTTTTTATGACGGTGCTATAATGTCCAGAATGTTACAATATATTTTGAAATAAGAAATGTGATGCCATCAGCTTTGTTCTTTCTCAGAATTGCTTTGACTACTTTGAGTTTTTTGTGTTTCCATATGAATTGCATGATTGTTTTTTCTATTTCTACAAAGAAAGGACACTGGGATTTTAATAACAATTATATGAAATCTGTAGATTGGTGTGGGTAGTGTGCATTTTAACAACCTTAATCCTTTCAATAAAGGAACACAGATTTTATTTCTCTTTATTTGTGACTTCAGTTTCTTTCATCAATATGTTTATAGTTTTCATTACATATGTTTTCCACCTCCGTAAGTTTATTGCTAAGTATTTTATTCTTTTTTATGCTATTGTAAATGCAAGTTTTTTCTTATTTATTTTTATTGTTTATATTTAAGGTGTACATATATATGTACATGTATATATATTAAGATGTACAACAAATATTTTCATATACATATACAGAGTTAAATAATTACTACATATCTATCATCCCACATGGTTACCTCTCTGTGTGCTTGTGGTAAGAACCCTTACAGTCTAGCCTCAGCAAATTTCCAGTACCCAGTGCAATATTGTTATTGTTAACTATTGTCTCAGTGAATATTCCATGTGACCTTGAGGAGATTGTGTTTTCTACTATTGATGGATGGAGTCATTTATGTGTGTCAATTGTATCCCTTTGGTTGGTGGTGACTTTGAGTTCCACTATGTCTTTACTCATTTTCTGACTGCTCAGCCTGTTCATTACTGATAGATGGATGTTGAAGTCTCTATGATAGTGGATTTGCCTATTTTTCCTTGCAGTTCCATTAGTTTTTGCCTCATGTATTTGATGCTCAATTGTTAGGTCTGTGCACATTAAGAATTGTTTTGTGTCCTTGGAGAATTGAACCCTTTGTCATTAGGTAATGGTCGGCTTTTTTGAAGACAACCTTCCTTCCTTTGAAGACACTCTGTCTGAAATTAATGTAACTACTCTTGCTTTCTTTTGATTAGTGTTAGCTTAATATATTTCTCAATGCCTTTATTTAAATTTAAAGTGGGTACTGTTTTTGACCAATTTTGAAAATCTACATTCGTTTAATTAGTGCATTTACACCATCGACTGTTCATTTAATTAAAGTGATTATTGACATAGTGGGATTAACATCTATCGATTTATTACTGTTTCCTTTCTTGAGAAAATTTACCATTTTATTTTTCAGAGCTCATATTTGAAATATGGCTCAGAGTGATTCCCTCCACCCAGAGAACCCCTCACTCCTGCTGGTGTTTATCTTCTAAAAGTGACCCAGGCCTGGAAGCCATAGTTAGCTCCCAGAAATTGTGGCTTGTCTATTAGAGTTTCAGATGCATGAGATGCTGCTGTTGGAGAGCCAGGTTCGCAAAAGTGAGCACATGCATAGCTGTGGCAGAGCTAGGGTCTGGAGAATGTGTATGGATGTAACTGCCTTGGTTCTGGGTCAGTGGTGGGCACAGGATTGCGAGGGGTTAGTGGCTCTAATACCAGGGTTCTTTCTTACTGGAGCGAACCACGGGATGTCTCTCAATCTGGGGATTCCAAGGTATGGGTGGCTATTGTTACCTCAGTTGTGTGTGTAAGTGTGCCAGTATCCTCTGCAAACAACCCCTGGGGACTGCCTTGGCACTTGCTGCTTGGTTGACCCTGATAGCCACCCTTGTTCTTTGACTTAGCCATCTGCAAACATCACAGGTGTGCTTGTTTCCCCAGTGATTCATTCTGTACTATTATTCTCTATTTTGTTGTTGTTGCTCCACTGTTTTGCTACAGGTTTTTAAATGGACCTTTGAACTCAACACAATTTTGTTCATGAATAGCTGAACATGAAATCTACAATTATTCTGAAAACAACAAGCAAGAGGATGTAGAATAAGCTGGGAATGCAAGATCCCTTGATCGGGAGGAACTACCTAAAACAGCCCAGGCTTGTTTCTGCCCTTCCCAAAGAAAGTAATATTTTGAGAGAGGGAAGAATTGCCCCCAAGAGAGCCCACACTCTGTTTCTGTCTGCCTTAGAAACAAAACGTCAACTCCAGTTCAGCAAAACGAGTTGCCCCTGGGAAATAGATATGGGCTAACTCCCAGGGTCCTTGAAGTAGTGCATGCACAGCCAAGATTCCTTCTGCCCTTGGCAGATTTTAGGAGCCTTGGGATACTGGCTTATCATAAATCCTAGAGTCTGCTGTCCTTTCTTGCCTACCTATAAGTAATAAATCTGCTTCATATAAGTTATGTGTGTGAATGTTCTGTTTAACCAGACTGGGACAAGTGGTAAAGCAGCATTGTAGGCTACAGTGGGCTGAATTCAGTTACTAGACTCCTATTCCTGGTGGTTCTTATAGTGATGATCTTTACTATTCTCCATGCAGTTTGTGTCTTTTCTTAGAACTGATAACCAGTAAATGTATTTTGCAGCTATCTCTTACTCTGCCATTTTGCTGATATCACTCTCTGCTGTTATTAAAATGCAAAGTGATGATAAAAGATTTTGCAAGTTGTTTCAAGAAAAAGAAGAAATGGAGGTGGAAAGAAGTAAGTAAAAATGGAGGGAAGAGGAAATTTCTGTCACTTTTTTATTTTATTGATCAGAAAGACAAGTTTGGGGGTTTTCCATAATTCAGAGCTAAGTATTTTGATGAACTTTACTGAGGGGTTCCCTATCTCTTAACTTTGCAAGACACTTACTTCACTTTTCATTTTCTTTCTTTCTTTTTTTGAGTCTGGCTCTGTCGCCCAGGCTGGAGGGCAGTGGCGCAATCTTGGCTCACTGCAAGCTCCACCTTCCAGCTTCACACCATTCTCCTGCCTCAGCCTCCCGAGTAGCTGGGACTACAGGCACCCGCCACCACGCCTGGCTAATTTTTTGTATTTTTAGTAGAGACGAGGTTTACACCATGTTAGCCAGGATGGTCTCGATCTCCTGACCTCGTGATCCGCTTGTCTCGGCCTCCCAAAGTGCTGAGATTATAGGCATGAGCCACCGCGCCTGGCACCTTTTAATTTTTCTAATGATCTATTTAAATGTTGTAGGCCTATAAATATCTTAGCTGCAATTAAGCACCTGAGCTATGCTTTACACTCCATCCAATTTCAAAAATAATGAATCATTTCACCTGTATTTTTGAGAAACAGTAGGCATTCATGTAATTTCAAAGTTCATCTCATTTCTCCTCTTCATCCTGTTGGCATTTATATATTTCATGAATGCTCCGAAATCTTCTCAGATATTACATTACCTTCCTCAAAACAATAAACTCTTTGTACTCAGAGTTTTCTAGTTACAAAATAGATTGTGTTTCCCTACATACCCTTGGACCAAAACAAGCTCCTGCATCCCATTTATTACCTTTTACTCCAGGCTTGATGAAAAATATTTGAGAGATGATTATGATGCTGAAGATAACCAAAATAGTAATGACAAAACAAAGGCTGGTCTTTCTGATATCTCACATTCATGTTTATCTAACTAAATGTCAGATGCCGTGCAATGTGCTAAATATAAATTACAGTGCTTATAGAACATATAAACCCTAAGAGGTGTGCATGATTATGCTCATATTGCAGGAGAGAAAACAAATATATTCTCCCTTCCTTCTTTCATCCTGTAATCTGTCCCACCCAGAAGGTCATAATGCCCAAACTTGTTTTGAAGTCTGCTGACAGGCTTCTTCTTTCCATGAAATTCTTTACTGTCTCCTGACCATTGACCCAACTGCAGTGACCTCAGCATTTCTCACAACTTTGTGGTCCATTTAATAATACTCTGTACCACATGAGTATCCATAATTTGGAGCAGTTGGAGCATAGAATTTGTTAAACAATATAATGTGAAAAGTGATTCCTTATTGATCAGGGTGCTGAGGGATACCTTATCTACATTACCATTCTCCCATTACAGTGCCGAAAACTCCTGGTGTTTAAGTTTCAATTAAATAAAGGGGTGATCATGAGGCTGCATGGGGTAAGAGAATGGGTAAAATTTTTATTCTTTTAAATTCAAGTGTGTTTTATTATACACACAAACCTTGTAAATTAACATAAGTAGGTGTAAACCTTTTATAAACATTTACACAAAGGTATAAAATATTTACATTGACTCTGTAATTGATAATGGTTACAGACAACTAAACAAGTACAATCAATCTTCTGTTGCTCTTCCTGAGCACTCTGTGGGATCAAATTCAAGTTAAAATGAGTAGTAATCATGCTTTAATCAGGAATTTGGTACTGGTGAATACAGCAAATTGATTCATTTTATTTGACCAATATTGCTAAAGATTCTGAATCTACCATTGAATTTCTCCATTAGAAAAAATAATTTTTCTAGTGGTTTTAAATGGATTATACCTACAGTCCATGGTTTTTTAGACCATTGTGCCAAGTTCATGACACTTGAACATGCCTGCCTTTACTAAATCTCTAAGTACACTGAAAATATTTAATGCCTACACCCTTAGTAGTCACATGCTATAAACTTAAGACCACCATTGCCAAGTGTTTAAGATCTAAATATTTTTCTCTGAATTAAATAAAGGCTGCAGTAATGGGTATGTCATTTCCAAATTCTCTACTAGACATTTCATGCATGAGCTATAGAACTCCGGAGAAACATTACAGAGTACTTCAAGGAGAATCCAGGGCATAGACTCTCTATGGAGGATATAAGTTTCTTTTTCCATGGCTATGGATTCCTATGTCTTAATCAAAACCTTTGGAAGGAATGGCCATACATCTAGTCAGATTGCCATCATATTTATGACTATTCCATACTTCCAACAGTGAGAGAAAGATATCCTGGAATATATTCTGGCTACTAATAGAAAATTAGTTAACCCTACTTAGACTAGGCACTCTGGTGAAAGATTTAAAAATGTGGAACATCTCTGGTGCTCATAGAGCATTCAGGAAAAAAGATTACAATTATATCAGTGAGACAAAGATAACAATTCTTTTAACATAGAGGAAAAAGATACTATAGGAGCCCAGCAATAGGTATACACAGTCCATCATGATTGATAATTTGGCATGTGGTTTACCATACAGCTTTAAAAACTTTATTTATATCATATCTTATTGCTACTGTGTCATTTTGGATAAGAACTTTATATTCCCTGAAACTATACATTTAATTTTTCTTACAAATTTAGACATAACTGAAGCATGATATACAACACATTTTTATTGTACAATTTTATCATTTTGACAAAGACAACAAAAGCTTCCATCACTCAAACATTTCTCACACCACTTTGTAATTCATCCCTTCACTTAACCCATCCTTATTCAACTAGTGATCGGCTTTTCTTACTATAAAACAGTATTTATATTCTAGAATGTCATAATAGACACTCAGTTTCTTTTTTAGTGTAATAATTTCAATATCCATCCATGTTGTTGCATGTATCAATGATCATTACATTTTATTTCTAAACAGTATTAATAAATGTAACTCACCATGTAAACAGAATTAAAAGCAAAAATAATATAAATCATCTCAAAATCAAGAAACAGTCAAATACCACATATTCTCACTTACAAGTGGGAGCCAAATAATATGTACACATGGGCATTGAGAGTGGAATAATAGATATTGGAGGCCTCGAAGGGTGTGAAGGTTGTAGATGATATCAAATAACTTAATGGGTACAATGTACATTATTTGCATAATGGTTGCATTGAAAGTCCAGACTTCACCACTACACAATATATCCTATCCATGTAACAAAATGGACCTTGTTCTCCTTACCTACAAAAAAAAAAAAAAAAAAAGACATACAAACTGACAATAGGTAATTTTTTTTTTTTTGAGACAGTCTCACTCTGTTGCCCAGGCTGGAGTGCAGTGGTGTGATCTCAGCTCACTGCAACATCTGCCTCCTGGATTCAAGCAATTCTCCTGCCTCAGCCTCCCGAGTAGCTAGGATTACGGGCATTCCATCACATCCAGCTAATCTTTGTATTTTTAGTAGAGACAGGGTTTCACCATATTGGCTAGGCTGGTCTTCGACTGACCTCAGGTTATTTGTCCACCTAGGCCTCCCAAAGTGCTGGGATTACAGGCGTGAACAACCGCACCCCGTCGCCAATAGGTAAACTTTTAAATGCTCGATATGACTAATCATTAGTGAGATATTAATAAAAACTACTGTGAGATATCAGCACACCCCAGTTAGAATAACTATTATCAAAAGCCAAAAGATGCTAGCAAGGCTGTATAGAAAGGATGTATAGATGCTGGCAAGGATGTATAGATGTGGAAGACAGTGTGGCAATTCCTCAAGGGTCTAGAACTAGAAATACCATTTGACCCAGCCATCGCATTACTGGGTATATACCCAAAGGATTATAAATCATGCTGCTATAAAGACACATGCACACGTATGTTTATTGCAGCACTATTCACAATAGGAAAGACTTGGAACCAACCCAAATGTCCATCAAGGATAGACTGGATTAAGAAAATGTGGCACATATACACCATGGAATACTATGCAGCCATAAAAAAGTATGAGTTCATGTCCTTTGTAGGGACACGGATGAAGCTGGAAACCATCGTTCTCAGCAAACTATCGCAAGGACAAAAAACCAAACACTGCATGTTCTCACTCATAGGTGGGAATTGGGCAATGAGAACACTTGGACACAGGAAAGGGATCATCACACACCAGGGCCTTTTGTGGGGTGGGGGGAGGGGGGAGAGATAGCATTAGGAGAAATATCTAATGTAAGTGACAAGTTAATGGGTGCAGCACAGGAACATGGCACATGTATACATACGTGCCAAACCTGCACATTGTGCACATGTACCCTAGAACTTAAAGTATAATTAAAAAAAAAAAAAAAGAAATGGGAACTCTGTTGAATGGAATGCTAATTAGTACAATCAGTGTGGAAAACAGTCCAGAGGTTTCTCAAAACATTAACTACTTGGTATAATACTCAAAAGAAATGAAATCAATATGTTGAATAGGTATCTGCACTCCCATGCTTACTGCAGCACTGTTCACAATAGCCAAGATACGGAATCAAACCATGTGTTATCAGCAGGTGAATGGATTTTAAAATGTGGTATATATATGCAATATACTATTCAGTTATAAAAAATAATGAGATCCTGTCATTTGGTAATTGACCTAATTGAATGACTTTATAATGTATACATAGATTAAAAGATCACATTAGGCCCCATAAATATACACAATTATTGTCAGTTTAAGCATTTAAAAAATCTAATGGCTGAGATGACTAAGCTGAAAGGGCAATAGCTATTTTGTTTTGTTTTGTTTCAGTTTGGTTTGTAAATAGACTATTTTAGTCACTATGGCTTTTGTGTTGCAAATGAGAGGTTCTTTTTAAGAGCAGATTTTCTCTCTAAACTTACCTATTTTCTTTAGATTAATGATAGATGGCATGGGTGCTTTCTTAAAATATCAGTATTTCTGAGATATTAAATCTAACAAAATCTACTTAAATCTAGCTTTTATAAACCATATTGTAATAACACAAAAATTATTTGTATTCTTAAAAAGTAAATAAAAATGTTCTCTTTGGTTGACTGTTATATGGGACTTTTAATCACTTATTCAACCTTAAGAAAAAAGGTTAATAAATACCCTCTAATAAAACTTCTTAAAGTTGAGCAACTAATAGCCAAGTGTTTTCTTACTTACACTTTCCATTTCATATTGCCTACATTTTGAACCAAAACATTTGAACATCAAGAGTTTGTACCAGTTTACTTTTTTTGTATTGTTCACAGCTATCTTTTTTCAATTTTTAAAATTATTTACTTCTTAAATTGTGGTAAAATATAGATTATATAAAACTCACCATTTAACTACTTTAAGTATATAGCTCAAAAGTATTAAGTACATTCACATTATTATACATGGCAAATTATAAAGAGTTTCTTACATCTTTGTATATGATTGTGATTTCAATCTGATAATTTTGTGTGGGTGATTAAAAACTCAGACATTAAAAATCTTATAGATTTTCTTGAAAAAATGTAATGTTGGTAAATTAACAGCATTATAAAACTAACTAAAATACGAAAAAAGTGCTAAACAATAATATTCTGGCATTTATAAACTATTCTTAGATTTGAAAGATGTGTATCTCTTAAACGGCACACAATAACATTAAGAAAATGAACATAAATATCACTCTGGCTTGATATCTCAATGCCCATACGTTAGTTATTTAATTAAATTTCATATTAAATTAACATAACTAAATGTAAGTTGGTTATTTAGTTAACTAAATATAAAAAGTCATGTTGCTTGGCCAGGCGTGGAGGCTCATGCTTGTAATCCCAGCACTTTGAGAGGCTGCGGTGGGTGGATCACCTGAGGTCAGGGGTTCAAGACTAGCCTGGGCAAGATGGTGAAAACTTGTCTCTACTAAAAATACAAAAATTAGCTGGGCATGGTGGTGCAAGTCTGTAATCACAGCTACTGGGAAGGCTGAGGCAAGAGAATCACTTGAATGGGGAGGCGGAAGTTGCAGTGAGCTGAGATCATGCCACTGCACTTCAGCCTGGGTGACAAAGTGAGACTCTATCTCAAAAAAAAGAAAAAAGTTATATTGCTTAACATTAATATATGTAACTTTTACTAATTAATTTACAAATACTTTAAAAATATAATATTCTAGGTATAAATATAGAGGCATGTTAAGTTGGTGCAGGAGTAATTGTGGTTTTGTCCTTGTAATGCCTTTTTAATGGCAAAACCCACAATTACTCTTGCACCAACCTAATAAATAGTTGGATTTCTCAAGCTAGGCTTACAGACCCATAAAAAGTACCTTGGGAAAACTGGCCTCATGTTTTGTGTACACAGTTCCTGTACAAGATTCCTAACCTGTGGTAAGTAAAGAATGTCACTTCCCACCAGGCCCAGGAGCCCCAATTGTCTTGGAACCTCAAAAGAAGAGAAATCTACCCAACTTATAGGTATTTGACGGGACAAACCCATGGCTGGGCTGGGTTTTAAAAATGTCTTATTTGAGATTACTTATACAACAGAGTTCCATCAGAACCCATTTTAAAAGCCTATGTGAAAATAATTATTCCTGCTGCACTTTATGTAAATAGGCCAAGTTATAGTAAGACTGAAGTATATT
Source organism: Homo sapiens (assembly GCF_000001405.40). NCBI lineage: Eukaryota > Metazoa > Chordata > Mammalia > Primates > Hominidae > Homo > Homo sapiens. The sequence goes on along the minus strand of NC_000024.10, from coordinate 12,969,199 downwards.
TTGCGAACAAATCAGTCCCATCATTATTACTATTATTATTTTTAATTGTGAGATGGAGTCTCGCTCTGTCGCCGAGGCTGGAGTGCAGTGGTGCGAACTCAGCTTGCTGTAAGCTCCATCTCCCAGGTTCATGCCATTCTCCTGCCTCAGCCTCCAGAGTAGGTGGGACTACAGGCACCTGCCACCAAGTGTGGCTAATTTTTTTTGTATTTTTAGTAAACCCAGGGTTTCACCGTGTTTGCCAGGATGGTCTCAATCTCCTGACCTCATGATCTGCCCGCCTTGGCCTCCCAAAGTGCTGGGATTACAGGTGTGGCCACTGCACCCAGCCCATTTTTTATTTTTAACAAAAGTAAGAAATGGAGAGAAAAAACTATGTTTCAAAAATTATGATATACCTCTCATTAAATTCTGGTCTCATCAGTTGTTTTTAAGTTTTTGTCAGTATTTTAGACTAAGCATGCTTATTCCTGTGAACCAGCCAGTGATCTCTGGCTGCTGATCAGAAGAAACAAAAGGGATGAGTAATGTAAAAGTCTAGATCAATATTCTAGTTCTAGGTACATATTGGAATCAGGTGGCAGCCCCATGCACCCAAGTCTTAGCAGGACTAGCTACCAGTTACTGGGGCATGTAAGCAGCCTCAGGATTTTTGGAGCTGTCCTCACTCTCTTCTTTTGTTTTGAAATCTCTGCATGTTTCAAAACCCAAGGACTCTTTTATATTTGTGGCCAATCAGCTCACCAATGTCACCCTGCTAACTGAACTGGAACTTGTACCATAGGCTATTGATGGATTTGGCTCTGCAACCCCACCCAAATCTCATCTTGTAGCTCCCATAATTCCCATATGCTGTGGGAGTGGCCCAGTGGGAGATGATTGAATCTTGGGGGCAGGTCTTTCCACTGCTATTCTGCTGATAGTGAATGGGTCTCATGAGATTTGATGGTTTTAAAATGGGAGTTTCTCTGTGCAAGGTCTCCCTCTTCGCCTGCTGCCATCCACGTAAAATGTGACTTGCTCCTCTTTGCCTTCTGCCTTGATTGTGAGGCCTCCCCAGCCATGCGGAACTGTTAAGTTCAATAAATCTCTCTCTTTTATAAATTGCCCAGTCTTGGGTATACCTTTATCAGCAGTGTGAAAACAGACTAATGCAGCTACCCATCCCAAGACATCTTTACAGACCCTGGCAACCTCTCTTCCAGTTCCAATGACCAGAAATTCCATCCTTCCCATGATAAAAAGAGCTATCCAATTAATTCCCCTTCTTGTGGGACTTGGCATTACAGCCAGTACAGGAACCAAAATTGCTGGAATCACAAAAGCCCCCTTAACCAGCTCTCAGAGGGAATACCAACAACATTAACATCATGACTAGAACCTTAACTATTATGCAAGAACAAATTGACTCTTTAGCAGCTGTAGTTGCCAAAATTGTCAAGGAGTAGATATGCTAACAGCAGCACAAGGAGAAATTTGTTTAGCCTTAGACTAAAAGTGTTGCTTTTGGGTAAATCAACAGGGAAAAGTATAAGACAACATCAAATACTGCTTAAATCGTGCCTCCAAGTTATGGGAACAAGCTTCAGAGAGTTGGTTAGATTGGGAATAAATCTGAAAATGGTTCTGGGGGGTTCTTCTTTTGTCAGGACCACTTGTTACTCTCCTACTTTTGCTCTTTTTTGGTCCATGTCTTCTAAGTTTAATAATCCAATTTGTCTCCTCTTGCCCTCAGGCCATCAAGCTCCAGATGATCCTCAATGAAGAATACCCTCCTCTCAATATTCAAGAGGCACCCTGATACAGGGGACCCCTGGACTGCGCATCAGTGGGACCGAAAGGAGATGAAATCCTGCCCTTGAGTCTAAGCTAAACTATTTTGTAAGTTCCTGCCACTTCACAGACCCTGGTCAGAGTTAGAAACATTCCATGGGGCCATAGAAATATCCTGCCCAACCATCTGACTTTCTGATCATCACACCCTACCAGAAAAAGGGCCAACCACGTGATCACAAGAATTTTATCCACATCCTTCCAGGCAGCAAGCCATATTGCCCAGAGCCCTCCCACTACACCTATGATTATCCCAGCCTGTAAGTGGCAGATGGCTCTGGCATTAAGCTGGTCCCCACCTCTGCAGGTTACTCTGGCAATAAACCTGCATTGCCATAGACCTGTCATCTCTGTCTTTCTTTAACCCTTGCATTTCCTTAAAAACCTAACACCTTGGACCTGGCTGGATACCGCTTTCACCAACCCATGCAGTCACCCTGCCCTGACAGCTAGGAAGAGGACAAGACCTAAAGAACAACCACCACCATCAGTCAGTCAGCAGGAAGCAGTTATAGAATATTGACATTTGCTCAAAGATTTGGGGTCTTGGGCTCTTGAGGGGGAAAGTGTTACAAGAAGTTAGTCGGGCATGAGCAGGGCAGGAGAGGGCTCACCACCCCCACCTGCCAGGGATGTCAGGTGATCAGGAGATGGTTCCACTGTTGTCACATTGCCTCTCTAAGAATGGTAATTGGGCAGCCAGCACCAGGGAGAGACAATCTGCTGCTGATCAACAGCTGTTAACATTAACTTGTTAATTGAATGCAGGCACCAGAAGAAGCAATAAGGGTTTCCAATAAAATCACACGTATTGGGGTAGTGAGCCTGAATACGTGCATTAGGAGACAAAATGGTAGAGTATGACCTTTTGGGGGCACTCCACCAGAAGAGGAAACAAAGCCTCAGATGGGCATGCACACAACTTCCTAAACACACTGAGTGTGCTTACTTCCCAAGCAGAAGGAAGGCATTGTGCATGTGGACAGCCACTCTAAAGGAAAAATCATGGGAAAGTGAGAGGTGGGCCACCCTCTAAAGTCCTGGGATCAAGGTTAAACATTGCACTTTGTCCTTCACATCACCACTTGGGATTCTTCTCAGTGTAACTTCCCTTTCTTTCCTGCTCTAAAGCCTTTTAATAAACTTCCATTCCAGCTGTTAAAAAAAAAAAAAAGTAAATAGCAGGATTTCTGAAAAATAAATAGAAAAATCATGCTGTAATTCCAGTGGTCTTTAGGTTGATTTCATAATAAACTATATATTACTCTTCAAATGTAATTTTTAGAGTTAGAATATTTATAGAATTTGTTGATAAAATAAAGTGCAAATACACACTCAGATTTGAAGTTAACATTTATATAATTTATTATATAAATTTCTATATACATATATATATAACAGAACATGAGCGAATTTACTCACAATACAGTCTTAAGGAACAGTAAAACTACACAACATTTACAATCTGGTACCTTAAATGAAGTATTCAGAAATCTGGTATTTCATCAAAGCTACCATTGTGACAACTCTTGCGTGCTATACATTTTCCTTTATAATATATACTAAGTACACTTGCATATCAAACTCAGAGCCTTGAAATGTATACCTCCTAAAGCACTATTTTGATTTCATATGTTGTGTTCACAAACATAAGATTTAAATTCCATTATTTGTCCCTCTAAAGAGTGAAATACTAAACATAAAAAGCAAATGTTTAAATAAATAAAACCTGCAATGAGCACGAGGCTAGCCTGCCCTGCGCACCTCCCAGAGACCTGCCACTCCCAGTGTCTCTGCCACACATCCAGAGGCTTAGGCCCACTCACCTGCTTCTTCCACCGTACATACAGAACAAAATCCTGAAAATTGGCTTACTCCCCCTGCTGAGGTTGTTGGTTCCCACACATACTCTCCAGGAGGTCAGAGGGAAGACCAGACCACCAACCATACCAATAACTATAGATGTAGTCCAGGAGCCTGAGGATTGGCATATCCTATGTGCCACCACCACTGATGTGTACACATGCCATCCAGGGGCCTGAGGATAGGCCAGATGCCATTGTCACCAGCATTCAATGTCCTGTCACCTAACAGACTTAACATACCCATCACTACCCACCACTGTGGACACCCATGTATGTCATCCAGGATCCTGAGAACAGGTCCACTCTACTGGCTGCTCCTTGTGCCCATGTGCCACTGCCAAGGAAGGGAAACCAGCTTGCCAAGTCTGCCACCACCACTGCTGACGCCCATTCATGTTTGCCACTTGGGGCCTGTATACAAGCCCACCTAGTCAGCTACCACTATGACTGATGCAAAGGTATGCCATTGTGAGGCTTGAGTACCAGCCCACAAGGGACCCCCACTGCCACCTCCAGCACCCTTGTATGTCACCCAAGAGCTCAAAAGCCAGCACATCATTACCAATGCTCATACTAAATAATGGCCCTTCTGGTGTTCCCATCTCCAGGAAAGCCTACAACAGCCCCCACAAAACCCACAGCCTAAACCTCTAAGGAACTTATATAAAACACTAAAACTACTGAATAAATCATATGGAGAATACAGTAGAGCCCTCACCAGAATCAAGCCAAAGTACATTATGCAACCAACACTTTTGATACACATGCAGAAAAATAGGGCTTACTCTATAAAAGACAATTTATAAAATTATAAGAAGCAACCAGATGTGCATATATCAAACAAGAATTTTAAAATTGTGAGAAAGCAAAGGAACATAGCACCTCCAATGGAACATAATAATTATCCAATGACAGATCACAAAGAAAATAAAATTTATAAAATATAAGAAAAAGAAATTGGAATAATAATCTGAGTAAGAAAACTCAGCAAGACACAAGAGGACACAAAGAGATAATACAAAGAAATCAGAAAAACAATTTATGATCTAAATAAGAAATTCAATAGATAGAAATGATAAAAAGGAACCAATATCCTGCAACTGAAGAATTCAATGATTAAAATTTAAAAACACAATTTAAGCTCAATAATAGAGTAGACCAAACAGAGGAAAGAATTTCCTACTTGAAGACAGGTCTTTTTAAATAAACTAAACCAAAAAAAAAAAAAAAAGAATAAAAAATGCCAAGGAACCCTACAAGACATATAGAGCAAAATCAAGCAAACAAATAATTGAATTTGGAGTTTAAGGAAAAGCAGAAGAAATAGGAAAATAAATGGAAAATTTTTAAATAAAATAATAGCTGACAACTTTCCACATCTTGTGAGAGATTCAGACATCCACATGTATACTCTGAGACACATTATAGTCAAACTTTCAAAATGAAAAGGCAGAAAGATAATTCTCAAAACAGTAAGAGACAAGCATCAAGTCGCATACAGGAATTACCAGCAGACTAACAGCACTTTCTAGCAGAAACATTACAGAAAAGGAAAAAAATTGTGTGATATATTCAAAGTGATAAAATAAAAAAACCCTGCTAGTCAAGAACACTATATTTAACAAAGATATTATTCAAAAATAAAGAAAAAATAAAGTCTTTCCCAGCCAAGCAAAAACTGAAGAAATTCTCTACAACTATACCTGCCCCACAAAAAGTTACTTAAGGGAGTTCTACATCTGGGAGGAACTCTCAAAATTAGACATAGAAGAAACATAACTCACTTGAGTTATGCTGAGGTTGTTCGTTCCCACACATATTCTCCAGGAGCTCAGAGGGCTGTACTGTATTCTCCATATGATTTATTATCAACATAATAAAGGCCACCGATGATGAGCTCACAGCTAACATCATACTGAATGTGGAAAATCTTGAAAGCTTTTCCTTTAAAAACTGGAACAAAACAAAGATGGCCACTTTCACCACTCTATTCAATACAGTCCTGGAAAGCCTAGCCAGAGGAATAAGAAAAGGCATCTAAATTGAAGAGGATAAAAGGCATCTAAATTGAAAATGAGAAAGTCAAACTGTCCCTCTTTGCAGATGGCCTCATGTTATATGGAGAAAAAGACTTAACCAAAAGATCTGTGGAATTGATAAACAAATTTAGCCAAGTTGCAGAACACAGAATCAATGCACAAAAATTAGTAATGTTGTTTTACACCAATAATGAACTACTGGAAACAAAACCAAGCAAACAGTCTCATTTAAAATAGCTAGAAAAATAATAAAATATCAACTGAGTGCAGTGGCTTATCCCTATGATCCCAGTACTTTGAGAGACTGAGGCTAAAGAATTACCTCAGGACAGGTGTTTAAGAATAGCATGGGCAACATAGTGAGAGCCTGTCTGTACGAAAATGCAAAAATTACCCAGGCTTTCAGGTAATCCCAGCTATTCAGATGGTAGGGTCGACTGAGCCCAGAAGGACAAGTCTACAGCAAGCTGTGATCATGCCACTGCACTCCAGCATGGGCAACAAAGCATGATCCTCTCCCCACCAAAAATAATAATAATAATAATAACAAATAAAAATAAAATACCTAGGAATAAATTAAACCAAGGAAATGAAAGAACTCTACAATGAAAAGTAAAAGAACATTGATGAAAATTATTGAAGATGACACAAACAAGTGAAATGGCATTCCATAACCATGTACTGCAAAAATACTGTAAATATGATGAAAATACCCAAAGTAATCTACAGATTCAATGTAGTTCTATCTAGACACCAATTACATTCCTCACAAAACCAGAAAAAACAATTCTAAAATGTGTATGAAACCATGTAAGACACTGACTAGCCAAAGCAATACTGGACAAAAAGAACAAAGCTGACAGCATTACACTATTTGACTTCAAAAAGTACTGTGAAGCCATAGTACCAAAAACAGAATAGTAATGGTATAAAAAGACACTAAGGATAATAGAAAAAAATAGAAAACATAGAAATAAATGTTTACATTCAACTGATTTTCAATAGTGGTGCTAAAAATGTATATTGAGGAAGAGATACCCTCTTCAACAAATGGTACTGGGAAAACTGGATATTCATATGCAGAAGAATGAAACTAGATTTCTATCTCACCATATACAAAAGTCAACTTAATGTGGATTAAATAGTTAAATGGAAGGCCTGAAATTATGCAGCTAATAGAAGAAAACCAATAGGAAAGGCTTCAGGGCATCGGACTAAACAAAGATTTTATAACTCAGCTAAAACACCAGACAGCAAAACCAAAAATAGACAAATGAGGCTCTATTAAGCTAAAACAGTTCTGCACACCAAAGAAAGCAACGAACAGAGTAAACAGACCACCTATAGAATGGGAGAAAAGTTACTCAAGTTATTCACTTTGATGCTGGACAGGCAAGCCCTAAAGCAGAGCTTAGTCCACAAGGGTTCTTGGCTTTGCACAGGAGAGAGTGTAACGCCAAGCCAGAGGTAAAAGAAAACAGCTTTTCTGAAGCAGCAGTGTTACAGCTCCAGTGGTGTTACAGCTCTGTGAGTGCTCCTGCAGAGTGGGGCTCCCCCATAGGCAGAGAACAGCAGCTTAGGGCAGTTCTGCAGTCATATTTATACCCACTTTTAGTTACGTGTAGATTAAGAATTGGTTTATGCAGAAATTTCTAGGGAAGTGGTAGTAACTTTTGGGTCATCTGGTCACTGCCCTGAAAAGAGGTGGTAAGTCGCAGTCCCATTTTCATGGTAATGGTAAACTAACATTGCACACTGGGGTCATATCTCATGGAAAGCTGCTTCTGCCCCATCCCTGTGGGCGGCAAGCCACCCAGGTGCCAAGGCAAAAGACCAAGGGCACGAGTAGTTCCAGTATTATAAAATATATAAAATAAGAATAGTTATACTAGATATAGATCTTAGATATGATTATATATGAATATCATTAATCATTAGTTTGCAGCAATTCCTCTTTATTTCTCTTTATGACTGCCTTTTAGATAGCAGTAACAAATTAGTGAAAGTACTAAAAGTCTCTAATAAGCAGAATAATAGCGTAAGCTGTCTCTCTCTCCTCTCTCTCTCTGCCTTGGCTGCCAGGCAGGGAAGGGCCCCTGTCCAGTGGACACATGACCTTACCTATCATTGGAGATGGCTCACACTCTTTACCCTGCCCCTTTGTCTTGTATCCAATAAATATCAGCACAGCGTGGCATTCAGGGCCACTACCAGTCTCCGCGTCTTGGTGGTAGTGGTCCCCCAGGCCCAGCTGTCTTCTCTTTTATCTCTTTGTCTTGTGTTTTTATTTCTACACTCTCTCATCTCTACACACAGGGAGAAAACCCACCAACCCTGTGGGGCTGGACCCTACATCTGGTGCCATACAGAGATAGTTGACCAGATGTATTTGGGATCAGTGCCCTGGTTACATCTATATATCCATGTCGCTTGCTCATATATTTTTTGAATGTTAACCTAAACCTCCCCAAAGTTGCTAATATATAATAAAGGCAGCGGCTTTTAGTAATAAGTACATAGACTCCTTCTTGTTCAACTGGTAAATAATCCAATGTTAGTCTGTTATCAAAAACCACATTTGCGAGAGAGTCAAGGTGCTCATGAGTTCCCTTTAATACCTGATCTGTGTTGATTTAAGTTCTTTAGAGTTGACTCATGGTAAGCAAAGCTGCCCTGGAGTGTTGCTAGTCCTATTGCTGCCCTGATTCCTGCCAGAATTAATTCTACGGCTTGCTTACTTCTGGTATTCTTAGGTTTTAGGGTGTAATAGACAGAGACCCCCGCAGGGGCAAGGATGGCTAGTGTATATTCACCTGTGTTTCAAGTTTCTTATATACAAGGGAATGCTACTCCTAAAAAAACAGGTGGCTCCCTAGAGAGTTGACGGTGTTTATGGGGTGTGACACCTTCCTATTCATGGCCACAAACCAAAATGAGGCCAGCTGGGGCAGAAACACTCTGGAGGGTGTGATGTTCATCCTTTGCTGCCAAGTTGTGTCTATAGAGATATTTCCCTTCTGTTCCAGTGAGGGTGGTCAAAAAATTTTTTTTTCCGGAAGGGGGAGTACTGCAACCTTCCCAGACTAAGCAGTTGTTTTTCCCTTGTTTGTTCTGAAGTGACAGAAGGCACCATATATGGTCTCCTCACAGGTAGAATTCCATTTACCTTGCTGTGGCCTTGGGAATTTGGCAGCTAAAGTTGGATCATAGCATCACAGGGAAACTTCCACTTCAGTGTCATTAACACAGTAGTGGGTGCAAAACACAGAACTGTTAGTACACTGGAAACATAGGTACCTAACTTCCTAGGCCCACATGATAGTGCTGGGAGGTGCAGGTGGAATATATTATGTGGGGGAGGGTTTCACTTAGCAAGTAGGGGTTTGGTTATTTCAGGATCACTATGGTTAGTTAGGAGGTCTGAGGTCTGGTGGTGAGATTTTCCTAATAAGCCAGAAGATGCAATTCTCTATCCTGGCAATGCTGATAAATCCAGGAGGCATGAAGATGATTTCCTGATGCTATAATTGTTGAAATATTTACTACAGAGTTGTGTTCCCACTCACATGGGATCAAGGTAGTTGAGAGAGCAAATAGGACCAAGAGTGACAACATGGGGTCTGGCTGAGTGGGGCCTCTACACCCAAGAAGAACAAAAGCTGTTTCCTGGGAGGTTGGCTAAAGTGATAAAAAAGTAATGTTACAGTCGGGAAAAAGAGAATAGTTAAAGCTTTTATTGCCACCCATAGCATCATGTTACAAATTCTGGATGAATGTTGATTCTTTTAAATAGGTAGCAGTACTCCTCCAAAAGCTCTTAGATGTAGGTTATGGTGTCCTCCATTTGTGTGCCTACAGTTTGTGAGCAACAGCTTTAATCCTGGACAGTTGTACTGAACTAGGTAGTCCCTAAAGTTTAACAGGACTGTGACACTCAGCAATACCTGATAGGGGCTCTTCTATTTTGGTTATATCTTCTGCCATTATTGAAAGTTTCCTGAGCCCTCCCCAGAAGCTACTATACTTACTGAGCAAGCTGCAAAACCATGAGCCAGTTAAACATCTTTTTAAAATAAATTGCCCAGTCTTATATGTTTCTTTGTAGCAGTTCAAGAACACACTAATACTGCTGTCAAGTAAAAGGACCTGATATTGAAGTAGATGACCTCCTGTTAGCCACTGGTACTTTATTGCTCCTAGAGCCACCAGTGTTCCAAGGATCCCTCAGAGTATTGTTCTTTCCAAGTTTTTAGCAGATAGGGGGTCAATTATCAGCTTTGTGAGAGGGGGCAATAATTTGTGTCCATATGCTTGGAGGGCCTTTTGAACCTGGCTTAAGTTGATATTATGGGTGAGCATTCTATGTATCTTTTTATCAAGCAAAAGGTCAGAAGCTAAAAATGGCCTCCCATAAATCAGCTCAAAAGGACTAAGTTTTAGAATGTCCTTTTGGGGACATCCTTACTTGTAAAAGTGCTATGGCTAGGAGAGAAGCCCAGGCCTCTGAAGTCTCCTGAAGGGCTTTGCTAATGTCCTTTTTAAAACATAATTAGCTTTTCTATTTTACCTGAGGATTGAGGACTCCCGGAGGAGTGAAGGGGATAGATAATGCCTAAGACTGAAGAAAAGCTCCTGGGCCACTTTAGGAATGCAGGCATATTTATTATCTATCACTCTGCAGACTTTTAGGTAATCCAAACGTTTCAGAGATCTCATTAAGTAAAAATTTTGACCCTCTTTTTTTTTTTTTTTTTTTTGAGACAGTGTCTTGCTCTGTCGCCCAGGCTGGAGTGCAGTGGTGCTATGTCAGCTCACTGCAACCTCCACCTCCTGGGTTCAAGCAATTCTCCTGCCTCAGCCACCTGAGTAGCTGGGACTACAGGCACATGCCACCACACCCAGCTAATTTTTTTTTTTTTTTTTTTGAGATGGAGCCTCGCTCTGTTGCCCAGGCTGGAGTGTGGCAGCCCAATCTTGGCTCACTGCAACCTCCACCTCCCAGGTTCCAGTGATTCTCCTGCCTCAGCCTCCTGAGTAGCGGGATTACAGGCATGCATCACCACACCAGTTTATTTTTGTACATTTAGTAGAGACAGAGTTTCCTAATGTTGGCCAGGCTGGTCTTGAGCTCCTTACCTTAGGTGATCTGCCCTCCTTGGCCTCCCAAAATGTTTGGATTACAGGTGTGAGCCACTGTGCCCAGCCAAATTTTGACACTTCTAATATCTTCTTTGTCATTGTGGGGAAAGTCTCAATCCACTTGGTGAAAGTGTCCATAAATACTGGCAAATATTTCTATCCCCTGTAGGATGGTATCTAAAGAAAGTCTATTTGCCAGTCTTTCCAGAGCATGTCCCTCAATGTTGTAATGGTTTGAGTAGAGCTGGGGGTATGGGGTAGCTTCCTGGATCATTACAGGCACAAAGATCACAGGCCCTGGTGACCCTCTTTGCAGTGTAGAATAGGTTTTTTTCCTAAAACTTTGAGAAACTAACTTGATAGTTAAGTCATGGAAATGCCTAACTATCTCTCACCGCTCAGCCTCAGGGAGGAAGTTTGTTGCTTCCTACTAATCATCCCAAGGGATACTTTTGTAAGCCTTTCTGCTCTGCCCATTTAATTTCCTCAGGGGTATAGTGTGCTGTTCCTAACATGGGTGCAGTACCTGGCATTACTCAGTGTCCTATAACACTGGTGTTTCTCTAGCTGTGGGCTTAGCTACTCTGTCTGCCAGAGGATTTCCTCTGATAACGGAGATGTCTTCCTTTTGGTGTCCCCTGCACTGACTCACTGCTACTACTTTTGAGAGCTAGGAAGCATCTAAATGTTCCAAGATCTGAGAATGATGTTGTATGGGGGACCCCTTAGCTGTTAGCCCTCCATTGTTTTTCTGTATAGCAGCATGAGCACAGAGCACCAGGAACCCATATTTGGAATCAGTAAATATATTGACTCTTAAGTCCTTCCCAGCTTGAGGACCCTGATTAGAGCAAGTAATTGTGCTTTTTGAATAGAAGCTTGGAAAGGCAGTTTTGACCTCGATGACATCTTGTTGACTAAATACAACAAAACCTGCCTTTTTTACTCCCTCATGCATATAAAGCTATACCCATCTATAAAGTACTCAACATTAAGATTAGATAGAAGGTCATCTTTGAATTCAGTCCTACTACAGAAGTTTGGTTGTATGGTTTCCGCACAGGAGGGAAATGAGTTAACGATCTGTTTCCTGGGATGTGAACTCTGGGAACAGGGTAGCAGGGTTTAAAACCCAACATACTTTAAGGATTACAACTGAGGTGTTGATATGGTTTTACTCTGTGTCCCCACCCGCCCAAATGTTATGTAAAATTATAATCCGCAATGTTGGAGGTGTGTCCTGGTTGGAAGTGATTGGATCACAGGGGTGGACTCCCGCTGGGTGCTGTTCTTACAATAATGAGTGAGTTCTCATAAGACCTGGTTGTTTAAAAGTGTGTGGCACCTTCCTCCTCTCTCTCTTCCTCTCCTGCTTTAGTCATGTAAGATGTGACTGCTTCCCCTTCACCTTCTACCATGATTGAAAGTTTCCTGAGGCCTCCCCAGAAGCCATTATGCTTCCTGTGCAGCCTGCAAAACCGTGAGCCAATTAAACATCTCTTTTAAAATACATTGCCCAGTGTTAGGTGTTTCTTTATAGCAGTTCAAGAACACACTAATACAGGTGTCAAGCAGAGGGCCTGATATTTAAGTAGGTATCTTCCCGTTAGCCACTGACATTCTTTTTCCTCTAGGACAACCTGTATTGTTTAGGGGGTCATAACATTTAGTAATTGTCCCAAGATAAAGTAAAGTTACTGGTTTTTTACTTTGGCTCACAAGCATCCTGGCTGCCCAGCTGCCACCTGGTTTAGCTGTTTAGAAAAGTAAGCCACTGGCCTAGGGCTATTCCTGAGCCTTTGGGGTAAGACATCCATCCTCATGCCTTGTTTTTCAGTCACATAGAAGGTAAAAGTATTTTCTAAGTTAAAGGGCCCCAAAGCAGGAGTCGTTTTTAGTCTTGGTTTTAGGGTAAAGAATGCCTGTTGGCAGGTTCCATCCCAATTCAAAGGTGCATGATTACTGTCTTTTAGAGTTTCATAGAGAGGTTTTGCTGTAAGACCAAACCAAGGAATCCAGATCTGGCAGAATCTAGCCATTCCCAAAAAGCGTCTTGACTGTTTCTTAGTCTGAGGTAGTTGGACGGCCAAGATTGTCTCTTTTCACTTTTGGTCCAACGTTCTTGTCCCAGGTGTGAGCACATACCCCAAATATTTAACATTTTGCACAGAGATCTGGGCCTTGTGGAGCATACATGATATCCTTGCTTTCCCAGAAAATTAAGGAACTGAATTGTGTTTCTGTTGGAGTCTTCCGTAGTAGATGTAGAAATCCATCTACATGTTGCAAAAGAAATCCATTAGTTAACTGTAGTTCCCTTAACTCCTTGGCCAATGTATTGCCAAAGAGATGGGGACTGTGTCTAAAACATTGGAGAGGAACTGTCCAGGTAAGTTGAGATGTAGCTTGAGTGTCTGGATCAGTCCATTCAAAAGCAAAAATATACTGGCAGTATGGTGTAAAGATATACAAAAGAAAGCATCCTTTAAGTCTAACACTGTGAATCAATGAATGCCTTCAGGGATCTCAGTCATTATACAAGCATTAGGAACTAATGGGTGAACTGGGTCTACTGTCCCATCAAATCCCCTTAGATTCAAAACAAATCTATATTCCTCATTTGATTTTCTAACAGGTAAAATGGGGAGTTACATGGATACTGACAGGACTGTCATAATTTGTACCTTAGGACCCCCATTATTAAGGGCTGGATGTCCCTCTGAGCCTCAGCATTCAAAAAACACTGTTTTTTCCATGGGTAATTAACATTGGGTTTTAGGAAAATCTGGACTGGGGGTACATTAACAGCTCTACCAGAAATTTCCATGTCACAAACAGAAGGACCTACTAAAGAAGCAATATGAAATGGAAGGCAGCTCTTCTCCATATCTGTGTTAATGTAATACTTGGAGCTAAGAGGAGTTTTCCTTCTGGCCTGTTGCCTTCTCATGGGGCACTTTAAAGTGAATTGTGATCTGTAATTTGGAAAATAAGTTTCTCCCTAATAGAATAGAACATTCAGGTATAAGTATTAAAAAACCTCTTGGAAAATGTATGGTGCTTCACAGTGGAACCAAGCGAACGGGTACATCTCCTCATTCTTGGCTGGCCATTAATTCCTGTTACTGAACAAGAGTGGGAAAACAGCAGCCCTCAGAAATGGGTTAAAACTGACTAGGCAGCTCCCATTTCCAATAAGAACTCAATATTTTTGTCTCCTATACCAAGGGTTACCTGAGGCTCCTCTGTGGAGATGGTAAGGTGTCCAGTCAGAGATATAGAGAATCTGAAGCCTATCAGTCTTCTACTTTTCGGGCTATTACGAGTCTGAGTGTCTCAGACTATCTTTTAATCCTGGTGCAATCCTTCCAATGGCCTTCTTGCATACAGAAGACAAGTGCTGATTTAGGTCTAGAGGCTGGTAAGTGGGGGACCTCATCTGAGCATCCTAGATGCCAATGTCACCATATTTCTTTGAGAGGGGTAACTCTGAGGCAACAGTGGTCCTAAAGTTGCCACTAACAATTGTGGGTTTTGGCCAGTTCTTCTGGTTTTTGCCTCTTCCTCTGCCTTGTCCTGTTGCGGGAAGTCAGGGACCCCAAACAGAGGGACCTGCTGAAGCCATGACAGAAGAACATAAATTGTGAAGATTTCATGGACATTTATCACTTCCCCAATCAATAGTCATAATTTCCTATGCCTGTCTTTACTCTCTTAATCTCGTCATCTTCATAAGCTGAGGATGTATGTTGCCTCATCACCCTGTGGTGATTGCGTTAGCTGCACAAATTTTTTGTAAAGCATGTGTGGTTGAACAATATGAAATCTGGGCACCTTGAAAAAAGAACAGGGTAACAGCGATGTTCAGGGAACAAGGGAGATAACCATTAGGTCTGACTGCCTGGGAGCCAGGCAGGACAGAGCCATATTTCTTATTGCCAAAAACAGGTAAGAGAAATATCGCTGAATTCTTTCCCCAGTAAGGAATATTAATAATTAACAGCCCTGGGAAAAGAATGCATTCCCAGGCAGAGCCTCTAAAATGGCCACTCTGGGGGTGTCCACCTTATGCAGTTGTAGATAGGGATGAAACACGCCCTAGCCTCCTGCAGCGCCCCCAGGCTTATTAGGATTAGGAAATTCCTGCCTAGTAAATTTTAGTCAGACTTGTTGTCTGCTCTCAAACCATGTTTCCTGATGTTTATCAATGACAGTGTGTGCACAGCAGGACCAGGAACCTCATTAGTAATTCTAGTTTCACCCTGGCCTTGTGACTTTGCCCTGCCCATATGACTTGTGATATTTTGTTGCCCTTGAAGCATGTGATCTCTGTGACCCACATCCTATTTGTACACTCCCTCCCTTTTGAAAATTGTTAATAAAAACTTGCTGGTTTTACGGCTCAGGGGGCATCATGGAAACTGCTGACATGTGATGTCTCCCCCAGACACCCAGCTTTAAAATTTCTCTCTTTTGTACTCTTTCCCTTTATTTCTCAGACTGGCCAACACTTAGGGAAAATAGAAAAGAAACTACGTTGAAATATCGGGGGCTGGTTCCCCCGATACTGTCCCTATTATTGTAAACCCCAAGGGCAATGTCTAAGAGTTGGCTCAGGGCGGTTGGTGTCCCACTGCTACTTTTTGTTGCTTTATCCAAATGTCAGGGGCAGACTTAGTAATAAAATCACACCCAAAAGAGCTCACACTTCCAAGGGGTCAGGGTCTATATTAGTATATTTCCGCAGTGCCTCATACAAACAGCCCTGAATTAGAGTGGGATTTTCATCTTTTTCTTGAGCTATTTCTCTTACTTTATCATAATCAACTGGCTTAATCCCACAGTTTTTCTTACTATTAAACAAGTTAGTATGTAATTTCTGCATTTGACACCTTGAGACCCTTTCTAGTAATCCCATTGAGGTCTGGATCTGGAACTGCCTCTCTTCCCACAAGATAAGTGGCATGGCCTGGGTTACACAAAGCCGTTCTATCTGTATGTTTATAACAGTACCTGGAATTCTTCGTTATTCATCTACATTACATTAAGTGTATAATAGGCTGGGCACTGTGGCTCACACCTGTAATCCCAGTACTTTGGAAGACCAAGGTGGATGTATCACCTGAGGTCAGGAGTTCAAGAACAGCCTGACCAACATGATGAAACCCCATCTCTACTAAAAGTACAAAAAATTAGCCAGGTGGTGGTGGGAACCTGCAGTCATGGATGTGGTGGCAGGCACTTATAATCCCAGTTTCTCAGGAGTCTGAAGCAGGGATAATCGTTGAATCTGACAGGTGGAGGTTGCAGTGAGCTGAAATTGTGCCACTGCACTCCAGCCTGGTGACAGAGCAAAACTCTGTCTAAAAAAAAATAAAAATAAAAAAAGAGGAAGAAAGGAAGGAAAGAAGGAAATAAGTAAATAAGTGGATAATAATATTTGCATGTCATACCAAGTTAAATCAGTCAACTTTACAAACTCATTTACAAACTACCCCGGATCCTTTGAAGACTGAGCAATTTATTCCTTGCATATGGCCAAATCCGACATGCAAAAAGGCACATGTACTTCAATTGTTCCTCCATCTCCATCAGCTACCTCCCACAGTTGACACTAGTTTGATTTTGGGGGCTAACATGGGGCCTCAATCCTAGTAGACTGTTTGGGCTCACTTCCTTTGCAGTGAGGCATATGAGCCAGCGTTTGTTGGATAAGATGGAGGGGTGCCTGGTGACCTTGGGGTGGAATCCTGCACTAAATAACTAGTGGGGCTCCCTCAGAATTAGGGGACTGAGGAAGCTCTGAAGGAGAATTACAGGCCTTCTAGGAGGAGCAGCTAGGAAGAGGTCATCTAGCATATCTGATGCAGCTTCTGGATATCTGGGAGTATCATGAGCCAGACACATTCTACAGCTAGCCCTTAGGTTAGGATCCTGGTAGAGGGCCATAAAAGCCTACACATAAGTAAATTCTTTTCCTTCCTTTTTATAAAGCAAATCTAATTGTACAATATCATTATAATATAAAGAACTATTCCTAGTCCGAATGTATTAGTTTGCAAATTTGTATTGAACCCAAATATTATTGCTATAGTAAATGAGGTTTTCTTTTTCAATTAGTCTAATAATTTAAACTTACTTCAATTGTCTAAAAAACACCCTACTGGTAATTATTTTGGGATGCTTGCCATTGTCCATATGCCTAGGGTCACAATAAGCTAACTCAGCCTAAGTTTAGTAAATGACTACTGACTTTTCACTTTCTATAGATAGTAAGGTGTTACAAAAGTGTTATCAGGAGCTTCAAATGGGCATTTGGATGTTGAGCCTAAATTCCACAGAGAGTGAGCAATGGACAGAGAGGAGGGATGGTATCTATGCAAGAGAGGAGGCAAAGGGGTAAACAGCATTGCCCAAGGGGCAACATCAAAGGCCCTGACTTGTCAAAGAACCTACCCAGTAATAGAAATATAGAAAAAAAAAGTTGGGTGGCCACTTGACTACTGCTATAGGTGGCTGTCCATCAGACTAGGTGCCTGGAACCTCCTAGTTCCTTTGACCAAGATGGGCTTGAACAAGGCAGTTGTAGGATAGTACATAGAAAGCAGCTTGCAAACTTCTAATGCTAGGGCAGAACAAAGTGAGACCAATATTCCCCTAGGAGGAAGGGCTATAACCCACAATCCTAGAGGGAATGTCAATACCAAGTACTGCAGAACATCTGGGATGGAGGAACTGGGGGACCAAAAATATCAATGCTGAAAACTCAGAGTGCCCAAGTTTCAGCCAATGAGGGATGCCTCACCAAATGACAAAAACGTTCAGGCACCTGGGGGAGAGAGGCCAGCCAACAGTGAAACCAAGAAAAAGTTGGGGTCACAGAACACTACAATGCTTACATCCCAGGGTCAACACAATGGGGAACCTCACACAGCCAAGTGTCCTACCTTAAACAATTGCCCAAACATAGTTAACAGAAAGTTAAAAGTAAATGTAAGACTGCAAATAAAACACACACTTTAGATCTGAAAATAAATAACTGATAGAACAATAAAATAAAGTCAGAAGGGAAAGGACTGGGGGAAGAAGCGACAAGGACATGCTTTGGGGAATTTAAGTGAGTGGGGACTTCTAACTGATCACCTAGCCAAAGGCTTTTATTTTATTCCCTAGTTCTGCTACTATGCAGATGGGAACAGAAAGGACACTCAGCCATCCACCAGAGCAGAAATGGCACCAAGTGATCTTCCACATGGGACCCTGGTGAAGATCTCTCCAGGATCCCTTAGCTTAGGTAAACTCAGCTGCCATGGTGGTAGGGGTCAGCATGGGGACTGGTAACCCACCAGCCATTTCTCACTGTCTCAATTACTGCCCAGCTGTCTGCTGTCACGTCAATCACCAACTGGCTTCCTGCTGATGGCCAACTGTTGTCTCACTGACTGCTGTCTCACCATCACCTCACTGACAGCCACTTCTCAACCCACTTCTCACACCATCACTTCGCCATCTCTCACGTCACTGTCTTCTTTTCTCATGTTGTCTTCTCTCCTCACCCCATGTTGAGCACTACACTGACACAGGACAGGTGAGTGCCAAAGTATGGCTTAGCCCATGAGAGTTCTTGGCTTTTGTCAGGAAGGCTGAGGCAGGATCCCTTGAGCCCAGCAGTTTGAGGCTGTGGTGAGCTATGACTGTGCCACTGCTTTCTAGACTGGGTGATGAGGAAAAACCCTGCTACTTTTTAAAAAGTCATATATATATACACACAATGCAATGCTATTCAGCCATAAATAATGACTCTTGTCATTTGTACCAATATGTGTGGGCCTGGAGACATTACGTTAAGCTAAATAATTGTAGCATAGAAAGATAAATACTGCACATTCTCACTCATTTGTGAGACCTAAAAAGATATAAATTCATGAAAGTACAGAGTACAATTGTGAGTCTTAAGAAGTATAGCAAGGAGAGCAGCATGAACAGAGGTTGGTTAATCAACACAAAATGACTGTTAGATAAGAAGAATGAGTTCTAGTAACACTGCCCGGCAAATACGGCTAGCCATAATTTATCGTATATCTTCATAAAGCTACAAGAAAGGGGCCAGGCATGGTGGCTCATGCCTGTAATCCAGCACTTTGGGAGGCCAAGGCGGGTGGATCACCTGAAATTATTTGTTCAAGACCAGCCTGACTAACATGGTGAAATCCCATCTCTACTAAAACTACAAAAAATTAGATGGGCGTGGTGGTGGGCACATGTAATCCCAGCAATTTGGGAGGTCAAGGTGGGCAGGTCACCTGAAATCAGTTGTTCAAGACCAGCTTGACTAACATGGTGAAATCCCATCTGTACTAAAAATATAAAAAATTAGCCAGGCACGGTGGTACACGCCTGTAATCCCAGCTACTCAGGAGGCTGAGGCAGACGAATCGCTTGAACCTGACAGGTGGAGGTTGCAGTGAGCTGAAATCACACCACTGCATGCCAGCATGGGCGACAAGAGCAAAACTCTGTCTCAAACCAAAAAAAAAAAAAGCTACAGGAAAGGATTTTGAGTTTACAAAGCACAGAAATAAATATTTGAAGTAATAGGTATGATAATTACTCTGGTTTGATCATTGTAAGTGGTACAGTATACACATATCAAAATCTCACTCTGTATCCAATAAGTATGAAGAATTATATGTGCCAACTAAAAATGGAAGAGAAAAAAATTAAGAAATATTTCCAAATAAAAATAAACCTAAAATAATATCTGAACTGTTTTTATTGCATTTAAGATTCTAAGTTGTATATAGACGCACTGACAGTTGTAATGTAGGCACTTTTACCAAAAAATGTGAGTGTATAGTCCCTCTATTTTCAAATGTACTATTTTATTTTCAAAACCTATTACAAATACCAGTGTTTCTTATTCCAAGGCAATTACACATTTATGACTACTTACAGTGTCTTCTAAATATATGCAAACTTAAAATGAAAAGCATCTTTTTATAATTATGAGCTATAGTTGATTTGTAATAAATTATTTATACTTATTACAGGTAAAGGTAGAAATTATATTTACCCAAATAATTAACAAATTAAAATGATAGTTTTTTTTTCTTTAATTTTACTTTAAGTTCTGGGATACATGTGCAGAAAGTGCAGGTTTGTTACATAGGTATACATGTGCCATGGTAGTTAGCTGCACCTACTGACCCATCATCTAGGTTCCTCCTATCACCCCCACCACCCCAAAATAGCTCTCATATGTGTTGTTCCCCTCCCTATATCCATGTGTTCTCATTGTTCAACTCCCACTTATGAGTGAGAACATGCAGTGTTTGGTTTTCTGCTCCTCTGTTAGTTTGCCGAGGATGATGGCTTGCAGCTTCATCCATGTCCCTGCAGATGGCATGATCTCATTCCTTTTTATGGCTGCATGGTATTCCATGGTGTATATGGACCACATTTTCTTTATTTAATCTATCATTGATGGGCATTTCAGTTGGTTCCATGTCTTTGCTATTGTAAATAGTGCTGCAGTAAACGTACATGTGTAGTATGTGTCTCTATAGTGGAATGATTTATATAGTGGAATGATTTATATACCCAGTAATAGCATTCTGTTGTTGTTGTTGTTGTTGTTGTTGGTTTTGTTGCTTTTATTTTGTTTCTGAGACAAAGTCTTGATCGGTCACCCAGGCTGCAGTGCGGTGATGCAACCTCAGCCTCTCAGGTTCAGGCAATTCTCCTGCCTTAGCCTCCCAAGTAGCTGGGATTTCAGCCATGTGTCACCATGTGCAGCTAATTTTTGTATTTTTAGTAGAGATGAAGTTTCTCCATGTTGGACAGGCTGTCTCAAACTACTGACCTCAGGTGATCTGCCCACCTCGGCATCCCAAAGTACTGGGATTACAAGGGTGAGCCACCATACCTGTCCAAAATGATACTTTTTTTTCACTTTTGGGCATCAAAAATAAAGTGTTTCTTGTCTTAGAAGATTCTGTGTTGTATTATCTTCTATCTTTGGTGCATTTTTGCTGATATTATCTATATCCTATTTGTATTACAAATGTTGACATATTGTTACTAGATTAATCTCATGTATACATCATCATGGCATCCTTTCTTGTAACCTTCAATTTTATAGATTTATATAAGAGAATAATTTGAATAAGATCTAGCCAAGGTTGACAACATCCCCTGTAAAAAAGAAGCTAGTATTTAATTTAAAGTTGGTGATTTTGGGCCAGGCGTGGTGGCTCACGCCTGTAATCCCAGCACTTTGGGAGGGCGAGGCAGGCGGATCACCTGAGGTGGGGAGTTTGAGACCAGCCTGACCAACATGGAGAAACCCTGTCACTACTAAAATTACAAAATTAGCTGGGTGTTGTGGCACATGCCTGTAATACCAGCTACTTGGGAGGCTGAGGCAGGAGAATCACTTGAACCCAGGAGGTGCAGGTTGCAGTGAGCTGAGATCACGCCATCGCACGCCAGCCTGGGCAACAAGAGTGAAATTCTGTCTCAAAAATAAAAATAAAAAATGAATTAAGTTGGTGATTTTCTCCAGATTATCAGTAACTGGTAGCCAAGTAAACTGGAAAACAGCAAGTTGAATTGCAGGTTTCAGTTTTTCCTGAAGACCTTCAGAAAAGATGTGCTTGCTTTTGTTTTCTACAAAAATAGAGGCCCCCCATCAGTTTTTTTTACCTTTTTTTTCTTCAGGATCTTACTCTATTGCCCAAGCTGGACTACAAGGGCAAAATCTTGGCTCACTGAAACCTCAACCTCCTGGGCTCAAGTGATCCTCCCACCTCCGCCTCTAGGGTAGCTGGGACTATAGGTGTGTGCCACCATGTGTTGCTAATTTTTTGGTATTTTTTTGTACAGACAGGGTCTTGGCATGTTGCCCAGGCTGGTCTAAAACTCCTGCCACCTGCTTTTCAACTCAACAGGATTGCTTGATACAAAATCCTTATTAATATATTCTTGCTTTTCTGGCCCAGTAAGATTCAAATAAGTCAACCGGGAATTTCAAATCCTCAGTGTCTAGTAAATTCCTTAGTTCCAGAGTGGGGTCTTTTAAAGAGACTATCACATGGCTACTTATTTTACAGATAATAAATAGGAGAACCAGGATGGGCATGGTGCCTCACACCTGTAATTCCAGCACTTTGGGAAGGCAAGATGGTGGATCACCTGAGGTCAGAAATTTAAGACCAGCCTGCCAACATGGTGAAACCCTATTTCTACTAAAAACACAAAAATTAGCCAGGCATGATGGTGCACACCTGTAATCGGGAGGCTAAGGCAGGAGGATGAATTGAACCCTGGAAACAGAGGCTACAGTGAGCTGAGATTGCACCACTGCACTCTAGTCTGGGCAACAGAGTGAGACTCCATCTGGAAAGAACTAGAAGAACCAGAGAAAGGCTGATTAATTAATGCATATCACATCAGCAGATTTGGAGCAGAAAATATGAATACAGCCATCCACTCCTATATTCTCTATAGAAGCATTTTCACTACTTTATACTAACATTTCTAATGTTTTCTTTCTCTGCTTCCCTCCATGCTGTCACCATCCTGCCCCAGATTCCAGATCAGCCCAGAGACAGGGTAAGACACACAACTTCAATCTTCTGTCTCACCAAGTCAGCACTTCTGGCCTCAGGAATCACACCTACACCTGCAGATACAGGTTCTGGTTTACAAAATGCTACTTATCTTTTTGGCCCTACCTTTCTGCCCTGCCCTAATAGCTTTACACTCCAGGAGACCCACAGTCCAGGCCAGTCCCAGTAAACCTTGGTGACAGGTTGGCCTTCATAGATTAATCATTTTAAGAAAGCACAACATAACAAAATATAGAGAAATAATTCAGTGAGGTTAGGTAAAGAATAACCAAAACTAGAAATAAAGCAGAGAGATTAAAATTATTTTTTAACAATCAAAGAGAATTTATGGAGCTGGAAAATACAATGAATGAAAATTTAAAAGACGTGGAGAATATGAACAGCAGAACTAATCACACAGAAGAAAGACTCTGTGAACATACGGGTTACTTGAAAATAAATGATCAGAAGAGAAGATAGAATATAAACATTAAAAAAACTTATGGGATTGACAGAACAGCATCAAAAGAGGAAATGTTTTGAGATACAGAAGTTCATGAAGGAGAAAAGAAAAAGTTATAAAAAGCATTTACTTTTTCCTAAATCTTTGCCTTGTAGTATTTTATCAGTTAGATCTTAGTAAAGTAGTAAAACTGCCAAAATTTAAAAGGAAATCATTAATCTTGTTAGATAAGTTTAATTGTATAAGTAGTTCTCTTATTACTATCTTCAAACTATTTCTTGAACTTTATTAAGAAAATTTTTATATCCTTTTCAAAAAATTATATTAGTGCACACAGTGTTTGGAAAAGACACATTAAAACACCTTAATTAGGCTGAGCAACATACTGAGAACCCATGTCTACAAAAAAAAAAAAAAAAAATTAGACATAGCCAGGCATGTGCTCCTGCAGTCCCAGCTACTGGGGAGGCTGAGGCAGGAAGATCACTTGAGTCCTGGAGGTGGAGTGGGCAGTGAGCTATAATCATACCACTGCACTTCAGCTTGGGTGACAGTTAGGCTGTCTCTTAAAAACAAAGAAAAAAAACTCCTGATTGCAAAGCACTCAAATTGATTTTCACATCCTTTTCCATGTAAGTGATGCTTCCTTGTCTTTGAATTTCACTGTTTGTAATCTATTAATTTAAATTTTTTTTCGGATTATATAATAACTTCATTATTTTTAAATCAGAAAATAGAAGGCCAAGCATGGAGGCTTACACCTGTAATCCCAGCACTTTGGGAGGCCAAGGGGGTAGATCACTTGACGTCAGGGGTTCAAGACCACGCTGGCCAACATAACAAAACACAATCTCTCCAAAAAATACAAAAATTAACCTAGCATGGTGGTGTGTGCTTGTAATCCCAGCTACTCAGGAGGCTGAGGCAGGAGAATCACTTGAACCCAGGAAGTGGAGGTTGCAGTAGGCCAAGATCACATCACTGCACGCCAGCCTGGGCAACAGAGTGAGACTCTGTCCCCACCAAAAAAAAAGAGTCATAAAATGAAGAAAGAAGAATGACTCATCAATTATCTTTCTACACTCTCTGCATCTCACACAGTGATATGGCTGTAAATATTTTGTATATGTCCTTCTAGGCTTTTCTTATGCACATTTATTTCATCTTATTTTATTTTTAAATAAATAAATAACATATATATATAATGAAATAAACATAGGCTTATATATTCTGTTTTAACCTACTTTCTCCCAGTAGCAGAAAGGCACATTTTAATGGTTATACAATATCCTATAATGACAAATGGTTTGTAATCAGTCCTCAAATTACTTTCTATGATTTTTAATACCAATTCCATAAATTATTATTATGTATTCTGCAGAATTTTTAAATGGAAAGATTTTTATTCTCTTAATTTTATTCCCTTAATTCTACATCTTTTTCTTAATTTTTTGCCCTTACCAGTTCCTAATAAATGTCCTCTGTTAAGTGAAAGTAATTTATGCTTACAGGGTTATAAAAAATATAAGAGAGAATGTAAATGAGACCACTCAGTGGATGCTAGATTAAAAAGTAGCCATCTTTGTTCATTTAAATTTGACATTTGAAAACTTTCTAGGAGTCAGAACCTTGCAGAAGATGAAAAGAGTCAATGGAAATAATTTTTTTAAGTGAAAGCAAAGACTTACATTTCTAGGAGCTGGAATAAACATGCTTTTCACTTTTTAGTACACCCATTAGACTTTATGTATAAAACAACAATAAGAAGATTCTGAAAGATACACAAAAGGAAGAGTAGCTAGGAACCTTAGGACCCAAAGAACAATATTATGGTGTATTATGGTGATTACCTGAATTTTCTTTTTGTCTTGTGTGTCTCAGACTTGAAGCGGAAGATTCCAGCAACCTAGACATGCCAAGCAGTACAAACCAAAACCATCTCAAACAAAGCTTTATCTCAATAGCCTAAGGAAAAGAAAACGAATAATCTAGCAAGGCAGAAAACTTTAAACAGAAACTATTCTGCTCTGGTGAAACACCACCAAAAACAAGTGCAAACCTCACATTCATTCACACTGGTAAAGGCCAAATGAAGAACATGGACTTCTGCCCTTAGAAGCCTATCCTAGCCTCCCAGCCAGGGTGACAATGGAAAAGTTTAAATAGAAAACAAGACTTTTATCCCCACCCAAAACCCACCTACCACCTCAAGTGTCAATAGGTTATGGGGTGGAGAACTAAGTTCTACCTTCAACTGTGAATAACTATTCTCTCCATGACTTCTATCACCACCCAGGTGCTGCTACCTCCTTTCACTTTTGGAGTACTATCAGACAAAGCCATCTGAAATAGGTTTTAATAACACTCAGAATGTTATAATACTAAAATGTCCAAGTTTCAACTGAAATTTATTTATTACACAAACAGGAAGATCTGAAACTGAGCAAAAGCAGGCAGTTAATAGATGCTGACGTCAGGATGACAAACATATTAAAATTATCTTCTAAAGATTTTAAAGGAGTTGTCTTAGTCCATTTGTGTTGCTATAAAGAAATGGCTGAGACTGGGTGATTTATAAAAGAAAATAAGCTTATTTGGCTTACAGTTCTACAGGCTGTACAGGAAGCACAGTGCCAGCATCTGCTTCTGGTGAGGCCTCAGTTTGCTTCCACTCATGGTGGAAGGTAAAGGGGACCTGGAGAGTGGACAGACACATGGAGACAGAGAGAAAGTGAAAGAGAGAGGGGAGGGGAAGTGCCAGGCTCTTTTTAACAACTAGCTCTAGCAGGAACTGAGTGAGAACTTACTAACTACCATGAAATTGATACCAATCCATTGACACCATAAATGAGGGATTTACTCCTATGACTGAAAGACCTTCCACAAGACCACCTACAACACTGAGGATCATGTTTCAACATGAGGCTTGACGGAGCCAAACAAAGCATGTCCAAACTACAGCAGAAGCCATGATAAAAATGATGTGAAAAATTACAAACACACTTAATTTTTTTTTTTTTTTTGAGATGGAGTCTCACTGTATTTCCCAGACTGGAGTGCAATGGTGCATTCTTGGCTCACTGCAACCTCCGCCTCCCGGGTTCAAGAAATTCTCCTGCCTCAGCCTCCCAAGTGGCTGGGATTACAGGAGCCCACCATCATGCCCAGCTAATTTTTGTATTTTTAGTAGAGACAGGGTCTCACCATTTTGGCCAGGATGGTCTTGAACTCCTAACCTCAGGTGATTTGCCTGCCTCGGCCTCCCAAAGTGCTGAGAGGCCACCAGGCGCAGCAAAAACAAATTAATAATAGAAAGTTCCAACAATGTCTTAGGAAATAAATGGAAAATATGATGGCAAACTGAAGGGAATCTTTAGAACTAAAGATTTTAAATAATCAGTATATGAGCTCAATAGGAGAATGAAAGGGAAAGAATCAAAGAGAGTAAGACAAAAATAATGGACACTGCCTACTCTAAACAGAGATAAATAAACAGAAATAAAAATGTCTACAGCCCTATAGGCACTGGCCAGGAGCAGTAAAGAAATTTCAGCTCTCAGCATCAGCTGCAAAGATTTCACCTTTGCCATTCTCCTTGTCACCTTCAGAGCAGTTCCGCCATGCAGAGGGAAGCTAAGCTGTTCTTTAACCTCTCCTACCTGATGGGAATGACTTGGTGAGACACAGCCAGGGCAGCTTGTCTCACCAAGTAATTGTGATACTGCATCCCTCAACATGCTGGCTTCCTGACATGTCAGTGCTAGCAGTTTGATTTCTCACAGAATAAGGGGCAAGTATCCTCCCACAGCTTCTTCAGAGTTGCCATAGTTATGCTTGCCTTCTGGGCATTTGGTACACCCAGTCACTTACTCCACCCTGGCCACTCTCCTCTTCCATCAGCACCCACCTTCTTCTTGCCCCTTCCCCTTTGCTGCGTCTCTTTGCATGTGCCAGTGCAGCCCCTGCAGGGCCCTGGAGGCCCTAGTCCTGGTAGTTTTTGGATTTCTTGAAAGCCCATGTGGGAAACTCCCCAATGAATGTTGAAACCTTTTTCGGATTAACTGTACCAGAGTAGGGACAGCCTCAATTCTATTCAGGGAGGATGCAGAAAAGCAGATTTTCTGTGGTATATCTTTCTGGTGCATCAATTCTACTGCAAGATTTGGAACAAACGAATTTATTTCCAAGGAAAGGCAACAAGTACAGAGGAAGCATCTACTGCAGAAGTTCCTGAGGAGACTTCAATTGAAGCATCAGCAAAACTGAAAGAAGGCTGAAGCTTGTCCACACATTCAAAAATAGATGTGTCCTGTATCTGTTCTCACAAGCCAGCCAGCTGTCAAGAAACATGAGATGTGATTCTTCCATCTTACTGAATCTCTCATCAAGACGTGAACTGGGCTCCCTCTTACATTATGGACAGCTGGTGCATGAAGGTGGGTCTCTGGACTGGTCTCATGCTGAAGTCAAGCACTTTGGCCAGGGCTTATTGCCAAAATGAAAGCCAGCAATTTGGTAGTTTGCTTTTATGATGTTTCCTAGCCTACACCCAAGACACTTGTCCTGGCCACTCCCTTAACACTGACATAAGGATGTGCTGATATAAATGAAAACCCAGCTCTATGTGGTTCAGACTGCAAATTGGGCATTCAAGTACCAGGCAAGAGGCCTTAATGAGGTTTCCAACCAGACTTTCTAGAATTTCCCAAAAATACTGACTTTCCCCCTTTCAGGCTCCATCTCCCAAAGGAAGTCAAAGAGGGGCTCTAGACACCATTAAGACTCTCAGACTCTTCCCTAATGAAAATGGATCTGCCTACAAAGAGGCAACCTACTGACCTCAAAGACACCAGCCCAGATTCTGAGCATTGACTTCCTGCCTCCCCATGACAGACATCATCTGAGTACACCAAAGCCCACACTGTTCCTCAACATTCATCTTCCAGACATGTTCCAGAAGAGCCCCTCAAAATTGCAGCCTCATTTCTCCCTCCTGAAAAGTCTATACCTGCTGGTTAGACCTCTCATACTTTAGGGGGCTTAGTAGGAAGTTTGCCAGTTTTGATTATTAAAATAATAAATAATAAAACTGTTTGGTTAGTTTATGTTACAACAGTAACCAAATGCTCCCACAGATAGCATATTGCACAGATGTTTTGATTTGTCCTTTCACCTTAGGTCAATTTTCCTTAATTGTATTCATCAAATTATATTTACTTCAGATAAGAGAGACATTGTAGTTACCATGTGCTCTATGGATCTGTACTTTGTTAGATATACAAATTCTCAGTCAAAACTCAGACCCATTTTATTAAAATTTGGATTTTAAATGATACTTTGAGGTAACATATGCACACTAATGATTGTTACATGGAGTAATTGTATTCTTAAAAGGGGAAAGTTTATATAAGTGTATTGATCTGTAAAAAAGGTATAGGTAAGATCATACATTTCAATGTATATGCATTTTATCTTTTAAAAAGTAGAAAACAAATGAAGTGGGGGGTGGGGAATGGATTGACATATAGATGAAACAAGAATGGCACATGACTAGTAGCTGTTAAGGTTGGATGATAGGTCTATTATACTACTTTTTGTATTTTGTATATGTTTTTAATGTTCTGTAATTAAACACTTGTACAAAATGACAAAGTTGATCTACACTTAGCTCTTAATATCTTGTTTACCTTTGGGAAGAATGAGAAAGTGATTGTCAGGGGCATGAGCAAGTCTGATTTTATTTCTAGGTTATACAAGTGTATTTACTTTGTGATAATTCAGCAAGCTTTCCACAAATGTTTTGTGCATATATTCCTGTATGCATGTATACATTAATAAAAATTCGAATATTGAAAAAAAATGAACAAAGATTTAAGGAGCTGTGGTCCCCTGAAAACAAAACAAAAGACCTAACACTTGTGTCTTGCATCCTATAAACACAGCTGAAAGACAGCAAGAATTATTTCTTAATGAACTTAAATAAATAGTGGCTGAAAGATTCATAAATTTTGCAAAAGATATGAATCTATACATTCAAGAATCTGAACAAACCTAAAGAGGATAAATATGCATGTGTGTGTATATATGTGTGTGTGTATGTGTGTGTATATATGTATGTGTATATATGTGTATGTGCACATATGTATATATACATACACACACACTCTTCTGATTACATAATAAATCTAATAACAATAAAATCCATACCAAGATACATAATTGCCAAACTTCTGAAAGTTAAACTCAAAGAAAAAGTTTATTAAAATAAGTGACAGAGGCGGGTGCAGTAGCTCATGCCTATAATCCCAGCACTTTGGGACACCAAGGCAGGCAGATCACAAGGGTCAGGAGTTCGAGACCAGCTTGGCCAACATGGTGAAACCCTGTCTCTACTAAAAAATATACAAAAATTAACCCAGCATGGTGGCAACTGCCTATAATCAAAGCTACTCAAGAGACTGAGGCAGGAGAATCACTTGAACCCAGGAGGCAGAGATTGCAGTCAGTGGAGATCACGCCATCGCACTCCAGCCTGGGCAGCAAGAGCAAAACTCTGTCTCAAAATAAATAAATAAATAAATAAATGAGAGAAATGACACCTTAGCTACACAGAAAACAATTTGAAAGTAGATTTCTTATTACAAGCCATGGAGGTCAAAGAAGTGACTCAATAAAAGAAAATAACTGTCTACTCAGAATTCTGTATTTACTAAAAAAATATTTTTCAGGGTGGGCATAATGGCTCATGCCAGTAATCCCAGCACTTTGGGAGGCCAAGGTGGGCAGATCACTTGAGGTCAGGAGTTTGTGAACAGCCTGAGCAACATGGTGAAACCCTGTCTCTACTAAAAATACAATAATTAGCTGGGTGTGATGGCACACACCTGTAATCCCAACTACTTGGAAAGCTGAGGCAGGAGGATGGCTTGAACCCAAGATGGGGGTGGTGCAGTGAGCCAAAATCATGCCACTGCACTCCAGCATGGGTGATAGGGCACAATTCCATCTCAAAAAAAGTTTTTTTTCCAGAAATAAAGGGGAAACCAAGCCATTTTCATAGAAAGGAAAATTAAAATACTTCGTTGCCAGAAGACATATGCTAAAAGAATGGCTAGTAGAAATGCTCTAAAAATAAAACAATAAAGAACTCTGAAACATCAGGAAAGAAGAAACAAAGGAAAAACAGGAAAATACAATAGACTCTGTCTCTCCTTTTGGGTTTTTTTGCCCATTAATGAGTGAAAATGTTCGAGGAAGCAACTGAGATTTTTTTTTCAACAGGTGAATCATTAAACAAACAGTGATAATCCATGGAATACAGCTCAGCGATGAAAGAAGATGAACTATTGGTTTCCAGAGAATTATATTTGGTCAGGAAAAAAAATGGCCATCTCAAAAGTTACACACTATACAATTTCACTTACATATTTTTGAATTGATACATTACAGAAATAAAGAACAGACTAGCAGCTGTCAGAGGTTTGGGATGAAAATGGGGATTGGGAGGAAAGTGAATGTTGTCCTAAAAGTGCAATTCAAGGGATCTTTGTGGTCATAAAATTTTTCGGTATCTTAATTATATCAATGTGACTATCCTACTTTTGACATGTTCTATAATTTTGCAAGATATTACTACCAGGGAAAACTGAATACATAATACACGGGATCTTTATTGTTTCTCACCACTGCATGTGTACCTACAGTTATCGTGAAATTAAAGTCTGATTTTTTTTAGACTGGGCTACGAGAAAATGTGAAGATAGACTCCACTTGAAATGCCTTCAAATGCTTTTCTGAAGCATGTCAGGAAGACTGTTGGCAATTTCTGCTCCCCTCAGAGCTGCTGGGCTTTATAAGACTCCTGCAATTATCTTGTTTCATTGGTTGATTGGTTTTTTATTTATATTTACTATTTTTTTGAGGCAGAGTCTCACTCCTGTCCCCCAGGCTGGAGTGCAGTGCTGCCATTTTGGCTTACTGCAACCTCCGCCTCCGAGGTTCAAGCAATTCTCTTGCCTCAGCCTCCCTAGTAGCTGGGATTACAAGGGCAGGCCACCATACCCAGCTAATTTTTGTATTTGTAGTAGAGATGAGGTTTCACTATGTTGGCCAGGCTGATCTTGAACTGCTGACCTCAAGTGATCCACCTGCCTTGGCCTCCCAAGATGCTGGGATTATAGGCATGAGTCACCACACCCGGCCGGCCATTTGATTGACTGATTAATTTTTTTTTTTTTTTTTTGAGATGGAGTTTTGCTCTTTTTGCCCAGACTGGAGTGCAATGGTGCAATCTCAGCTCACTGCAACCTCTGCCTCCCAGGTTCAAGGAATTCTCCTGCTTCGGCCTCCCGAGTAGCTGGGATTACAGGCACATGCCACCATGTCCAGCTAATTTTGTGTTTTTAGTAGAGACAGGGTTTCACCATGTTGGTCAGGCTGGTCTTGATCTCCTGACCTCCAGTAATCCACCTGCCTCAGCCTCCCAAAGTGCAATTTATTTTTAAAAATTCATTAAATTTGGCTATTAGTAGTTACATTTTTGGAATCTAAAATGCAGATTTGGGCTGGAGTGGTGGCTCACATTTGGAATCCCAGCACTTTGGGAGGCCGAGGCAGGTAGATTACCTAAACTCAGGAGTTGGAGACCAGCCTGGCCAACATGGAGAAACCCCATCTCTAGTAAAAATACAAAAATTAGCTGGGTATGGTAATCCCAGCTACTTGGCAGGCTGAAGTAGGAGGATCACTTGAGAAGTCAGGGCTGCAACCCAGATCACTTGAACCAGTGCACTGCAGCCTGGGTAACAAAGCAAGACTCTGCCTTTAAAAACAAACAAACAAACAAAAAATTGCAGATTTTGGAGCAGATAGGGTTTGGTGCCCCTAATCCCTGCATTGCTCAAGGATCAACTCTATTCAGGGGCAGGGGAGTATATGGATAGTTGCATCTGTACTGACCGTGTACAAGAAGACAAGCTGAGAACAGGAAATTGGTTTTTTAGGCCAAAAGTGGCTCAAGAAAGCAGAAAGGGAACAAAAAGTGAATTAATCATTTCAAAGTTATTTTCTTATAGTGTTAAAACAGATGGGACTTCCTTATTTTGCTAGTTCAGATAAGCCAGGCCCTTTCTATTAGTACTGTCACTCTTGTTTTTTTGAAAATTGGTCCATTCAAAGTTGATTGTGTGGCACCTAGCCGTGTTACCTAGCATCAGTGACTGAATTCTGGTTTTGTCTGGTCTTTTGGGCCTAGTTCCTGAAAAATGCCACATTCCTGAAAAATGATAACATATAAATCCTGGCATATATAAAACAATTACCTGGTAGTGTCATGTGAATCATGTAATCATGTATATTAGATTTCTGATTCTTCAAAAGGGATTAGTAACCTACAAGAATTTCATATCCACGTAAAAGAGAGCAGAAGTAGGTATCTCTTGCCAAAATCAACTCTAACTCTACTACATCTGACTTCAGCTTTTTAGTATAACAATACCAATTAGTAATTTTGTTAGTGGTTTTTAATGCCTTGGCAGAAAACTGA
Source organism: Homo sapiens (assembly GCF_000001405.40). NCBI lineage: Eukaryota > Metazoa > Chordata > Mammalia > Primates > Hominidae > Homo > Homo sapiens. The sequence continues at coordinate 12,936,707 of NC_000024.10, read as the reverse complement.
AATAGGACCCAGAGGTTTTCAGCTTGAAAACCCTAGTTTCGTGCTGTTACTCTGCTGAAGTTCTGTGCTTGACCATAGCCACCACTTCTTAATAGCAGTTTTGAGATTAAAAAAAAAAAAAAAAAAACCCAGACTCCTGATTCCAATCTCAGACAATGTCTCCCATACTGCCAGGCTTCCTTCTCAGTGAGCCTCACAAGGGCCTTTCATTAGGGAAACTTTAAATGCATTACGTAAGTGTGAATGCAGCCCTCACATTTATGTAAGTAGCAAGTACTTTCCACCCCTGGTTGGCAATTTGAAATATGGTGAAGTGGATCTAAATCAGTACTGAGACCAGCCTGCTAATCCAAGTCTACCTAAGAATTCATTTCCTATAAGCTAACATCAAAGCTAAAATGAATAAGTTTATATATATGGTTAACAATTCAAATCAGCATTAACTTTCCTGAGGGGGAAAAAAAGATTGACAGAAGAGATTTAAAATAAATGTTTATTTTGTATATTTTGTTCTCTGGGTGGCTATTGTGTATCTTTTAGAAAAAAGTATAGGGGCCAGGGCAGTGGCTCATGCCTGTAATCCCAGCACTTTGGGAGGCCAAGGTGGGTGGATCACAAGGTCATGAGTTTGAGACCAGCCTGGCCAAGAGACCAGCCTAGCCAATATGGTGAAACCCCATCTCTACTAAAAATACAAAAATTAGCCAGGCATGGTGGCAGGTGCCTGTAATCCCAGCTACTCGGGAGGCTGAGGCAGGAGAATTGCTTGAACCCAGGAGGTGGACGTTGCAGTGAGCCAAAGATTGCATCATTGCACTCCAGCCTCATGACAGAGCAAGACTGGCTCATCCACACAGAAAGAAGGAAAGAAGGAATGAAGGAAAGAAAGAAAGAAAGATAGAAAGAAAGAAAGAAGGAGAGAAAGAAAGAAAGAAAGAAAAAAGGAAAAAAAGAGACAGAAAGAGAGAAAGAAAGAAAAAGAGAGAAAGAGGGAGGGAGGGAAGGAAGGAAAGGGAGAGAGAGAAAAAGAAATAAAGAGAGAAAGAAAGAACGAGAGAGAGAGAGAAAGAAAGGAAGGATGAAGGAAGGAAGGAAGGAAGGAAGGAAAGGGAGGGAGGGAAGGGAAGGAGGAAGGGAGGAAAGGGAAGGAGGGAGGGAGGAAAGGGAAGGAGGGAAGGAGGAAAGGGAAGGAGGGAGGGAAGGAGGAAGGAAGGAGGGAGTGAAGGAAGGAAAAGGAAAGGAAGAAGGGAGGGAGGGAGGGAAGGAAAGGAAGGGAAAAAATAATAGTTAATGAATGAAATCATTAAATGACACAAAATATAAACCAAGGGCCTTTTTTGTTTTGGTGTTAATATTCCACACACTGATTTTTAAGTTGTACTGGGAAATTCTTACTGCAAGATCTTTCCTTTTTTAAACAAGCATTAAAAGTCCCGAGAACCGAAGAGTTTGCTTATTTTTTTTGTTTTTGCTGTTATAACTACTATTACCATAAGCTTAAATAAGAGTAATAGTACTTTTTCTCCAGGTAAGTACATCCTGTTCATAGGATTCATGCTTGCTGTGCACACAAGACAAGTTTGTTTTCATTAAGACAAACACTCTGTGCATTGTTATTGATCCTGAGAATTAACAGTTCCAGAATCTGAGATGCTCTTTCTCACATAAGAAACTAAGCAACATAAGTAATATGGTTCAGAATCCTCAGACAAATAAACACATTAGTCTTATGCAGAGTCTAAACCATATGTTAGTGTACATTTACAACAGAAGTCTATTGTGGTATAAAGAATGATTTATAGAATAGTCACTCATGATTTTATTCATAAGTATAGCTCTAAAATGTGGAGAACATAAAAATATTCTTCCAGGCCACAAAGTCTCCTGAGAATTTTGAGTCCCACAATGTTTTCAGCCCATTTATTGTCCTAGTAGACATATACCAAGAAAACAGCAACCCAGGCCCAACTTTGAAGTGGAGATGGAAGTGGGTGAGGGAGGAATATGGGAAGAGATAGGAAAGGAAAGAACTCTGTGTCAAGAGCTGCTTTACCGGAAGAAAGCTAAAACAGATTCAGTACCTTGACGTAGCTACCTAGGTTCCTCTAGGCAGCTCCTGAAGTAAGCATATGTGATATTCATATCAAGACCCCTGTTGATTACCAAACTTAAAAATGAATTGGGTTGTTAGAGGGGAAAGAATTCAAATAGCAGCTGCCACAGATATGGCATCTGCAATACTTGGCTGTGCTGTCTTGTAACAGGTCTGCTTAGAAGGCCTTCTATTGCTAGTAGATAAAAGAAGGGTATTATTGTGCCTGGTAAGCATAAGTTTAATCGAAGGAGAAGACTGCTAAACAAAATTGTTATAAAAAGTACTATCTTTGGAGATGGCATAGACTCTCAGAGTACTCTTGGTTCTGTTTGGTAGACAAAAAAAATTGGCATAAACTTAGCCAAGGAATACATAATCTTGTCCTTTTACAATCCTTTAACAATTCAGGAAAATCGAGGTTTGCAAATATTCATTTTTTGCACTTTCACAGAAGATTAAATGTTTAAATTCACCAGTATAATTCATATTTTTGTTCCCTATTTCGCCATTTTATTTGGAAAAGTTGTGTTCCTTGGTAAAATTCTACCACTGTATTCGGTAACAAACATGTTTAACAGTCCATACTGTGGTTTCATTTTGTCCTTTTATTACCAAGTATTTATCTTTAATTATATTATTTTCTTCTATGGCACTTACTTTTCCTTTTATTAATTTCCCAAGCTGCCAAAATGGTGTTGAAATTGCCGCTGAATATCAGTTATAGAGAATGAGAAAAAAAACTAATTTGATTAAATATATTCTTATATATTTTAGTAGTTTTAATATATTTATATTTAGTAGATTGGTTTTGTTTCATTTGTATTTGCTTTTGCTATTAGAATAAAATAATTTTAGACCAATGGAACACAAGAGAGAACCTAGAGATAAGGCTGCACATCTACAAGTATCTGATCTTTAAAAACCTGACAAAAACAAGCAATGGGAAAAGAGTTCCCTATGTAATAAATGTGCTGCGATAACTAGCTAGCCATATGTCCAAGATTGAAACTAGATCCCTTCCTTTCACCATATACAAAAAATCAACTCAGGGTAGATTAACAACTTAAGTGTAAAACCCAAAACTATAAAATGTCTGAAAAACAACCAAGGCAATACCATTGAGGACATAGGCACAGGCACAGATTTCATGACAAAGATGCCAAAAGCAATTGCAACAAAAGCAAAAATTGACAAATGGAATGCAATTAATCAAAACAGCTTCTGCACAGCAAAAAAGACTATCAACAGAGTAAACACAAAACCTACAGAATGGGAAAAAAATTTGCAAACTATGCATCTGACAAAGGTCTAATATCTAGCATCTACAGGGAATTTAAACACATTTACAAAGAAAAAAAACAAACGACTACATTAAAAAGTGGGTGAAAGATATGAATGGACACATTTCAAAAAAAGACCTGTATGTAGCCAACAAGCATATGAAAAAAAGCTCAACATCACTACTTATTAGAGAAATGCAAATCAAAACCACAATGAGATACCATCTTACACCAATCAGAATGGCTACTATTAAAAAGTCAAAAAATAATAGATGTTGATGAAGTTGTAGAGAAAAAAAAGAATGCTTATACACTGTTGGTGGGAGTATACATTAGTTCAATACATTGTGGAAAACAGTGTGGCAATTCTTCAAAGGTCTAAAGACAGAAATACCATTCAACTGGCCAGGCACGGTGGCTCACACCTGTAATCCCAGCACTTTGGGAGGCCGAAGTGGGCAGATCAGGAGGTCAAGAGATTGAGACCATCCTGGCCAACATGGTGAAACCCCCGTCTCTACTGAAAATACAAAAATTAGCCGGATGTAGTGGTGCACGCCTATAGTCCCAGCTACTGGGGAGGCTGAGGCAGGAGAATCACTTGAACGCGGGAGGCAGAGTTTGCAGTGAGCAGAGATAGCACCACTGCACTCCAGCCTGGCAACAGAGTGAGACTCCATCTCAAAAAAAGACAGAAATACCATTCAACCCAGCAAGCCTATTAGTAGGTATTTATCCAAAGGAATAGAAATCATTGTATCACAAAGACACATCCATGTGTTATGTTCATTGCAACACTAGTCACCATAGCAAAAACATGGAATCAACCTAAATGCTCATCGATGACAACTGGATAAAGGAAATGTGGTACATATACACTGTAAAGTGCTATTATGTAGCCATAAAAAAGAACAAGATCATGGCTTTTGCAGGGACATGGATGGAGGTGTAGGCTATTATCCTTAGCAAACTAACGCAAGAATAGAAAACCAAATACCACATTCTCACTTATAAGTGGGAGCTGAATGATGAGAACACATGGACACATACAGGGGAACAACACACACTGGGGCCTTTCAGAAGGTGGAGGATGTGAGGAGAAAGAGGATCAGGAAAAATAACTAATGGGTACTGAGCTTAATACCTGGGCGATGAAATAATCTGTACCACAAACCCCCATGACACACAATTACCTATGTAGCAAACCTGCACATATATCCCTGAATTTACAATAAAGTTTTAAAAAAAGAAAAGTATTTTGTTGTTATTAACTTTCATTAGTAAACCATGCTCACATGAAAGTTAAGCACACATACGTAGCCAGAGGTTGACTATCTGACAAATTTATGTAGATCTACATTTTAGGAAAACAAGTTTTATATTCTTTCACTGGAAGAAAGCACTCCTATCTTTGGGTGAACATGTTTCCTAAAATAGAGATTTTTAATATTGTCTTTATTGTAAACCACAGTGAAAATGCTATGCTTTTAAGTAATAGCAAAAGGTATGTCCATATGCTGTGAGGTGATTATTATAAATTGATAATAAACTATCTAAACTTTAATAGTTAATGCCTGACATTGTAAATTTACAATAAACTACCTAAACATTAGTAGTTAATACCTGACATTAAAAGAATGTTATATCCTAGTTTGAAATTCCTGTAGAGATATTAAAACTGGTAAGAAATTTCTCTCCTTAGCTTGTCAAGATAAACAGATTAAGTTCTAAACTGTTCTGATGTCTGCCCATCTCCACTGGAGAGATGCTAAGTAGAATTAACTCAGTCTCTCAGTCCTCATTGTCATACTTCTGATCTCCTTTCTATATGGCTGTGTCTAGATTCTAGGTTTAGTGGCGTCAGTGTCATCATATCAGGCTCATTAGAGTCTCTTATAAATAAAAGGCCTCAAGGAAGTGTAAGAATCCTAAGACAGTGTTAAGAAGTACTGCTGCTAAGTATCTGAAGGCATCAAATCTTTTAATTTTTCCCCCAAAATCTGTCTCTGTCAACCAGAGACATCATTTTTTTTCCCCACTGTTCTATTTATTCACTGTAGATTTACTTGTTCATCAAATCTTACAATGATCAGTATCAGTAAGCCAAATAACAACTCAAATGTTTTTCAAGCATTTCCTATATACAAGGTACTATACCAATTGATGGACTATAGTAATAAAGCAAGTTCACATTCTAGTCAAGGAGCAAATACTGACCAAATAAGTATGTATTTAATTAAATCATTGTACCTATATATCTCTATCTCTATTTCTATACTTCAGAATGAGCAAAATAGCTTTTTAAACTTCCAAAATGCATTCCCTGCTTGAGGTTCACTGTATATAACTGAATGTATAAAACATGTTGAATCTTTAAATAGAAAACGAGAAAAAACTAATTTGTAATGCCAAAGTCAGATATGTATTGGTACAAGTAAAACTGAGCTCCAGAATTTGTTTCCAAAGAACGTTTTGAATATAAGGTATCAAGCAATGAGTCATGAAAGACCTCTGTTAGGAGAATGAAGTTAAAGTAGCTTCTAGGTCTTCTTGTTAGCCTGACTATAGAAATACCAATGAATAGCTTGGGTTATAAAAGCCACTGGTAACCGGTACCTCTCATGGACTTATCCTGATTAGTTCTGGGATAAACACAGATAGGCCTGGGGGTTTGAAATGTGTTTGCTGAAGAATGTACATTCTTTTTCTGCTTTGTCCCCTTCCTCCATACTATACTTCCCATATCCTGGAGATAACCAGTAATGCACATTGAGCAGTTTCTATGGCCAGTGTTTGTTGTACAAATTTGCCATCATAGGGAAAAATGTCTCCTTTGTCATGAAACAGATTTTGTTTCATACTTATATGTAATACATTGAGGTTTGACTTTGGCTAATTCTGGCAACGGTGCAAAAACAAACACAGAAATGTAATAAATTCAACTGACTTCCGCATGCTTTTTCTTTCCCCTATGCTCACTTCACCTTCAATCCCTCATCATGTGGAATGAACCTCTTCAGCACCTGCAAAGGGAGTCTGAGATCTTAGAGGGAATATATGCATACTACTTTGATCTAATAATTTTCAACAATAAAATTGATGAAAATGATTAGACATCTGGGAGAAGCTGTTGAGTTCATATGCACAGACCCTCCATGGGTCCCAATCCCCTAGAGCCTAGATATCTAAAGAATTTTAGTATAACTAGAAATCATCTCTTACCTCATCATCTGTCCTGTTTCAGCAGGTCTAACTAGAGACTAGTTATAGTGTTGCCTAAATTTACAATTATTGTCATGCTCAAAAAAAAGAAGGAAAAAAAAGTAATTTAAGGAGACCATATATTTTAAAACTAGTTCTCCTAAACTTTAATTAAATATATATTTAAGTGTATAACTATTTAATTATTTGGAATGATTAGAGATAGTTGGAAATCATAGCTTTTTATTGTCAAGGCTCCAACAGCTGCACAAAATAGCTGCTGCTTTCTATAATCCATTTTATTAATAAATTCTTTTATTAACAATAAGAAAGTTGTCTTGAACTGAGAACACTGCATTTTTTAGTCTGATTTTACTGATTAAAAGGTTTTTCTTAATTTATTTCAAACAGTGATAAAGTTATAACTTCTGAAAAACTTTTTTTATTTACATTCTTTCATGTAACTTCCAGATATAATATAGTATCTTCTCAATACTCTGAAAATCTTTTAAAGATATGAAGTTGAGTCTTGAGTAATGCATGTCAGAGCACTGTGCCTGTACCAAAGAAAAAAATCTGTAGTCTTTTTTAAAAAAATACTTTCTATCCTTGTTCTATAAACAAAATGTATAGTCTTTTATCAAAGTGCGTTTTATCTACGGCATACTCATTGGAAATAAAATGTTCTATAACTAAGCTATAAACCCATACACATCTCTTAAACTGGGGGAAATCTTTTTAATAACTGACTTTTACTACTAATAATTATATAGTGAAATATATTTGTAATTTTGTCTCAATTTCATTTTTGTAAGATTTTAGTTTTTTTTTTGAATCAAACTCTCCCTCTGTCACCCAGGCTGGAGGGCAATGGCACAATATCAGCCCACTGCAACCTCCACCTCCTGGGTTCAAGCGATTCTCCTGCCTCCGCTTCCTGGGTTCAAGTGATTCTCCTGCCTCAGCCTCCCAAGTAGCTGGGATTTCAGGCCGTACCGCCATGCCCAGCTAACTTTTGTATTTTTAGTAGAGTCGGGGTTTCACCATGTTGGCCAGGCTAGACTCAAAGTCCTGACCTCAGGTGATCCACCCGCCTCAGCCTCCCAAAGTGCTGGGATTACAGGCATGAGCTACGGTGCCTTTCCAGATTTTACAATTTTGGAATGTATTATCTGATAGTAATGTTTTAATTAAGCAAAGACTTGTATATTTTTAGTTTATTTTTTCACTGCAGCTTCAAACCCTTGGGCTTAAGCAATCTTCCTGCTTCAGCCTCCCAAGTAACTAGGACAGGCAGGCATGAGCTACTGAACTCAACTCAGATTTTCTGTATTTTAACCCAAATCAGTTTAGGCATTAGCTGTCAACTGAATTATTCCAAATAATTCACCTATCAAACAATGCAAACTTAAAATTAAGCTAGCAGGACAGTTTGAGTAGTTTTACAATATATATACTTACTCATGTGTTCAATAATTAAACATAGTTGAGTTCTTCATTTTATTATAGATACATCTAGTTTTACCACCCAATAATCTTTTAGATTTTAGAATTTGTTGGTGATCCTTTAACTAACAGAAGACCAGGGAATGAATAACAGCTGGAAGGACAACAAAATAATCTGAAATAGCACAGTTTGGGTCACTTCCAGAGTGGCTTCTGCTCTCTTGCTTTATCCTTGATACAGGAGAACAATCATTTCATATTCATTGAGAAACTATGTCATGATTTTAACTATCCTCCTGCTGTGAGAGGCACTCAAACCAGAGTGACTCCATCTTGATCAGGGGCTGGGTAAAATATTTTACTCCCTTCACATCCCTGTGTCATCAACCTATAAACCTTTTAAAGTCTGGCCGTGTATTCCCTTCCCTGGTGCGCCACCTTCCTTATGAAGTGAGTCAGGGCAAAGAAAACTTTTCCTTTTCCTTGTACTTGTTGCCAAATCCCATAAGACAGTTGAGATAGGGCCAATATGAGTAATTTCATAATTCTCAACTACTGCACGCTTTCTTTCCTTCTTACATCCTGGAGCTTTCTTTGCCCTGAGATGTGGCCAAAAAAATAAATGAATTTCTCATAGGCTGCCTCAAAGCTTGGCTACATTTTGATAAGCATCTCTCATCACTTTCTTTGCCAGATGTCATTAATTAACCTATTTTAATTTCTAATCCTATGCTTTTCAGAAATAGAAACATAACTTCTCTGACCTCTCATGTCACTTTCTGCTAGTCAAAGTATAACTAGAGAGCTTCAGTCTAGGTGAGGGCTCTTAATTCCTAAGGGAAGCTAGAAATCTCTTGTAATAGTCAACAAAATGTTCTGAGATGAAAGCATTGGGTCATTCTAAGACAAAGCTGGCACTACATGAGGCCACTGAGAAATTAATTTGAATTAGAGAATCCACATGAAACCCCATGATGTAGGAAGTATTTGCCCCAGTCAACACCTAAACTTTATCTAGGTCCAATAAAAGCGTCAGAGCTTAAATGTACCTACAATGAACTTCGTAGGGCTTCAGCCTCACTTCTTTGGTTTGCCAGTAAAAAACAAAAACTGACAATCCAGCTTGACAGATGATGATCACATCCTCCCTGGGAGCAGTTTCTAGCCTGGTATTAGCACCCCTGCACCTGGCATTGACAATTCTTAAGACCCCATAGCATCATCAAGGATGACAATGATTGGGAAATGGATCAGAAGAGTGCCTGATGCTCCCCTACCCAGATTGCTCCCCTACCCAGATTGCTCCTGGCCTAGTCACGTGGAAAGAGAATATTATTTTCCAGGACAACATATTGGTTGACAATTTAACCTCAGGAAGAAAGGCAGAGACTATCACTGTCCTCTTTGCCATCTCTGACACCATGGGCATGCAAAAATTATCCAGAGAAGAGCTGGTAGTACCAACAGACAGGTTCTTAACCTGCTCTGCCAATGTTCCTCAATGGTGACATGGAGCCACTAATAGCACTAATCTCCTAAGTTTAAGATGAAATACAAAGTTCTTAGGAATGCTAGAAATATTCTGTATATTGATCTAAGCGTGAGTTTATAACAACAGTGTATTTGCCAAAATTCATGGAGCTGTTTATGTAAGGTTTTATAAAATATTACTTTTGGGGAAAAAATCATCTACAAAATACATCTGGTGAAGAGAAAAATGCATGCATAGTAAATGTACAGGTCAATGAATAAAAGGTGAACATGTATCTCTGAACTATACCTACAAAAAGAACATCAGTTATCGATACCATAAAAGCCCTCTCTGTTAATATCCCTTCAAGGCTTCTATAACCATAGTTTTGCCATTTAAACTTTCTATACATGGAATCAGACAGTATGTACCATTTTGTGTCTAACTTCCTCAGCGCATCAGTTTGAGACTAACCACATATCAATTCTCATGAACATGATATGGGAGGGGTGGCAAGGAAGTGCTGGGTAGAGAAAGGTGGGGTCCCTGGTGAGGGCTCCACCCTCAGGCCTGTGCCCACGAACCTAGGTGAGGACTGGGACTGTTTTCACACTCAAATGTTGCATTTCCAAGACCACCTTGGCCCACCATACCCCCCATATTGTGCCTATAAAAACCCTGAGACCATAGTGGGGATGTCAAGAAGAACACACCGGCAGACAAACACACAGACATCAACAGGCCATCAACAGTGGAACCATACAGACACTGAGGGAAATTCAGCTAAGGAGAGCCTGGCCAATGAGTGGCCCGACTCTAGGGAAAGACCACCTTCCCACTCCATCGCCCTTCTGGCTCCCCACCCAACTACTGAGAGCTACTACCACCACTCAATAAAACCTTGCACTCATTCTACAAGCACATGTGTGATCTGATTTTTCCTGTGGGCTAGGGAAAGAACCCCATGATATAGAAAGCTCTCTGCCCTTGCGATAAGGCAGAGAGTCTAACTGAGCTGATTAACACAAGCTGCCTGCATACGGTAAAGCTGAAAGAGCACACCGCAACACATGCCCACTGGAGCTTCGGGAGCTGTAAACACTGAGTCCTACACACTGCCATGGAGTTGGACCCCACACTGCCCACAATCTGCCCATCTGCATGCTCCCCCTATGGGTTTGAGCTGCGGGACACTGAAGAGGAGGACCACTCCCAGAGTCTGACACCCTGCCAGGGGGATAAGGGAACTTTTCCTGTTTCAACTGGGGGTCATCTGGGATCCCAGAAGGTAAGAGCAAATGTGAAACTGTCAGATCTGCCTCTTTCCCAAAATCCTGCCACCTCTCTCTCTTTCCTGCAGATAAAAGGATCTGTTTCCTTTCAAGAAGATTTAATTTCCCTAACCGGGCTGGTCAAAACCCCGACTTTGTCTCTTTTCTCTCTGTCATGGTTTGAAATGGCTATTATCTCTTCCTTTATAATGTTAAAGAATTTTGCTACAGGCTGTGGCAATGCTCAGCTGCCAAAAACGCAAATCAGACAAATTGTTCTTAGAGGTGCCATCTCTGCCTCCACCCTGACACGTGCAGACGCACACAGCTCAGGGAAACTCCCCTTACCCTTTCTCCTTCCAGCTTGGGCACCTGGACATGTTCACAGCATGCAAAGGCTGTACTTAACAGCCACCAGCTGACGAAGGTAAGAGAAAACCACGGTGGTAGCCGGGACCTCACAGAGCTGGCAGGTGGGCACTTATGGCCTGTCATGCCAACAGAACCTTTCTTCCCCTGGCCAAGGAATTCAACACAGTCTGAACCCGGGAAAGGATACAAGGATTAAAAGGAACCTCTTACACTGAGCAAGGAGTTCTTTCCCCAGGACATTCCCCTTTTGACCCTTAAACTGTTTTTTCTATTTTTTTCCTTTTCTAAGTGAGAGGACTCCCTCTTCCCAACATTATTTCTGATAGGGAAGTTAACAAAGGAAATCCCTTGCTGGCTGATAACCAAATTCAGCAGCACTCATTTGAGACACTATCTAAATAGAAAGAGTCTCTGAAATATCTTTTCAGTCCCAATCCTGATTCCAAGCTTCAGGCTGAGACCTTAGAAAGACCAGGCTGGAGGGATCCAAAGCCAGGCCACAGGCACAATGTAAATGGGTAGCATCAGTTCCTGTAGACTAAACCCTCAACCCATGGAAGAAGACCATACTCCATGGCATAAACAGGCCTAGGGAACTCAAAGTTTGCCAACAGCAGGGAGAAAAGGAGGCAGAGGTGAGGGTGGTTAATTCCTATTCTCCAGATTTTCCCTGCTTCATGGGAACACACCACATTGGTATCTGTGGCCAGCACCTGCCACGGTCCCTGAGACTCAGGGATAAGAGGTGGAAGAAAAGGGAGGGCACTAGCTTTCTTTCTCCATCAAACCCTGAGTTTTTGCTTCAGCAAAACTGATGAAAGAAAATGATAAATTTCCTGTCTTTCAGAATGGGTAACCAGCTCTTTTCACCAACCCCACCTTCTACTCCTCTGCAGTGTGTCCTGAACCATTGAGACCATTTTGACCCTCAGAATCTGGAGCAAAAATGCCTCATATCCCTTTGCACAAAGGTTTGGACAAATTATAAACTGGGTTCACCCCAAGAAGGAACCACTCACCCTTATACCATCTGACATTTGGAACTTTTTCATAGACGTGAAGACATATGGTCTGCGTCCCACATATGCAGGCTTTCTATACCTTGCAAGGCAATCCAGAACTTTGCCAACAGTGTAGGATTGATTGCCATCTCAGGGAAGGCTGGAAGGGGCAAGCCCAGGGGAATTAAAAGATCTGAGTCCCAGAAGCACCCCCAGCAGAGGAGCCAGCTCCCTCCAGCTCTGCTCCTCTGGGTCCACACCAACCTCCCTATCGAGCTTCAGCCTCTCACTTGTCCTCTCCTAGAAATCCCTCCCCTAAACAAGCCCCAGTTATCACTCTTGCCCCTCCAACAGATGTCCAGTGAATTTGGCCCAAGTCCAGGTCCCCTTCTCCCTATAAAACTTAAAGCAAATTTCCAGAATTTCACCCAAATATTTGAACTCTCCTGGAAAGATGTTATGTTACTTTGGAATCAGATCCTGATGCACACTGAGAAGCAGGCCACTCTGCAAGCAGCAGACAGATTTGGGGATGAGCTTTGCATCACATATAGTGTCAGGGAAGGGAGCAAATATTATCCAACTGGAAGAAAAGCAGTATCAGTGAATGACCCTAAATAGGATCCCAGTCATGAGATGGCAGGCTGGAAGAGGAGATACTTTCTGGTGTGCATAATGGAAGGCTTACATAGGATGAAGACCAAGCCTCTCAATTATGCTAAGCTGTCCATGACTAACCAGGGATTCGATGAAAATCCCGCTGCCTTCTTTGAAAGGCTGAGAGAGGCCCTAGTAAAGTACACCTCTCTATCTCCTGACTCAATCAAGGGACAGCTAATCCTAAAGGATAAATTTATAACTCAGGCAGCCCCTGATATTAGGAGGAAGTTGGAGAAACAGTTCCTGGGGCCAGGTAGTATATTACAGGACCTCCTGAAAGTGACCACCTCAGTCTTTTACAATAGAAAAAGGGAGGCACAAGAGAGGCAGAAGCTTTAATGACCACCACACAAGACTACAAACACCAGAATTTCCAGGCAGGGCACACTTGTTAATTGCTAAAGATATGGCTACAATAGCTACCTCTCTTCTAAAGTTTAACTGACCCTATACAAGATTTAATTTCTTTCACCAGGGTAAAACAGCTAAGGATACAATGTTGTTGTTAGTATATTTCATTTCTTATCTCTGTAATCTTTAGCACTAAATTTTTCCTTGTATAATACACATTTAACGCATGCATACTTAACCTTATAAAGTTTTTTTTTTCCTCTCACATATAGAGGTCATCAAACTCCAGAAAGGCAACCAGAGCCTCAATGTGAGCCCTTAGATAGACCTCTGTCTGGGAGGAATCTGTTTTCCCAAAAACAACGCCCCATCAGCAGGAAGCAGCTAAGACTGGTTGTCTCCATATTTTTATGGCAGTTACATGTACCTCTTCAGAGGGGAAAAATGATACAAGAAGAGGGCAGAAGTGCTGGGTAGAGACGGGCAGGGTCCTTGAGAGGGCTCCAACCTCATGCCCACGGCCCTAGGTGAGGACACGCACTCCTGTTTTCACACCCAAATGTTGCATTTTTCCAAGACCATCCTGGCCTCCCATGCCCCCCATCCTGTGCCTATAAAAACCCCAAGACCATACTAGGCACACACACAAACATCTGGACATCAAGAGGAACACACTGGCAGAATACACAGACGGCAACAGGCCACTGACAGTGGAATGACATGCATGCTGAGGGAAATTCCATAGAGGGGGGTCAAAGGAGACAGCCCAGGCACTGAGCAGCCTGACTCCAGGGGAGACCACCTTCCCACTCCATCCCCTTTCTGGCTCCCTATCCATCTACTGAGAGCTACCTCCACCACTCAATAAAACCTTGCATTCACTCTCCAAGCCCACATGTGATCTGATTTTTCTGGTCCACTAAGACAAGAATCCAGGACACAGAAAGTCCTCTATCCTTGCAATAAGGCAGAGGGTCTAACTGAGCTGATTAGCACAACCTGCCTGCAGATGGCAAAACCTGGAGAACACACTGTACGACATGCCCACTGGGCTTCAAGAGCTGTACACAACAGGTCACATCCCACACTCGCCAAGACCTGCCTGTCTGCATGCTCCCCCTAAGGTTTGGAGCTGTGGGACACTTAAGGATTGAGCCACTCCCCAGTCACACACCCTTTGTGAGGGGGATACAGGAACTTTTACTGTTTCAAATACATAGTATCTCATTATAGAAATCTATTCATCTCCCCTTGCAACTATTAAATAACAGCATCATTGTGAATATGTTCATTTTTTGTAAACATACTGTTATTGTCTTCAAAGTTCTAAAAGCTCATTTTTCATACAGAGAACTGCTACATAGCACACATCAGTACCATTTCAAGTTCACATTTTCTTGCAGGACAGGCTTGTCTAACTTTTCTCGTGACTGCTGTAGAGATGCATCCACTTCATTTGTCCAATAGGAATGAGATCATTCCAGCTATACTTCTTGCTGGAACTCAGATCCTGACTGATCAATTATTCTCTGAATCTAAAGAACTCATACTCCTAAAAATGGACATTAGACCACTGTGGTCTTCAAAAGACAAATACACATACTTGTGCGCAAACACACGCACATTCAATTTCTGAGCCCTCAGTCCTGGAGAAGACAAATACAATGATTCAGTGGAAAATCACACCTAAAAATCACCTGAGCAGGAGGGAAGGAAATGGGAGACCATTTCCATTGCTAGAAAAAGTTACCTTAATTTGGTCACTATTTGGCTAGTTCACTGCAGAATTTCCACATAGTATGTGTTCTACAAATATTTATTTACTAATCTTCAAACATCAATAGTAAATTGTTAACTAAACTGTATTACCATCAACCAATCTGAACAACTTAATTGCAAATCCAATTTTACCTACATTGTATCTTTTATCGGGAGATAGCAGTACCCAAAAATCAGATCATTTACTAAGTGTGCCTGTAATTGATAAGGACAAATTCTTTTTAACTGCGTGAACCTCAACACAGCTCGTGTCGTATCAATCGTCATCAGGATGATAAATACAAATTAAAATAACACACCTACTTACATATATAAGGTGTGTAAGAAACCAAGTAATGTTGAGAATATAGAGCAACCACAAATAAACTGTGAGACCAAGTGCAAAACGGCATAAATACTTCTGAAAACCAGTAGTACCTACTGAAAACAGGTAAGACATGAAGGAGCATTGGCGTTTACCATAATCATATTAAAATAGTTTGTTGCTGCTACAAACTAGAAATTAGGTGCTATTTACACAACAGAATTCCACACAGCTATCAGAATGTTAAAAATCTAAGGAACATTGTAATTCCATCTCACGAACGTTAACACTTAGTGCAAAAAATGAGTTAAAAAAAACTGTTCATTTTCACCAAGTTTATTAGACTAAAGCTTATGTGTGCTGTTAAAAGAACAGTGCTTATCCTTTGCAGTTTGAGGTTGGTTGCCAAAAGGGGACACAAAGGGACACTGAGGTTCTTGATTTCCTTAAAAAAAACTATTTCAAACATTAACACGTTAGACCAGTTTGCCTATCGTGTTTGTTAAGCGGCACTAACTGCTGCAATGTGTTAAAGGGATTGTCAGCCACCAGAAAAAAGAAGTTGGACAAAACGTGCTTATGCGATTCTCAGCTATCATTAACCTACTCCAATTAATTCTTGACCTTAAGTAACTACTTACAATCAAAAAGTAATTTGTTAGGCAACTGACTTTTTACCCAATTCATTTAGTTCAGCCATCTTTCACATCAAAAATGCTTAAAATAGCAATCACACTCATATTAAGTTGCTTAGACCAAAATGCAATATATGCTGCATGTATAGACCTTTTAGATTCACATCAGTCAGAACACAAATCCTGCCTCACAACTCCAACCTTCTACCACCTTCGTCATTAAGGCAAAGAAGTACTTCTAGCCTCAGGACGGTATTTCACAAACAGCTTTGGTAGGTAGCCAAGAAATCAGATTTCCAATCTTCAGGTTAAGAGCACAAGTTCATCTTCAACTCAACATTAAGCTACAAGTGACAGCAGGAAGACTTTTGAACTTTTTATTTTAGTAAAATCAGAATAAACAGAGCACATGCAGTGCCAGCATCTAAAACTAATACAATAAGCAATTACTGAACTTTTACAGTGACTCGAGGTTCAATGATTACATTCAGCAATTCCATTCTTTATTTACTGAAGAATACTGCTGGCTGATAAAACCGAATGTTAAGTCACTGACAGAAATAACCATGTTTGAGGACTGTAAATATACCAGACAATCACTGAAAATCAAACACAACAAAACACATAACAAAACTCAAGAGAAACTTTGTGGATGTGGACACTTCCTATCAGTGTTCAGAAGTGTTTCATTAATATCTTAAGACAAGTATATCAAAACCTTGGCATGTTTTAGTTTCAAGTTGACAATTTTGTCTTAAATTTTGTCAGAAAATTACAGCTACATTGCCAATGCCGGGTCTGCTTAATTTGACTCAAGTTTAACAGACTTAACATTAAAAGCTCACACTACCCCAAAATATATTATTTCACATACGGTGACATTCAACATTCAAGTGCCAGTGTTTTTTGTACTGTCTTTTGGTCAAGTTTCTTTAAACTTTCAAAGAATCATTTTTAGGCTTACAAAAATAAATATTTGTCAAAATGTTCAATAAATATTACACAACTAGCAGCAAAAAGTATCTAAAATCTGTTGTGTGCAAATAGTTTTCTTCTCAACTACCATTCCATGGTCCCCAATAAAATTTAGGAATCTACTTCTTCACTGGCTGCATTCAACAATCTCCAAGAGACGAAATAAGATTGGAAGGTCGAGGACACCCACACAAGACATATATATATAAAATTCTCTGAATGTGCAACAAAATACTTTGTAAAAAGTTATGGGAGAAATGTACAAGAGTCTAAACCTACACTAATTGAAATAGCACCTTAACAAATGACCTCAATACTGTCAAGTGCACCTACTTAAAAGTTTTAGAACAAGGCACAATACACTTGAAAATCTATTGCACTTTAAGAAATTTTTGTCAACTTCTTATGCCATTGAAAAGATTTGTTTTTAAAGATCATTGCATCTGGCCACAAAATCAGTACAGAATTCCAAGTGGGAGAGGCATTTTTAGTGGTGGACAATCATCTTTGGCCAAATTTAGCACAAGAGACTATAAATACCATGGAAACCTATGCAACTAAAATACGCTAAAACTGCACATATAGAACACACACCTTGTGCAGTTTAGTACGTATTTGCAAGCTGTGTGATTTCAAGGATTTGTTAGTCTTAAGATTTGCAAAGTCTGCAAGTGTAAGCCATTTTAACATTTCAATGCAGCTTTAACAGAGCAGTATGAATCTACATTAAATTAAAGCCTGCTGCACAATCCTTCCTGTTTAAACCGTTCTTGACCAAAAAACATCAACACTAGCATGCATTAAAGACCAGAATCCAACCAGGCCTGTAGTGAGGCCTGGTCACTGCCATGGTCGGCCATTCTAATATTTCAAATTTTTATAGCAGGCATTAAAAAAACTGATTAAATCTCCCCCATTTTATCAAAGCTTTAAACCTTTCTTGTGATAGCATGCCGTTTGCCTAGGTTAGAATAAACTCCCTAAACATTACATGAGAAATTGCTGTACTTAAATTAACCTAAAAGAGCTCTTTCAAAAATATTAATTGGTATACTGATACATTCCACCTCATCATGACTGGAATGGCTTAAAGAGTGTAAGTTCCCAAGTGCCTATCCAGGATAGAGTGAGCAAGTCAGAACTTAATTTAGTAAGGTTGGCCATACAAAAAACTATGCTTTAATGCTTTAAGATGTTCTCCCAACCCCAAGTCTGCAAAACTCAAACAGTCCTAATGCAGACTACTGCCTTAAGTTTTTTTCCCTTTTTATATTTATGGATGAATTGATGACTCCTGTTAAAGTTGTATCATACCTCTGTGCCAAGGTTTGATTTTAGGCCAAGTTTAGTAAATTTATTTTGTCAAAACAATTGGTATCGTGAGCATTACTGAGCCAACAGGACATCAAAGTAGTAAGTTGTCTAAAGTTAAAGTCACAGTACGTTAACAAACAAACGATCCTCAGTCACAAAATTATAAATGCAGTTTGGGGTGGCACTAAAGCAGGAGGGGAAGAGTTTAATCCAAACTAGAGCAATTACATCTTCAAACCAATTTCTGAATAGGGCTGCTGTTTTTTCCTTTCATTTTTCTTCTTGTGACTTTGAGCTCCCTTGAATTATCAGGAGAATCACAGCTGGTAATGTACTGCAAGTTCTTGAAGCTACACAATATAGTCTGGCTAAGTTACATGTGGTTTCCATATTAGCTTCTTTGTAAGGGTGACTTTGCTGCAAAGCAGATTCAGTTGCCCCACCAGTCAACCCCCTGGGAGTTATAATTTCCTCCATATCCATCACTATTGTAGAAGCCTCCATAGCCACCTATCAAGAAAAATGTTTAGAGAGAAATTAAGTCATTCGTTAATACCTTTTTTTTCTCAAGTACTTTAACATAAAACCAGTAAAAGAAATCTAGAGTTGGATTTTGTGTCCCTCAGAAATCAAATCTCCCCAATGAATTATGCTTTGAAAAAGAGAACTCGTAAGAAAAACAAAGAGCCTAGGCCAGGCACGGTGGCTCAAGCCTGTAATCCCAGCACTTCGGGAGGCCAAGGTGTGTGGATCATGAGGTCAGGAGGTAGAGACCAGCCTGGCCAACATGGTGAAACCCCATCTCTATTAAAAATAGAAAAAAATGAGCTGGGCATGTTGCCACCCACCTGTAATCCCACCTACTTAGGAGGCTGAGGCAGGAGAGTCACTTCCAGTGAGCCGAGATCAGGCCACTGCACTCCAGCTTGAGTGACAGAGTGGGACTCCATCTCAAAAAAAAAAAAAAAAGAAAAACAAAAAGCCCTTCCTAAAAGAAAAATTAACATTACCTCCACCAAATCCTCTGCTGTTGCCGTAACCACCTCCACCACTGCGGCTGCTGCTTCCGCGACTAGCACCAAAGCCAGAACTGCTGGAACCACTACTTTGTCGATAGTCTCTGGCACCAAATCCTCCACTGAATCTATTACTGTAAGCAAAAATATGGCATGGCAGTGTTAAGTACAAAGTTCAATTAAACTGAAAATTACTGCTTAAACCCTGCAATTCCCAATTTGATTTTTCAGTTCAATTCCATTATGTTCCAATGGGAACCATCCCATTAATGTCCCAATGTGTTCTAACAGTGTTTCTAAAGGACTCAGGAGTAAGGACCTAACACTTAATTCCTTGTCACCCTCTCTAATAATCATCCCTTGCCCAAAATGTTTATTATTGTTGAAAATAACTGTTTAACACTTTTAAGTTAACTCTGAAAGCTTCTTGCCCCTAGTAAGCAATAACAAGAGTGAAGGCTCGAAACAGTGTGTACCTTTTAGATCGTCCACGACTGCCACCCTTGTAGTGGTGTTCATAAGCCATATTTTCCAACCAAGAAGGCACTTCTTGTTTAGCTTCTACAAGAAGATCCAACAAATCCTTTGTAATATTCATATTTTTTTCATTAAAGAATGAGGTGGCAAGGCCTAAAGTGTTCAAAAAAAGTACATGAAGTTTCCATAAAGTAGTGGAGTATTCTTATATTCCTGTATAAAATATAGTAAGAAAGAAACTAAAATACGACATTGTAATTTGTAATATAACCAAATCAAAGATACTGAAAGAAAAACTTTTACTTGGCTGATTAATCTGATATGAAATTTTACCTCAAAAATAAACATTCTATTTTTAAGATTCTGTGTCAAATCCTGGCTGTATGCATCACAATTAAAAAAAAATGAACTAACAAACCCCTTACCCAGGTTTCCTACACGTCCTGTACGGCCAATACGATGCACATATTCTTCAATATCACTTGGCAAATCAAAATTGATAACATGTCTCACATTTGAAATGTCTAGTCCTCGTGCTGCCACCTGAAAAATTAACTTCTTTTAAAAAAAAAAAGCACTATCCACACATGATAAATTAAAAAATAAAATATACATACAGCTGTAGCCACTAGAATTGGGCTTTTTCCTGAGCGAAACTGGTGAAGGGCCTCCTCTCGATCTCTCTGTGACCGGTCTCCATGAATACTAGTACAAGCATATCCTTCATGGTATAAGAAATCCTCCAGGGAATCTGCTCCCTTTTTGGTCTCCACAAACACTAAAGTAAGTGAATCACTCCCTGAAAAATTATAAGGCTTTGTTTACTCACAGTGAATTAGCATCACTACTTAATCTAAATTATTAACTGGCTTAATTCTAGTCCTTGTGCTAAAATACATCTTGGATGCATGCAAACAGAGCCAATTAATGTAAGCATTGTTTTAGCCATGTTTAGAAAGACAGGAAAGGCCAGAAGATATGTAAAGAGATTATCTTTACATGTAACTGACACTATTCTTATTCATAATTTACCTGTTGCACCTAAAATGTCCAGTAGAAATGACCGTTTATCTAAGTCTTCCACCCAAACTACTTTCTGTGTGATGTTCTCAGAGGTAGAGCCTACTCTGCCTACAGCCAAAAAGATATATTCATCCAAAAAGTCACGAGCAAGCATCTGAAACAGTGAGAAAAATACTCAATTACCTATTTTAATACATAAATTATCTGAAGATAATGAATAAACACAAATGTTCTGAATGAAAGTTCAAACGTCAAACAGTACCTGTATTTCCTTAGGAAAAGTAGCACTAAACATCATGGTGTGACGAACGCCCTTTGGTGGCATAGTATCTTGTTCAACTATACGACGTATCTGAGGTTCAAATCCCATATCCAGCATCCTATCAGCTTCATCCAACACTAAGTACCTATTACGAAAACCCTCAGTTGATACTGGATTATTAGATCTGAGAAACTAATTACTATATATAGTTGTGTAATTAATTGCACTAATATAGTAACTCAAGTAGTAACTATTGCAGTGTCACAATTTGACATATACTCAACAAATGCATACACACACAAACACACACAAAATCATGAGATGAAATGCTCAAGGTAACAACCGAATTACCCATGTTGATTGTTAAAATGAAGCTCAGAGCCTCAAATAAAATTTCACTTACTCTTTACAAAAACGTTAACTGCAATTTTCAAAACTATGTAGAAAATTAAATTATTGAAGTTAAAGCAGTACTAGTAAAATACAACAAAAGTAATCAACTTTTAATACAGAAATAGATGCACCCCATATATAAAAACTGACATACTTGCAGAAGTCTAATCCAATCTTTCCTCTTTCCATCATATCCACTAGACGTCCTGGAGTGGCTACTAACAAGTGGCATCCACGTTCTAAGTCCCGAATCTGCTGACCAATATCAGCACCACCATAAACTACACAAGGACGAACTCTAGATCGGTAGGAAAACTTTAAGCAAAGAACATGTCAGTGACTATAACAACATCATTTGACAAATAAGAAAAGCAATAATCACTAAAATGAATATTTTACTTTTCTGGCTTCCTCATAGATCTGTACAGCCAATTCTCTTGTTGGGGCTAAAACCAAGGATATTGGATATTGTTTGCGGCGCCCATACCTTCCATTTTCCTAAAACATAAATATAATTTTAAATTCATAACCCAAAACTTCAATTGTTTTTAAAAATTCATCACTTTCTCTTTATAATTTGCAGATTACATCTACAAACTTATTTTCAGTGGGTGAAAGGGGTAAAAAAAAAAAAATGAAAATAAGGTGTATCTGGCATCCGTTAGAAAAGTCAACAGGGCTTTGCAAAGCTTTTTAAAACAAAAATGTCTGATTTTATAACAAAACCTTTACCTTCACAGCCTTCAAAGCTTCTCCTGGACCATCTGTATATATCTGACTCAGTATGGGTAAAAGAAATGCTGCAGTTTTCCCAGATCCTGAAAACAAAACACTGGCTTATCATTTCTGAATATTAACAGATGACAAAGGGTTCTAAATGCCCTTGAATTGTAAGAAAATTTTTCTTACTTTATTTCCAATTTTCTAGGAAGTTACAGTAAATTTATATGGCAAACCTAAAGTGAGTACTGTGCTTTATTTTTAAACAATGTATTTCAATTTGTACAAAACACAACCATTTTTCTGAAAAGTGGCATCAACTTTCAGTTCAACATTTCTTTGTAATCACTACATACTGTTAGAAGGTAAAACAGGGGTCAGTGAACTTTCTGTAAAGAGCCACATGGCTCTTGCAGGCCAGTCTCTCTGCCACATCTCTGGCTAACCTCTACAGCTATAGACGTAACCAATGGGTATGGCTATATTTCAATACAGCTATTGAAAAATAAACAAGAGCTAGGTTTGACCTAAAGGCTGCAGTTTGCTAACTCCCGTGGAGTTAACTGTAAAATACGCAGTTCTATTTCTTAAAGAAGATTTTGCCATAAGCTTCCTCAAGATGTCCAGATAAAAATATTAGTTTCATCCCAAGGATCCAAAGGTATACACAAAAAGACACATCCTCAGCTAATCTTTACCTACCTCAAATGCTAAACACAGGATTCAGACATCCCCTTCAGAACATACTACTTTTAAAGTAAGTCTGATCAGGTATTCTTAACTTTCACTTTGTATTGAGTAAGCTTACCTGTTTGGGCACAAGCCATTAAGTCTCTTTTTCCCTTAATAATAGGAATGGCATGTTTTTGCACTGGAGTAGGACGAGTATAGCGAGTAAGTTCAATGTTCCCCATGATAATTTCTCCCATGTCAATATCGCTAAACTGCCAAGAAATTTAACCAGGTTAATCAAATACAAGTAAATACAGAAGTAAACATAGCAGATATAAAATGCTGTATCTGTCGCAATTTCTGTTTTATACTAACATATTAATGGAAGTAACCAACTAAACTGTCTGATTTAGTTTACAGATGCTATGATTTCAGTAAAAGATTCATGGCATTTTTTAAGAAAATGCCTGGGTTTAATCTACATTGAAAAAAGTTTTTGGAGGCCAGGTATGGTGGCTGATGCCTGTAGTCCCAGCACTCTGGGAGGCTAAGGCATGAAGATCACTTGAGATCAGGAATTTGAGACCAGCCTGGCCAACATGGCGAAACCCTGTCTCTACTAAAAGTACAAAAATGAGCTGGGTGTGGTGGTGTGCACCTGTAGTCCCAGCTACTTAAGAGGTTGAGGTGGGAGAATGGCCTGAACCCAGGAAGGAGGATGCAGTGAGCTCAGATCATGCCACTGCACTCCAGCCTGCGTGACAGAACAGAATCTGTCTCAAAAAAATAAATAAATAAAAATAATGGATGCTTCATAAGTTTGGTAAATTTTTAATTCCAGGATTATTCTTAACAATGACATTAATTTTTTTTTCATAATCCAATGGGTTTGCATTAATAACTTTAAGAGTCAAACAAAAAACTTACATTCTCAATATGTGGAGGACAGTTACTGCCGGTTGCCTCTACTGGTATATCATCATATTTCTCAAAGTTAATCCCCGTGTTTCCTCCAGAAAACAGTTCTCTGAAATCAAACAATTATTACATACATGTTATACTAAGCAATAAATTTCATAACAATTAACATACATTTCAAAAACTTACTGCTCCAAGCGTTCACTTGGTGGAAGTGGTTTTGACCAATCATCTTCAACTGACTTGTCACACCAACGACTATGTCCACTCCGTTCAAATCTGCCAAAGCCAGGTCTTTCACGATTGCCAATACCATCATAGTCACTCCGTCCACGATCATCAAATCTGAATAGCACAAGCAATCAGAAGTACACGATTTAGCCCATGTTAGATTATCATCGCTCTAGAAACGTACTTGGGTATCAGTTGAATTACTGAACACAACCACCCTTCGAAGATACTGGCAATTCAATATTCGTTTCTCATGTGAAGTAAGGCCCTCTAATTAACCAGTACTTAAAATGTAATTTATGTCTTCATTTTTAAGAAAATTATAAAAATTTTTATAAAATCACACAGCTTAGACCTCACATGCTAAGAATTAGGTTTTTAGATACTTATAACTAGTTACGTACTTTACATCTTCATTTAAAATAGTATCATCTAAATATATTTACTAGTAGGAAAGCAGGAATAACACTTGAATTTCTCCTTTATATGAAAGTAGACATGTGACAAGAGAATATTTTTAGAGTTTTACTCCTATTTGTGAAAAACAGAAAGGATTAAATACAGCCATTAGGTTTTTAAGATCAACTTATAACACACATCAAAAATGAAGTGTTTAAAGCTGTCACAGACAGGCTTTAAGTATCATTTAAGTTGAAACAGATTTCACTGTGTCAAATACCATATTCATCTAATTTAATAAATTAATAAAGACCTCTTACTGCTAACAAAACAATGAGTAAACCAACATTCTGCTTTAAATCCATTAGTAATCTGTTAAAGATATGCTTGACCACTGAAAGTATGAAGAATGAGAACCTACCAAATTAAAATTTCTAAATTTCTACTGTATACAAACACAAGCTGAGATTTACCTTCCCCTTGATCCACTTCCACGTTCACTGAAATAACCAGGCTTTCCTCTAGAATCTCGAGACCCAAAACTGCTATATGCATCCTTATCTTTGCTGCAACTCCAACCTGAACTGTCTTTATCATGGAATCCTTCAATAAAAAAGCAAAAATCAGAAGGTGACAAGACTTTTGAATAATTTGCATCTTTCAAAATATGAAGTCCTTCACATGTAGTCTTCCTTTATGTTATCTTTATGGGACCAATGGTCTACAAGTCCCATAAGCAGAATTGTTAAAAGCTTTAATGTTTTCTTCCACCAGAGATTATTATATGAAGCAAAGTAATCTCATGACCTGAGAACAAGGTAGCTTGCATGTAACATAGCTATGCTATTAATACTATACTATCGTAACAATTTTTTTCATTCATTTTTTAAGTGTAAATGTTACATATCCAAAATATAAACCTACTCCAATTAAATTATTTAAGATGAGTCTTTTTTTAAGCTATGACTAAGAGGGATTCCAAGTTCCCAATTTTTAAGCTGAACTTGTAGCTAGTGCAAGCCCATTGTTAGTTTCTTAGTTATGTCCCATCCTTGACAAATCCTGAATAATACAAAAGGTGTTAAACCTAAACATTTAACATATGCTATATATAATACACATTTTGGGAAGGCCCAGCTAAGTAAAAGATTACCTCAGGGACTGTGGGTTACCTACAGAAAAGCTTGAACTAAGAGAGCTACATAATCAGAAGAAATATGTCAGATGGATTAAAACAGGGATGGCTCACACCTGTAATCCCAGCACTTTGGGAGGCTAAGGCAGGCAGATCACAAGGTCAGGAGATCAAGACCATCCTGGCTAACACGGTGAAACCCCGTCTCTACTAAAAATACAAAAAAATTAGCTGGGCATGGTGGCGGGCACCTATGTAGTCCCAGCTACTCAGGAGCCTGAGGCAGGAGAATGGCATGAACCCAAGAGGTGGAGCTTGCAGTGAGCTGAGATCGCGCCACTGTACTCCAGCCTGGACAACACAGCAAGACTCCGTCTCAAAAAAAAAAAAAAACAGCTCCAACTCTATGCAGTTTATGACCAAAAACTACTCATACATAGTAGTATGTAGCAACTGTATGTAGCAAGCATCATAGTAAACAAGGACTCATTCAATGAAGAACCTGGAGAAGTCAACTTGCTATCTATCAACAATACTATAAACAGGACTAGTTAGCTGAGCATCTTAATTCATCTTTTAAAATCTAG
Organism: Homo sapiens; assembly: GCF_000001405.40. Classification (NCBI taxonomy): domain Eukaryota; kingdom Metazoa; phylum Chordata; class Mammalia; order Primates; family Hominidae; genus Homo; species Homo sapiens. The sequence continues at coordinate 12,910,719 of NC_000024.10, read as the reverse complement.
CTTTGTCTAGTAACACCAAAAAGAAACAGATCAGCTAAATGGAAGTAGTCAATACAAAACAAGGAATTTCCATGTTGTCTACTTTGCTCTACCAGACCTCTAAAATAGCCTCAAATTCTAAAAGTCCAAAAGTAACTATGTAATCTTAATATGCTCGTTAAGAATAAGGTATACTTGTGTTAAAACAAAAAAACCCTCATTGTTGCCTACTTTCCATGTCTACAAACTGATAAAAAAAAAATGACAAGAGTAAACTCACTTCACAACCACACACTTACCTAAATTCAAACATTTCAATGAATGTTTAAAGTTACAAGTTAATAAAGTTATTTTCCCCTGCTTTTAAATCTCCAATATTAGACAAATGAATAATTGTACTTCCTAAATCTAGATCTATTGTACTAAATCGATTGTACTTCCCAGATTTAGGAAGTTAGATGTTTAAGGTCTCTTCCATCCCCTCAAATACTAAAATATTGCCAACTCTCCTTAAGGCAGTTAATAAACCTTTGATGCAATTCCAGCCAGATGCAATATTTTTTCAGAATAACAATTCTCCAGTTATTCTGAAAAAATAATACAATCATTAGCTAAGTGGTCTTCTGATAAACAGACCTAAAGAGGCTACAGACTAAACATAGAAATACAAACCCACTCCACACCCCTTTATCATTACCTTCTTTCCTTTTGGTTTTAAATACTTTTCCTGACCTTTCCTTCTCCTAGAATTTTTTTGATGTATATGCAGCACTCAAAACATCACCCCAATTAAACTTTTCTAAATTACAAATTTAATAGTAAACCATCCTAAGTGTTTTAAGGCATTTCATGCAACACCTTTCAAATGAAGTTGTTTAGGCTGAAACCAGACAATCTCACCAGCTTATTGGATGTGGCCAAAAGTGGTAATCTTAACAACTGTTAACTAGTCTAAAAAAAAAAAAACCCACTTTTGCTGTGCTAACTTTTCCAGACAGCAGCAAGCAGGTCTTTATCACTACACAGTTTCTTTTACGTAAGGCATTTCCACAAATACACTGGTTTCAAATTTCAAAACATAAATGTTTACAAACAGATAAACCACTATACAAAACTCAGATTCTTTGGGCTCAGTTTGCCAAAGGAAACAACTATCCATCATTCAACATTATACAAACTGTTCCAAAAACAGAAAGTGCTAGTTCTTAAAGACAGTCTGAAAGAGGCACAGGAGGGGACAAAAAACATTTATAGACCTCCTAAAGTTACTTTCTTCCCTAGGCTTTGATTAGCTGCTAAAGGTTAGGTCTACAAAGTTGCCTTAAAGACGTACCTTTAGATGCTTCTCTGTTCCTTAAGTGAGGAGGTATATAGCGCCCTTCTAAAAGAGAAAATGTAAAATTAGAAGCCTATAACATCGCCAAGATACTGCTTTTAGAAAATGTCTATTAAAAAATAGGTCCTGGAAAACAAACTTTTAAAACCTGTATTTTATACAATAAACTACTTTGCAAGATGAGCGGAAAAAATGCTTACTCTAAAATACATTGCAAACCACAAATATTTCAGTAGCTAGTAGTGGTTATCTAACAATTATCTTTTAAAAGGATCTATTTCCAATAACTGCTTCATGAATCAACACTGACCATTAAACATGGTAATTACCCCAGTATAAAAGCCTACTAGGGAAAAAAGACTCTTATGTGCTATACTAAATTAACTAACCAGTAAGAGGCTTTTAAAAAATCTGTACTGGGCTGGTCACGGTGGCTCACGCCTGTAATCCCAGCACTTTGGGAGGCCAAGGCGGGCAGATCACGAGGTCAGGAGATCGAGACCATCCTGGCTAACAAGGTGAAACCCTGTCTCTACTAAAAAAAAATAGAAAAAATTAGCCGGGCATGGTGGCCGGCACCTGCAGTCCCAGCTACTCAGGAGGCTGAGGCAGGAGAATGGCATGAACCTGGGAGGGGGAGCTTGGGGTGAGCCGAGATCGCGCCACTGCACTCCAGCCTGGGCGACAGAGCGAGACTCCGTCTCAAAAAAAGAAAAAAAATTCTGTACTGGTAGATTAAAGTGATACCATAAAAACACATGAAAAGTTGGAAAGTGAAAATGATCTGGAAAACAAATCAAGTGTTTTCAGTTAAATCAACAGGCCAGTCTATGATTAAGAAGTAAAAGAACTTATGAAGTAGACAGTACTTAACTACCTGATTTTGTAACTCAAAAATCCAAATTTGAACTAAACCTCCTACTTTTGGATTTAACTAAATATCCAAAAATGTCTCTACCATTTAAATATCTGTAATGTTCATATAACGACAAAGTTTGAAATAAATTTATAAAACTTAAAAGTGTTCTGTTTTGTTTTGTTTCAAAGCATACCAACTACTTTCCTTGTTGAACAACAGTAAGAAACCTGGACTCAAACCAGGGATACTACTGAATAACCACCAGCCTTACTCTCCTATCCAAATACTAACCTCACCCAATCTTCCAAAACCAAACAAGACCAAGTATTTCAAAAGAATGTCTTTATAACTAATTTCCTTTCACAGGAATATAGCTAACTCATCACCTTAAAATCAGATGAGCTTGGTTTTATCACTGAATGTTAGGTTCTTCGTCGGCAACAGCAGTAGGTGTAGCACATAAATGCACAGGTTAAAGTTCTTTCATTAGGTTTAACACAATGCAGGTCAATTCACAAGGATGGGCTTATATCCCATGCTGGGCCAGAAATGAATGGCACTGCTTTTCTAAAAATAATGTGTATTACATTAAGGTTCTTGGTTTTTTGTTTTGTTTTTTGAGTCAAGGTCTCTGTAGCCCATGCTGGAGTGCAGTGGCCTGATCTCAGCTCACTGAAGCTTCCAGCCTCCCAGGCTTAAGCAAATTCTCCCATCTCAGCCTCATGAGTAGCTGGGACTACAAGCACGTACCACAGCGCCAGGATAATTTTTTGTATTTTCAGCAGACATAGGTAAACAGTGTATTTTATTACCCAGACACACCAAAATATCTCATATTTTCATATAGTCAAGTTGTAAAGAAAAAAATGTAAATTTAAAATTAACAAGTCCAGTAAGACATTAACATTAAGCTCTGATAAACACTCCATTTTTAAAAAAAGTTTTACTTACTGCTCGCTGTACTTGCTCCTCCACTCTGTTTTTCAGAGTTCAGGTCCAGATTAGCAAGCTAGAAGAGATATCAATAGCTCACATGCTGATACACAAGAACAGATAACATCACAAAAGACAAATGAGACCTAGATTCCAATCTTATCCTGTACCACAAACTTAGCTGCCATGTCGGCCTGGTATTACCTGCCAAATTTTAAAGATGTCCAGGTCTACCAACCATGACAAATGCAAATGGCATCAGCTGAATACCAGCAGTTTCACAGTAATGAGTTCAAATTCATTAATTCAAAACAAATTTTCCTTAACAATTTTCCGAAGTGAAAACTTTCCTAACTAAAAAAATTTACCATCAATTTCTCAGTAACTTCAACATCCAATTTAGCTACAGTCATGATAGTGAAATGTTCCCAATGACAGTGGTTTTCTTGATATTCTAACCCTAAAAATAAATGGACATTAAAATCATTTGAAGATTCCTTAATTTATCTTTGCCCTGAAGACGGTACAACTATTTTTAATGCAGATAAATTCCTAAACATCAAAAGCTCAAAAAAAAAAAAAAACTTCACTATGTTTTGAGTACTACGCGGCTTTACACAGCTGTCACTTAATGTTCGATACTTTATGGAGATGGTAGCATTTATTTCTCCCATTCTAAACATCAAATTCGGAGGTCTTTGGTTGCGAAGTTAAAAAGCAACACATCTCGTATTTAATGTTTCTAAAATGACATATCCAATCTCAATTCATGCCTCCTTATACTGATGGATTTTAAAACTAGAAAAAAGGTTATTTCGCTTTAAGGGCTTTCAGCATAATACCTTACCTAGAACAACTCTGAAGCGGTGGCGGGGGTGGGGGAAAAAACCATGTACGTTAAAATAGATTTTTTTCAAAAAACACGTTAAGACCAATGCCAAGAGCACCTTGGTCACCTTTTTGCACAAACTTTCTATGCCGTAGAAAGCTTACATATATAAGTTCAAGATACTATCACATTACATGAATCATCAATTAAGATACTACTGTACTTAAAAATCTTGCCATCTGAATTTACTACTTAATTCTAGTGAACTAGACAGCACGGTTTATCAAGAGTTAAAGGGATGCCAATTACATAGAAAACATAAATGCGTATTGCCCAGGCTCTTAATTTTCTATTTCTGTGGTCTATTTAACACGTCAAGTCTCAGTAAACTGCAGGCGTTAATACGTCGTCAGTGGAAAAATAACCTTCAAAGGCAGACCATTAAATCCCTCAAACGACACCTAACAGCAAAATTTAAAATCATTTAGCATCACTAAGCTTTAATTACAACTAAGAAGTTCCGACGGTATTTTTTGGTTAAAAAAAAAATGTATGCTCTTTATTCATTCTCTCCCCTAGACTTGGGAGGCAGAAATGCAGGGATAAGCTTGCAAACGACTGGTGTGCCAAATGCAAAAGCGCGGTAGGTTCCTGACACAGAAAACGAGCCTGATCTAACACGTAGACCACCTATCTTCTGCCTCATCGCCCAAACTTCCAAAGGATCTGCCCTTAATGGAAACACAGTTAAACCTATATCAACAATCCTTCGGCGATAACAAGAAAGTAAACCACAAATAACCTGTCCCGCTAATCAACATTCGAGGTTAGTTTTCTACCGGACGACTTCTGCATGTATCGCCTAAAGTAAAGATACAATACCATATAAAAACCGCACAGCTCTCGGCTAGGCGGCTGTCCAGTGACTGAATTAACAAAGGGGTGTAGCGCAATGCTGGATCTCTAACCTTCCAGGTGTCTTTCCGCGGGCGTCCAATTTCCATTATTTCTACAGGGTCAAGAGAAGCACGCGGCAGCCATCCTTCCCTACCCTCCCCACCATCCCTTTCCGGTCCTTCTGCGTCACAAAACTTTCCATACCGGAAGCCCAGTTTCGGCACGCTCAGCACCCGGGCAACGGTTGCTCCGTGGCTACGGGACCCCACCAGAAACAAGATACAGGATACTTGTTACGTTGTGCTATATTATAGTCACTCGTCTTCAAGAATTCCACAGGCCTGGCCCCTCTGCTCAAGGAACACAGCGCTGCCAAGTCACACAATTGTATACACAAAGACTCTGGCCATTTGCCCGAGCAAAGACCATACTACTCTTTCTTCTCGCTACACAAACTGGGTGGCCTGAATACACTTTCTTCTTAACAATGACACTACTGCGAATACGTCAGGGGCGCCAGATAAGAGCCTCACCCTGGACATAAAAACGGTCCGCTTTTGCGAACCGCCTCCCTCCCCCGCCCCCTCACAAACGGGTTCGTGGTCGCACATGCGCGTCTCCACGGGACAAGCAAACACAAAAGCCGCCATTGCGTGAGGCCCAGTACTATACCAGAATACCAGCGTAACCACTACCATTAACGTTACTGCCATCGCACGATCCCTTCCGTACGTGGTCTTGTCATGGTCTCATGCAGTTTCTCTCCCCATTTCCCTAGAGTCCCAGTCACATAACACACGAACCCACCAGAAGTGAAACTGAAAAACCAATTAACAGTGCGCCACAAACCGTCAGGCCAAGTAAAGGGTCCCGTAGAAAGCCTCGGTAGGCTTACTTTGACTCACCTGCTGGTCCAGTTCAGGGTCATTTTTCACCACCACATGACTCATCCCTGAAGAGAAGCGAAAAATCGGGTAGTCCACTGTAGGTGTGAGACCGAATAGCGGAACTCTTACACTGGACCTACAGCTATTAAGCGCACTGGTTAGCCTACGCGGTAATATGGCCCCTCCCACAGCTATACGACAGCACGCACAACGTGCGTAATCGTTGGCTCCACCCCTCCACCACCACCACCCAATCCCTTTATCGCTACCGTTACTTCTCCCTAAATCGCGTTCGTTTAGTCATAAGATCGCGGGATTACGTAGTCCCAGCGCCTCTCAAAATTCGCGCGATGTTTGCTATCCCCGCCCTCTCCTAATGCCTTCGAATTCTAGGGATCTAGCAAGATATCTTTCGCCTTTTTCGCCTTGGGGAAATCTTAAACACAGTGACAATCTACCACTAACTCCCGCTCCCTCCTTACCCACCCTCAACTTCCCTTCTTCCTTAAGCACTCTCTCTTCCCTTTTACTTCTGAGAATAGGAAGTTTCGTAAAATTTTTCCGTTCCAACTAGCCGTCACCTACCTTTGACAAGCTTCAGCAAAGTTGGAACTAGTCAAAAAACTCTCTGAAGCCAAGATAGATAAGGGTTACGGGATCCCAGGTGTTAGGCGCAGTGACCATTTTACGTGAGCGATCCACGGTGGTTTGAATACAATCTTCAGGTTAGGGAGGTGAAAGAACAGGTCCGCAGAAGGTCCCTCTGCAGGATGGACCTGACTGCACCTGAGGAAAGCTGAGTGGATTCCGCAGCACGTGTGACCAGCCAGAGGCTCGACAGACTTGACAGGGTTAGGCTGCTGGGGTTCACCTAGGAACTCCAGACCCCTCTAGTTTTTCTACCGGTGTGCCTGCGCTTTATGAGCATACGGCTTTAGCATCACAGGATGAAGAAACAATGAAACAATTACATACTGAATGACGTTGATGATAACACACCTACCAGGGGACCTAGGCCTAGGCCCTTAACGCACCCTGGCATAGTGATGAAGAAACAATGAAACAATTACATACTGAATGACGTTGATGATAACACACCTACCAGGGGACCTAGGCCTAGGCCCTTAACGCACCCTGGCATAGTGATGAAGAAACAATGAAACAATTACATACTGAATGACGTTGATTATAACACACCTACAAGGGGACCTAGGCCTAGGCCCTTAACGCACCCTGGCATAGGTCCCTTGTTTTCACGAAACAATGAAACAATTATATACTGAATGACCCTGGTGATAACACACCTACCGGGGGACCTAGGCCCTTAACGCACACTGGCATAGGTCCCTTGTTTTTCTGGGCACCCTGCAACCTAGGTTAACCAGTGCTATACTACGTCCCCAAAGCCAGCCTAGCCATGGGATTGTGAAAGACTCTTTTGGTTGCCCAAAAGAATGAGGGTTGAGGGGGATCGGCCTACTGAAGGAACCACTACACCAAAGTTGTCCTACGTTCGTAACAACTTACAGGCGCTGCAGTGGGTGGGAAATAGTCTTTTGCCCTAGAAGGAGTTACTTTTTTTGGCCAAATTCTCAGTCCTCCCTCTAGTCCAGATTCAGCAGACAGGCAGGAAAAAAAAAAAAAAAAAAAAAAAAAGCTTAGTACTAGATTCCTGGCTTTAACTAATAGCCATATACGTGGTTTTACAAACACTTCTTCCCTCTGAACTCTCAGCGAAACCAGATTAAATATCCAGATTTTACACCGTCCTTCAAAGGGTTTCCTAGTGCTAAAATTCAAATACCTCCATTCTCAAAACATTATCACAAATATTTCTGCTTTTCCGAATTTAAAATTAAAACATTCAAAGTGATTGGAACATACACTTTCTATTCAGTGTTCCCAGAGTGAAGTTGGTTTACTGCTTTGGCAAGTTAAAGTTGTCAACTAGATTTCCTTTTTTATAACATATTTTGTGTCGACACCTTTACCATTCTCAAGTTAAATTCACACGTGATATAAAATAAATTTATTGGCCTTCTCCATTTTTGACCTTCCTTTCCTCTCTCTTTGCCTCCCAAAGAAATAAACTCAAATGATGCACAATGACACCCCTCTGGCCCCTAACAAACCTAATTATTATATAATTAAAAGAATATTTATAATAAAATATGTATTTTGGCATGTAAATGACCGCCACTGCTACACTGACAAATACACAAGTGGTTGCCTAATTTAGCTGCAAATACAAACAGAATGTATTCACAACTCACTGTATTATGAACAGGGTTGCAAACGGTAGTATTTCTAAAATGGTAAAAACAATATAAATTTATACAGTCGTTGCCTTCTCGGGGGGAAAAAAAACACTCCCTGTATGTTTAAAGTATTCAAAAATCCTTTTGGTTTGTTTGTTTGTTTGTTTTTGTTTTTGTGACAGGATCTCACTTCCTCATCCAGGCTGGAGTGCAGTGGTGGGATCTTGGCTCACTGCAGCATCCACCTCCCAGGTTCAGGTAATTCACCTTAGCCTCCCGGTAGCTGGGACCGCAGTTGCACACCACCCACCATGCCAGGCTAATTTTTTTTTTTTAACTGAGAAGGGGTTTTGTCATTTTGCCCAAGCTGGGCTCAAACTCCTGAGCTCAAGGGATCTGCCTGCTTTGGCCTCCCAAAGTGCTGGGATTGCAGACACAAGCCACTGCAACCAGCCTAAGAATACTTTTGAGTTTATGTTTAAAGCAATTTTGTAGGTTTAAATCCTAACCAAAGTATTTTCTACTGTGAATGTCCCTGAATTACAGGACATCTAACACCCTGAGCCCTGCCTGCTAAAATGTCAGCAGCCCATGCCAATCATTGTGATATTCAAAACTGCTAGCACAAGTTTACAAAATACGATCTTGAGAAACTAGGCTTGAAGACCTCAGGGTCTATTCCAGCTCATTTATGAGATTCGTATTATGGAGCACTGTTAAAGTACATTTTTGGCCTCACTTATTTCCTTTTTGTATAGACCAGGGAAAACATGAGCTTCTGATATTCAGAAGCTGTGAATTCTGACAGCTCTCATTTGTATATGAAAATTAGCAATAAATAGGACATAATGACTAACCTGGCTCTGGGACTTATTTTACTTTTGAATAGTGCTGAAATGCAGGTATTGCAATAGGAGTACCTGAAAAAAGGTTATATATATTATACATACATATATATATAGCAGTTTCCTATTTTCAGTTATTCTACAACTACTCAAGTCCAAACAGCTAGTGTGGTTTGTTAATTAGTATATTATGACACAAGTATCAAATTAGGAAGAAAAAAGATAAACTTTTGTCTTAGAATGTATACAGGCTAAAAAAGCTAAAGTTACATACTTAGGTAGGTAAGTGAACAAACTTTCACAGCACCTCAAATGACTTTTATTAAGTAATCATTCCTACTCTATATTTTCCTATATTGTATTATATTTGTCTTTTTTCACTACTCTGTGGTTCCAAGTCTCTTACTATCCATGTAATATTGAGATATGTAAGAAGCTGAAATAATAGTAATCATTATTATTGATATTACTGGGATAAACTGAAATGATGAAAATAAATAATGTGCTTAGGTAAACAAAATCATGCTGAAAAAAGATCATAACAAAAGGTAGAGTAAAAGTAATTTCTGGTGGGGCACAGTGGCTCATGACAGTAATCTTAGCACTGTGGGAAGCTTAGGTGCTTGGTGAGTTCGAGATCAGCCTGAGCTACATGACAAAAGGAGCAATAGCATTTGATTCTCACATAAAATATCTAGAATGTGCAAATTAATAAAGACAGAAAGTAGATTAGAGATTTGCCAGGGTCTGAGATGAGAAGGTAATAGAGAGTTATTGCTTACTAGTTACAGAGTTTCTGATTAGGGTGATACAAAAAGTTTTGAAAAGTGATAGTGGTGACAGTTACACAACATTATGCCTGTAATTAATGCCACTAAACTGCACACTTAGAAGTTATTACAACGGCCGGGTGCGGTGGCTCACTCCTGTAATCCCAGCACTTTGGGAGGCTGAGGCGGACAGATCACATGAGGTCAGGAGTTCGAGACCAGCCTGACCAACATTGTGAAACCTATGTCCACTAAAAATATTTAAAAATTAGCCGGGCATGGGCCGGGTGCGGTGGCTTAAGCTTGTAATCCCAGCACTTTGGGAAACCGAGGCGGGCGGATCACGAGGTCAGGAGATCGAGACCATCCTGGCTAATACGGTGAAACCCCATCTCTACTAAAAATACAAAAAATTAGCTGAGCGTGGCGGCAGGCGCCTGTAGTCCCGGCTACTCAGGAGGCTGAGGCGGGAGAATGGCGTGAACCCGGGAGGCGGAGCTTGCAGTGAGCGGAGATCGCGCCACTGCACTCCAGCCTGGGCGACAGAGAGAGACTCCGTCTCAAAAAAAAAAAAAATTAGCCGGTCTTGGTGGTGGGCACCTGTAATCCCAGCTACTGGGGAGGCTGAGGCAGGAGAATTGCTTGAACCCAGGAGACAATGGTTGCAGTGAGCCGACACGCTCGCACTGCGCTCCAGCATGGGCGACAGAGCGAGACTCTGTCTCAAAAAAAAAAAAAAAAAGTTATTACAATGGCAGATTTATATTTTATATGTGTACTACAATTTAAATTAGTAATTTAATAAATTTTGGTATACTATGTTAATAATAATATATATTCTTTATACTGTATTAATATTTAATTATATAGTATACCAAAAGTTATTAAACTTAAAACTTTAGGTGAATTGTATGTATACTTCAAATAAATATAATTGTATTTGAATACCACACAGTATTGCTGTTTTATAAAAGTTAATTGCAGACCTAAGATCGCCTAGATTTTCTCCTTTGTCATTTTTGTTTTTGTTTTTGTTTTCTTTTTGAGACAGGGCCTCACTCTGTTGCCAAGGCTTGAGTGCAGACACACAGCTATGGTTCATTGCAGCCCTGATCTCCTGGGCTCAGATGATCCTCCTACCTCAGCCTCCAGGTGGTTGGGGTTACAAGCGTACAGAAACACACCTGGATAATTTTTGTATTTTTTTGTGGAGATGGGATTTCACCATGTTGCCCAGGCTGGTCTTGAACTCCAGTGCTCAAGCAATCCTCCCACCTCAGCCTCCCCAAAGTCCTGTGATTACAAGCCTGAGCTACTGCTCCCAGTCTCCTATGTCTTTTTTAATAAGTTTTATAGTTATTGGGTTTATAATTAGGTCTATGATTCATTTTGAGTTAATTCTGTAAAAGGTATAAAGTCTGTGTCTTGATTTTTTTTCTCATGGACAATTGTTTCACTATCATTTGTTGAAATGAGAATCTTCTTTTTTCTTTTTATCTTTGCTTCTATGTCAAAGATGAATTGACTATACTTATGTAGGTCTATTTCTGAGCTCTCTCTCCTCTATTCCATTCATCTGTGTGACTATTCCTTAGTATGCTAAGCAAGACAATATGATTCCTATAGCTTTCTAGCAAACTTTGAAGCCAGAAAGTGTGAGTCATCCAATTTTGTTCCTCACTATTGTGTGAAATTATTATTATTATTATTATTATTATTATTATTATTATTATTATTATTTTGAGACTGAGTCTCGCTCTGTTGCCCAAGCTGAAGTGCAGTGGAGCAATCTTGGCTCACTGCAACCTCTGCCTCCTGAGTTCAAGTGATTCTCCTACCTCAACCTCCTGAATAGCTGGGATTACAGACACCCGCCACCATGCCTAATTAGTTTTTGTATTTTTAGTAGAGATGGGGTTTCACCATATCGACCAGGGTGATCTCGAACCTCTGGGCTCAAGTGATTCGCCAACCTTTGTCTCCCAGAGTGCTGGGATTACAGCTGTAATATTAAGTGTTCTTGAGTAATTCTTAGAAAATTGGCCCATTTATCATTATTTAACTGAAACCAATTACTGGTATCATTGTTTCGCATGTTATCCTAGGTTTTTGTTTCACAACTGAGAAAATTAAGGAGCATGGATGCAAAGGGTGAGGTTGGAGTGAAAGTTTACTAAGCAAAAGTAGAAAGCTCTCCACAGTGCAGAAGTGATCCCAAGTGGATTGCAGTTTTACTGTTGAGTGCAAAAGCTTTTATATGAAACTCTTCTCACCACTGTAGCTGTTTGAATAACCGGTCTTATCTATAAAGCCATCTGCACAACTCCCTATCTATTCAGCTGTGAAATGTCTTTAGGTAAGCACAAATCACAGCTTTTCTTGTTTATATAATTGTGGGTTTGTTTTAGTTAAGTCCTTCTCCTGCCAGTGCAAGTTCCTGTAGAGCTCTCCACGTATATGCCTGAAAAGAAGAGGAAACTTCTTCCTGAGAACCCACTAATCACTCAAAGAACAAAAAGTTTGCTATGCTGAACCTTGCCTGCCTTGTCTGCTTATCTCTGTGCAGGTGCAGCCTGAGTTTACCCCAGGCTGCTGTATTTTTGCAAGTACCTGTGATTTTTCAGGCAGGCAGCTTCTCTGATGACTAGTCTTAGTTTACCCAGTTGATTCTTCCTTTTCTTCTTCATTTCCCCTCTCAGGAGTGGAGACCCTAACTGCTATTAGGGAAGTTGGGCGATGGTCTTTCTAGCTACTTCCTGCTGGAGAGGGGCATTGTGTGGGGAATAAAAGCTAGGGCTTTTCCTGGGGCTGGTCCAAGGGTCCTTGGAAGAATGCATGTCCATGTGGGGTTCCATTTGCACCACCATTTGGAGTTTAATAGCCTCAGCCAAGAGGAAACAATTGGGTTACAGCATGGACTATACAGGCTCCAAACATTAATGCAAGACATTAAAAAAAAAAAAAAGATCCCAGTAAAGGAGCTAATCAGGTTCAAAAAGAAGATTGAGATCCTTCAAGAGGGGATTGTAGCCAACTCAGACTAAAGCCCACTCATTCTCTCTTAATATGGCAATGATTCTGATTTGATTCTTAAGCACCTGTAAATTTTCTTCCACTTGATTAGAGGTGTTGATCCAAAAGCAACATGTTTTATTTAAGAGTGCATAAGTGCCCCTACTTCAGCTGTAAGAACATCTAGGGCTCTCCTATTTTGCATTACCACTGAGGCTAGAGAGTTTATGGATTGTTGTTATGCCTCTATGGGTTCTACTGTTGCCTTCCACCCTCACCACATCATAATAGAGCTATTAAGCCCTGATTTCTCAAGGAGACGAATGTTGGCAAATGAAAATGGCCTTTAGCTCTAACATGTCTCATTCCTGGTCTTTTCAATTCAGTATTGTCCTGTGCATGTCCTCCCCAGTCCTCTCTCAGTTAGATCTCCGTACAATGGCATGGAAATGATAGATCTGTTTGTTTGCTGTGCCCAAGATAGGGCACTTTCTAGAATGCCAGATTAGGAATTCCACCAGATGATGTTGCCATGTTGGAGGAGTTTAAAAATAATAGGTCAGGGACCACTGCCACTATAGTGCATATTCCCATCCAGTACCTAGGGAGGATTAGGTATAACCAGGAACCAAGAAGAAAATAAAGCTCTGTTGCTTGAAAAGAGGGTTCTAGGTTATAATGTGTAATAGATCCAGCTTGTCTTTGCCCAGGCCTCATAAAGAGGTTTCCCATACATTTAATGGGAGCATCTTTGGTATAGGGATAATCATAAAAAGTATAGTCATGTATGGTGCCATTTACACACTAGGTGGAAAGGATCCTTCTGACAGATGGAGTTTTGGAAGATTATGGACATAATATGTCCTGGCCAGTAACTCAGCTGATTCTTCCTGCAGTGGCTCTCAGTCTAGACATTTCCTGTCCATGAACAGATGTGTCATTATTAGTCATTATTAGGTCATTAATAGTATCAAATAATATACAGAGGTTCAGGATTCCCTGAGGTGGCATGTTTGAGAAGCACCATGTGTTATTTATTATTGTGACATAATAGTGGTAAGAGGAGTTATTCAGGGGCTTCCACTCAGATTTGGAATTCCAGTTAGGAGGTATGGATAGGATTTTAAGGGTTTTGCAGCAATTTATCTTGTGTTTTAGGTTAGCTTTCTCCTCTTTTTACCCTCCAGACCTCCTCATTTTTAGAGATTGTAAATGTAATGTTGCAATATTTGAGATCCCCCCAGGTATAGTCCTTTTCCTCTGCTTTAATGCAGAGGGAGGTGTTTGTTATTATTCTGTCAAGTGTGCCTGGTCTAAGATTCACAAGGATGTGAGTCTTAGATATGTCTTCCCACATGGAGTTTTAACTGGTATGGGGTGCTCGCATACCAGGTTCCATTTATATCTGACAAGTCCTTGATGTTTAGGGGCAAAGCTATCAAAGGGAACCCCAGGATGGTGAGTTCAGGATCATCATGAAGCCCCCTAGTTTTAGTGTTATTAAAATAAGCAAATCATTTAGGGCAAGCCATGCAATTAGTTGTATATATGGGCAATGGCTGACATTGTAGGGGCCAAAGGATGAGAAGCGTCGCTGCCTCTAACAGGCTGATAGGAATAAAGTCTTCACATTTGCCTCTTATCTGTTACTACTGTCCCTGCAATAAGGAGGATAACTAAATAAAATATTCCGGCAGTGAGACTTTCTGTTTGATAGTCCACTCAGGAAGTACCACAGTGTATAACCCCAGCACAAAAAGCAAAGTAAACAAGATAATTCCTGCAATTATGAAGTAGTAGATGGTTTCCACCTGAACTTCTATTTCTCAAAATATTGGATTTCTCTATGGGCATCTATGAGTCACAAATTTAGTCCCACAGAAAATTAAAGTTTCTCTGTAAATATGCATCAAAAAGAAGCTGCGATACCTGACAGTGGATCTCAAAATGAAAAGTGGAAATAGCTGAAAGAATATGTTAAATGTGGTAAAGGTGAGAGTGAAGACAGGTAGTCCTCAATCACTTACTTATCTTTTGTAATCCGGTTTGAAGTTCCCAAGTTCTTTACCTTGATATCCAGGATGTTCTTCTGGACTGTCAGGGGTTGCTCCTCCTGCATTCCAGGACTTGAGTGTGATGAATCCAAGAATTGAGTCCCACAACCTTCACCACCAAGGGGGTAGAAAGGAAGATGATGTAAGGTCCCTGGAGTCTAATGGGGAGGAAGAAGAGGGGAGAGCCTTCACCACTACCAAGTCTTCTGGGTTGAATAAAGGTAGTCCTATTTCTTGGGTTTGGGCTTCTGATAGTTGTTTTAATTCTTGCTGGAAGTGGGCCACAGAGGTTATATGTTTACCCAATTTACAAGTTTACTGGTTTAATAGGAAATTATTGGTAAGGAAAGGCCAACCATACATTATTTCAAAAGAGCTTAAACCCAATTAGAAGGGATGTTCCTCACAGTAATAAGGCCATGGGAAGAAGAGTAACCCAAGGGAGGTGAGTTTCTTGAGACAGCTCTCTGAGGTTCCTCTTAATGACATTATTTGTTTTTTCTACTTTTCCTGAAGTCTATGGTCTCCAGGCCCAATGTAGATGGTATTGTATGCCCCAGTGGTTTTGTTACTTAGAACCTCTGAGTAACAACTGCCTTGAATGAGGGGCCATTGTCACTTTAGAGTTACTTGTGGAGTCCAAATCAAGTTATCTCATTAATTAGCATGCTCATCACCTCACAGGACTTTTCTGTTTGGCATGGAAATGCCTCCACCCTGTTAGTAAATGTATCTAGCCATACTAAAAGATATTTAATGCCTTTTACTTTGGTATATGAGTTAAGTCTATCTGTCGGTTTTCCCGCAGTAACTCCCTATCCATTGAATTCAGGGTTTGAGGGAGGAGCTGCCTATTGAGATTTTTTTTTTTAAGATGGAGTCTGGCTCTGTCACCTAGGCTAGAGTGCAGTGGCGCAATCTCGGCTCACTGCAAGCTCTGCCTCCTCCCGGGTTCACGCCATTCTCTGCCTCAGCCTCCCGAGTAGCTGGGACTACAGGTGCCCACCACCACGCCTGGCTAATTTTTTGTATTTTTAGGGCTAAAAAGTGTGTCCTTGAAAGGTGGCCCATTCTATCTTTGCAGGAGAATACTGAGGTCTTATTTTTCTTATGGAGCTATCCCAGATTAGAGGGGTGTCAAGTGTGTCAGACCTCTTGGTCTTTTTGCCACTGATTTGGCTGCTTGATCTGCTAGTCTTTGTCCCTTGGCCATGTCATCAATCCCCTTCTGGTGTCCTCTGCAATGTATAACTGTCACTTCCCATGGAAAGAAAACTGAAGATAACAGTCTACCTATTTCCTTAAGGTATTTACTGGGACATCCATTGGCCATGAGAAAGTGTTTTTTCTTCCAGATAGCACCATGGGCATGAAGACCCAGGAAAGCATACTTAGAATCAGTATAAATGTTAACTGACTTTCCTTAAGGGCTTAATTCAAGTATTTTGTGAGAGTGACTAGCTCAGCTAGTTGAGAACTGGTGCTCGGTGAGAGACGCATGCTTTCAACAATGTCATCCTAGGTGACTACTGCATACACTGCCATGTTCTGCAAAGGAACTTCAGTCTGTAAAGAGAGTCCAGTCTGAGTTTTCTAGGGGACTTTCTCCGAGGTTCTCTCTGACTGCATAGGTGTGCACCACTATCTGTTTACAATCATGTTCAGGTTCTTTAGTTTCCTCTGGGAGGAAGGTGGCAGGGTTTAGGCAAGGTCAGTTATTTAACTGGACGGCAGATCCTTCTAGCAGCAAAGCTTGATATTTGAGGAGGCAATTTGTCTATTAGTCAGAGACTCTCTTTAAAAGATAATCAGTCCTGCTATATTATGTGGAGTGTAAACAGTCAAATTATTCCCCATGGTTAACTTGATGGCTTCTGGCACAAAGCGCCCACAGCAACTGCTCAGAGGCAGGCTGGCCATCCTTTAGCCACCAGGTCAAGCTCCTTGCTTGGTAACCAACTGGCTGCTGGGCTGGACCTCAGGCCTGAGTTAAAACTTCCAAGGCTAGTCTTTTTCTTTCTGAGACATAAAGATTGAGTGTGTTTCCTGTGGGAAGACATAGGACAGGTGCTTTAAGCAAAGCTTGCTTTAGATAGTTAAAGGCTTTTTGGGCTTCAGGTTCCCAGGTCAAAGAATGAGTTTAACTGCTTGAGTTTTTTTTATAAGGTGATATAAATGGTGAGCTATTTTTGCCATACCCAGGTATCCACAATCTGAAAAAGCCTGTATTACCCAAAAATCCCCTTAGCTGTTTGAGAGTTTTGGGAAGGGGGAAAGAAGGAATGGGCTTAATCCTGTCTTCACCCAACATTCTTATTCCCTCTGACTAGACAAAGCCTAGGTATTTCACTGAGGTTTGACAAAGCTGGGCCTTAGATTTTGAAACTTTATACCCTCTGTCAGCTGGAAAATTAAGAAGAGGTGAAGTGCCTTCCTGAGAAGCCCCCTCAGTTGAGGCAAAAGGAGAATGTCATCAGCACATTGTAAAATTTTAACTTAAGAATGAGAGAACTCAGAGATGTCTCATGACAGTGCACAATCAAACAAGTGAGGGCTGCCTCAGAATCTCTGAGGCAGCAACATCACGGTTAACTGGGTGGTCTGTGAGGGGTGGTCCTTGAAGACAAACAAGTATTGGGAGTCAGGGTACAATGGTATGCAGAAAAAGGCATCTTTCAAGTTTAGTACTGTGAAAAATTTTGTTCCCTCAGGAATTTGAATTAGCAATGTATAAGGATTATGAACCACTGGATGAATTGGTTAATGAGACAGAGGTCCTGAACAAGCCTCCATTCCCAGTGTGGTTTTCTATACCCCTCACATTGGGGTGTCACAAGGGCTG